>NC_000024.10:24847739-25456230 GCF_000001405.40 Homo sapiens | reverse complement strand
AGAGGGGCTGCTGAACCTCTAGAGACAGAGTTTGAGAAAGTCCCACCCCCCTTCTGCCACCTTGTGATTGAGAAAGGTGCATTCATTCAACAAACATTTACTGAGCACGTACAATTCTTCATAGCAGAGATATAAGACAGCAAAGGACAGACAGGAGCCCTTGGCCCTGAGGTTTCCATTCTAGGGGCCTTTAAATCTCAGAGCTAACAGTGACCTTTGATACTCTCTACCTCCTCCAGAAACATGAGCCTAAGGAGGAGAGATGGCTTGTCCAGACTCAAAAAGCAAATTAGGGGCTGAGGCAGGGCAGAAATACGGGCCTCTGACAACCAGTCAGGCTAGTGCTTCCCTGAGAGATGACAACCCCAGGGCATGTGTGGCAACAACTAGAGCAAGGGTGTCTGGAGAAGAGAGAGTCAGCAAAGAGGGCAGTGCAGAAGAGCCATGCTGCATGTTCTGTGCTCTGGGGTCCCTCCAGGTGAGGCCTGGGTGCCCCAGCTCCCCATTTGCCCTTGGCATCAGGGGCTCCTGGCCCCTTTCTTCAGGGCACCAAGGGAAAACTGGAGTCCAGGATTGACCAGCTGGAATCAGGGGACCCCACTGGACTCTTACCAGTGAATTGATGTTTTCACTGAGTTGACTGATTATTGCGGAGCTTGAGTGCAGGGCCACTGCTAGTTCTCGGTACTGGCTGTGAGGTGCATGCAGAGAGGAGGAGTTGGAGGAAGATTGTGGGGAGGGGTAGAGAGAACAATCATTAGGGCTGGTGGAGGGTGTGGGTTGTCTCAGCTGGCAGAGGGGCAACAAGCCCCTGCTGTGGGAGGAGGTTGGAGGGCTGGCCTGCAGGGTCACTGCACCTCAGCCCAGGGCCTCTTACCTCCAGATCCTCCAGGGTAGCAGATGATGCATGGCCTTCCCCGTAGATACCTGTTGCTGACTGCAAGAGATGAGAGTGCACATGGAGATGTTCTGTCCCCCCTCACTGTCTAAGCCCTCTGATTTCCTTTCTTCCCCATCAACTGGCAAAAGCTTCTTTTCTGCCTATCTTGGACCCTTTGTCCCATAACTCCTTTGTGCCAACTTCTCTCATGGTTCTTATCTCCCCACCATCCCACCCTGGGGCCCTTTCAGTGACTCCTAAAGGGACAGCCTGATGGCAAGTGTCTCTTCTCATTAACTGGCTTCCCCTTGAGACTGGGGATGAGGAAAATCAAACAACAACCATTTCCTGGGTGTCCTGGGTGTTTACAGCAGGCCATGTACTAAGGATTCACATATAAGCAATAACAAATCTGATTTAAACTTCACAAATGGAAGTCAAAAATACCACCTCTATTATGCAGATGTGAAAACAGAGACCCAAAGACCTCAAGCAACTTGCCCTAAATCATATGCTAATCAATCCCTAATCAATCATTAGCAGACGGAGAGGCAGGATTCAAACCCAGAATTCTTAACCAGTACCCAATAGTCCATCTACAATCTTAAAAATTACCCCCTACTGCCCCTTAGGCCCCCTGTCCCCAGGACCCTGGCCAGCCAAGACTCACATCCCCAGGTGAGTGGTAACCACCAGAAGTGGCTGTGTCAGGGCTACTGCCATTGATTTTCTTTTTCCTGTTAGCTCCTGCTGGAATGCCAGGGCTCTTCCTCTGCCAATATTCTTTTAACTGTGGGAAAGAAGAGCAGCAACACTCATGAGAACAATCAGCCCCTATAGCCACATCCTGCTTTACAGTTTTGACAAAATACTCTTATACACCATCTGGTTTAATGCCACCAACAACTGTACAAGATGTTGTCACAATCATTTAGTGACTGAGAGTGATTGATATCATGGATAGAAAAAAAAAAAGAAGGAAAGAAAAAGGCAATACTGGAACTTAAACTCAGTCTTCTGACTCCAAGCTCTGGGGTTTTGCCATGAATCAGCAGCTTCCAGGGACCAAAACCAGGGACAGTGGTAGAAAAGTAAACATTAAGCAGGCAGGAACTGTAGGCCGTGTAGTTTAGAGTCATACATCCTCACATGTCTGTTAGTGTAAAGAAGTGCACGAGTACCTCTCACACTTTCATATCAATGTGTCCTCATGGCAGAAGGCAGCTTTTCTGTTAAATCTGGGAATTTATCAGAAAGAGGACAACCCAAGCCTCATTTTAGAGAGAAGTCTGCTATACGCTTGGAAACCTATGTGTCTATCATCCCTAAGAACATTAATGTTTATTAAACTCTCAATAAACATTAATGTTCTTAGGGATGATAGACACATAGGTTTCCAAGCGTATACCAGACTTCTCTCTGAAATGAGGCAAAAGCAATGGCAACAAAAGCCAAAATTGACAAATGGGATCTAATTAAACGAAAGAGCTTCAGCACAGCAAAAGAAACTACCATCAGAGTGAACAGGCAACCTACAAAATGGGAGAAAATTTTTGCAACCTACTCATCTGACAAAGGGCTAATATCCAGAATCTACAATGAACTCAAACAAATTTACAAGAAAAAAACAACCCCATCAAAAAATGGGTGAAGGACATGAATAGACACTTCTCAAAAGAAGACATTTATGCAGCCAAAAAACGCATGAAAAAATGCTTACCGTCACTGGCCATCAGAGAAATGCAAATCAAAACCACAATGAGATACCATCTCACACCAGTTAGAATGGCAATCATTAAAAAGTCAGGAAACAACAGGTGCTGGAGAGGTTGTGGAGAAATAGGAACACTTTTACACTGTTGGTGGGACTGTAAACTAGTTCAACCATTGTGGAAGTCAGTGTGGCAATTCCTCAGGGATCTAGGACTAGAAATACCATTTGACCCAGCCATCCCATTACTGGGTATATATGCAAAGGATTATAAATCATGCTGCTATAAAGACACATGCACACGTATGTTTATTGTGGCACTATTCACAATAGCAAAGACTGGGAACCAACCCAAACGTCCAACAATGATAGACTGGATTGAGAAAATGTGGCACATATACACCACGGAATACTATGCAGCCATAAAAAATGATGAGTTCATGTCCTTTGTAGGGACATGGATGAAATTGGAAATCATCATTCTCAGTAAACTATTGCAAGAACAAAAAACCAAACACTGTATATTCTCACTCATAGGTGGGAATTGAACGAGAACACATGGACACAGGAAGGGGAACATCACACACTGGGGACTGTTGTGAGGTGGGGGGAGGGTGGAGGGATAGCACTAGGAGATATGCCTAATGCTAAATGACGAGTTAATGAGTGCAGCACACCAGCATGGCACATGTATACATATGTAACTAACCTGCACATTGTGCACATGTACCCTAAAACTTAAAGTATAATAATAAAAATTTTAAAAAAAAGAACATTAATATTTTTTCTCAAGAGAATCAAGGGAAAATGATGCTTCAGAAAGATGTCCCACATTTATCCTGTAGCACTCAAAGTACCCCAGGTTGAGATGATATGAGAAGATTCAAGCTGTCAAGTTCAGTTTCCCAAGATCTATTCCACAGAAGATGGGCAAATCTCACCTCAGAGACCACTGACTGAAGGGCAGTCTGGTCCCAGAACTGTGGAGAACTCAGAAAAAATTGTCAAAGTCTCTCTGGAAAGTAGAAGCCTGGGAGAAAACCAAACCAAACCCATTCTCCCATTGCCACCCAGAGATACTGTCAACATTTTGAGTTCACAGGGGAAGTGTAAGCTTTTCCCACTGTCAATTAGACATTGTTAAGGGAGTAAGGCAGCCTGAAACTTCTTGCTCATACGTCCCATAGTCTCCACTCCTCTTCCAGCTGGAAATTTAGGCTGCAACCAGAGGAACCAGAAATGGGGTGAGAAAACTTAGGGGACTGGGTTGTAAGATCAAAGGCCGGTCTTGCAGCAGTAATGACAGTTCCTAGGGGCACTGTGACATCACTGCATTCCACTCCTCCCAGGGGAGGGGACATCAGTGCGATGCCGGAGTCGCCACTCCATGATGGGGGAGGGAAATACAGGGTTTTGACCCAGGTCCTCGGAGACACCAGCCCAAGAAGCCCAGGGAGGTTGAGCTTGCGGCAGCAGGAGGGGAGGGCAGAGTCTGCAGTAGGGAGCCCCAGGAGTCACCAGCCCAAAGTCACCCAGGGATGACTGGTGAGGGCAGGGCCTGGGGCTGGGGGACCCAGGTCCTGGGAGACACAAGCCCAAAGAGCCCAGGGAGGTTGGGCTTGGGGCAGCAGAAGGTGATGGCCAAGTATGGAGCAAGGAGCCCCAGGAGTCACCCTCCCAAATTCACCCTGTGGTGATTGGCAAGGGCAAGGACTGAGTGGCTTGCTGAAGGGGTGGGGCTGACTGAGAAGACTTTGGTGGGGGGAGCCCAGAGGTGCTGGGGTTGGGGGGCCCAGTCTGGTATGCCACAGGATTAGTATGGACTCTGGCACCGGTCTTGTCATCAGAGGGGATCTGTGGCTGGGTTGGGGGCCATGACCTGGTACATTTTACCTTTTGAGATGTAGATCATATAAAAATGGAAAATCCATAGCATGCTTGATTAATGAAGCAGACTATAGTATCCAACATTCCAGGAGGATAAAATAATCACAATGATTTCTCTTTTTTGGAAAATTGTTTGTCTTATCCTCCTACATTATTGTTAAGATTTTTTTTAGAACAAGAAACATGTCTAATATCTTTAAAAACACAAAGCTTTTGGGCCAGGTGGGGTGGCTCACGCCTGTAATGCCATCACTTTGGGAGGCCGAGGTGTGTGGATTGCCTGAGATCAGGAGTTCGAGACCAGCCTGGCCAACATGAAGAAACCCTATCTCTACTAAAAATACAAAAGCTAGCCAGGTGTGGTGGTGGGTGCCTGTAATCCCAGCTATTTGGGAGGCTGAGGCAGGAGAATCACTTGAACCCAGGAAATGGAGGTTGCAGTGAGCCAAGCTCATGCCACTGCACTCCAGCCTGGGTGACAGAGCAAGACTCCATCTCAAAAGAAATAAAATAAAATAAAATACAAAATAAGTAAGAGCACAAAGCTTTCAATTTAATAAGCACTTAAAGCTCTTTACTGGTTTAAAACAAATACAAGGCCCATTTTTCTAGAATCACCTGGCCTCTCTAAGCCTTGCAAATGAAACTGAATTTCTCACTTGATATCTGGCTATGACTTGCAATCATGAAAACCAAGAATTGTGTTATGTCACTGTGTATTGCTTGTTACCTGAAATCCACACTAGGCTGGGATCAAGGGTTGAATCTTTCATGATTTTCTCCATAACCTGTGTGCTTCTTATCCCAGACCAAACTAAGCTTTTTTCTAGAGTTCTACAATTTACACTTAATAGACAAGAGTGGTTCTCAAAATGTAGTCTATGGACTAGCAGCACCAGCAGCACCTGAGACCTTTTTATAAGTGCAAATTCTCAGGCCCCACCCTGGACCTGGTGAATCAGAAACTCTGGAGTAGGGTTCAGCAATCCCTCCAGGTGTTCAAGAACCTCTGGCATACAGCAGTTAGTAAAATGTGTTTACTTCTGTAGGTCCAAAGCCAGGGTTGCCATATGTTCTGCCTTGTTATGAAACAATGACATGCAATTAAAAGACGAGAATCTCCTTCCTGCTCCCACCCTCCATCCAATGTGTTTTACTTTTATGAGTTCCATAAGAAAACAAGTGGCAATCAGAGATTTAGTCTAAAACGTATGTTTACAAGTGTCCGTTCTCATCCAGCCTGATCTCCTACAAAACCATTTTCATCCTCTTGCATCGCAAGTTTTAAAAAAGTATCTTCACAATGTAACACTCAGGCACACTAGCAGTTCTATAATAAAACACCAAGTAGATCAGAATGTCCAACCTTACTAGAGAAGAAAAGTGCAATCATTGGCCATATTTTCAAATTGTATTCAACAGGAAATTTAAGTTTTGAATTTTTTTTAACCTTCATACTTCCAAGTTAATAGAATAAAACCAGAATATGCCATTCTTTCAAAGCCTCTAGCCAGGCAAAGTTTTACTGTATTATTTCTTGCTTTCAATGGATATAAAGCAGATTCCTGGTAGGCACATTCTGTATACCTGCAAAGATGCAGAACTAAACAGTTCCATCGGTTCAATATAAAACAAAAGTCCTGGACAGCGGATGGTGAGTGTAATACTTCAGCACTAGCCCAAAGCCTCAAATATGAAAAGATACCAAGAACACCACTAGCAAACAAAACTAAACTCTTGGCCAGGAGCAGGAGCTCACGCCTGCAATCCCAGCACTTTGGCAAGCTGAGGTGGGAGGATTACTTGAAGTCAGGAGTTCAAGACTAGCCTGGGCAGCATAGCGAATTCACATCTCCACAAAAATTTTTAAACATTAGCTAGGTGTGGTGGCACACAGCTGTAGTCCTAGCTACCTGGAAGGCTGAGGTGGGAAATTGCTTGAGGCCAAGATTTGGAGGCTGCAGTAGCTATGATTATGGCACTGCACTCCAGCCTGGGTGACAGAGCGAGACTTAGATAATTACATTTTCTCCTGCTCCTGTTTTACACTAAAATCACTGAGTTAAGAGGCTTCAAATTTGGCAGGATAAAAATTAAGTGAAATGTGACATTGGAGCTTGGCTAGTGAAAGAAAGAGAAAAAAAGGAAGGAAGGAGGGAGGGAACAAAGAAAGAGAAAGAAAGGAAAGGAAGAAAGAGAGGGAAAGAAAGAAAAAGAAAGAAAGAGGAAAGAGAGAAGAAAGAGAAAGAGAGAGGGATGGAGAGAAAAGAAAAAAATGAAGAATGGAAAGCAAGAAAGAAAAGGAAAGTAAGGAAGGAAGAAGAAGAAAGAAACAAGGAAAAGAAAAAGAAAAAGAAAGAAAGGGAGAGGAAAGGAAAAATAAAAGAAGGAAGAAAAAATGAAATGACAAATTACTTACCGGGTGAAAGTTTTGTCACCTCAATGACAGATAAAAGGCTTGTATCCTTAGCCTATAAATAAATCTTTAAAATTACTGAGAAAAAAAAACAAATGATTTTCAACTGAAATGGGCAATGGAGAAACTGGCACTTCTCATAAGAATAAAAATGGCCAATGGCATATACAAAGATTCAAAAGCACAAGAAATCAAAGAAATGTCATGAAAACAATGAGATTTTCTGTATAAAGGCAGGAAAGATGATAAATGGAAAGGGGAACCTGGAGCTCTGTCCTTGTTGGTGGGAGTATAACCGGAGTCACTTTTCCTGGAGAATGATTTGAAAATTTCTATTAAAAACCCTAAAAATTATTTTCCTCCAGAAATTCTACTTCTATGAATTCAGTCCAATAATATTTGCTCGAGCCCATTAAAATGTATGTATAAGAACTCAAACAAATTTACAAGAAGAAAACAAACAACCCCATCAAAATTGGGCAAAGGACATCAACAGACACTTCTCAAAAGAAGACATTTATGCAGCCAAAAAACACATGAAAAAATGCTCATCATCACTGGCCATCAGAGAAATGCAAATCAAAACCACAATGAGATACCATCTCACACCAGTTAGAATGGCAATCATTAAAAAGTCAGGAAACAACAGGTGCTGGAGAGGATGTGGAGAAATAGGAACACTTTTACACTGTTGGTGGGACTGTAAACTACTTCAACCATTGTGGAAGTCAGTGTGGCGATTCCTCAGGGATCTAGGACTAGAAATACCATTTGATCCAGCCATCCCATTACTGGGTATATACTCAAAGGCCTATAAATCATGCTGCTATAAAGACACATGCACACGTATGTTTATTGCGGCACTATTCACAATAGCAAAGACTTGGAACCAACCCAAATGTCCAAAAATGATAGAGTGGATTAAGAAAATGTGGCACATATACACCATGGAATACCATGCAGCCATAAAAATTGATGAGTTCATGTCCTTTGTAGGGACATGGATGAAATTGGAAATCATCATTCTCAGTAAACTATTGCAAGAACAAAAAACCAAACACCGCATATTCTCACTCATAGATGGGAATTGAACAATGAGGTCACATGGACACAGGAAGGGGAATATCACACTCTGGGGACTGTTGTGGGCTGGGGGGAGGGGGGAGGGATAGCATCGGGAGATATACCTAATGCTAGATGATGAGTTAGTGAGTGCAGTGCACCAGCATGGCACATGTATACATATGTAACTAACCTGCATAAAGTGCACATGTACCCTAAAACTTAAAGTATAATTAAAAAAAAGTATGTATAAGAAAATTCACCTCTGGGGTGGCAGTGATTAACTTAATATACATCCAGCTATTAAAAATGATGATTCCAGGATATATTTACTGCCACAGAAATATGCCCAAAATATAGTAAGTGACAAAAGACTACATACTGCAATTCTACTTTTTAAAAGGTTTATGTGCAGAAAAACATATAAAAAGCAACAAACCAGAATGTTTTGAGTGGCAAATTAAAGATTTTTCTTAATGTTTGTCATCCAAATTATTACAAAAAGAATGATTTCCTTTATAATGAGGGATTACTGTTATTTTCATTTTATTATTTAAATCTCTTTTCTTTTTCTGATTTTTTTCTCCTGTATGTATCCCTTGTAGGCTAGAATCCCTACCTCTTGAGGTAAATCAGCCCATTTTTGGGAAGTGCACTACAGAAAGCTGCCCTAGCTTCCTTTTAAGAGATCTGGAGACATTTTTGTTTCAAATTGTTTTATTGTTCTCAGATTAGCCTAACTAGGAGGCACCCCCCCAGTAGGGGCAGACTGACACCTCATACTGCCAGGTACTCCTCTGAGACAAAACTTCCAGAGGAACAATCAGGCAGCAGCATTTGCAGTTCACCAATATCTGCTTTTCTGCAGCCAACGCTGCTGACACCCAGGCAAACAGGGTCTGAAGTGGACCTCCAGTAAACTCCAACAGACCTGCAGCTGAGGGTCCTGACTGTTAGAAGGAAAACTAACAAACAGAAAGGACATCCACACCAAAAACCCATCTGTACGTCACCATCATCAAAGACCAAAGGTAGATAAAACCACAAAGATGGGGAAAAAACAGCAGAAAAACCGGAAACTCCAAAAATCAGAGCACCTCTTCTCCTCCAAAAGAAAGCAGCTCCTCACCAGCAATGGAACAAAGCTGGGTGGAGAGTGACTTTGACGAGGTGAGAGAGGAAGGCTTCAGAAGATCAAACTACTCCGAGCTAAAGGAGGAAGTTTGAACCAATGGCAAAGAAGTTTAAAACTTTGAAAAAAAATTAGACGAACGGATAACTAGAATAACCAATGTAGAGAAGTCCTTAAAGGACCTGATGGAGCTGAAAACCATGGCACAAGAACTATGTGATGAATGCACAAGCCTCAGTAGCCAATTCAATCAACTGGAAGAAAGGGTATCAGTGACTGAAGATCAAATGAATGAAATGAAGTGAGAAGAGAAGTTTAGAGAAAAAAGAATAAAAAGAAATGAACAAAGCCTCCAAGAAATATGGGACTATGTGAAAAGACCAAATCTACATCTGATTGGTGTACCTGAAAGTGACGGGGAGAATGGAAGCAAGTTGGAAAACACTCTGTAGGATATTATGCAGGAGAACTTCCCCAATCTAGCAAGTCAGGCTAACATTCAAATGCAGGAAATACAAAGGATGCCACAAAGATACTCCTCGAGAAGAGCAACTCCAAGACACATAATTGTCAGATTCACCAAAGTTAAAATGAAGGAAAAAATGTTAAGGGCAGCCAGAGAGAAAGGTCGGGTTACCCACAAAGGGAAGCCCATCAGACTAACAGCGGATCTCTTGGCAGAAACTCTACAAGCCAGAAGAGAGTGGGGGCCAATATTCAACATTCTTAAAGAAAAGAATTTTCAACCCAGAATTTCATATCCAGCCAAATTAAGCTTCATACATGAAGGAGAAATAAAATACTTTACAGACAAGCAAAGGCTGAGAGATTCTGTCACCACCAGGCCTGCCCTAAAAGAGCTCCTGAAGGAAGCGCTAAACATAGAAAGGAACAACCGGTACCAGCCACTGCAAAAACATGTCAAATTGTAAAGACCTTCGAGGCTAGGAAGAAACTGCATCAACTAATGGGCAAAATAACCAGCTAACATCATAATGACAGGATCAAATTCACACATGACAATATTAATCTTAAATGTAAATGGGCTGAATGCCCCAATTAAAAGACACAGACTGGCAAACTGGATAAAGAGTCAAGACTCATCAGTGTGCTGCATTCAGGAAACCCATCTAACATGCAGAGACACACATAGGCTCAAAATAAAGGGATGGAGGAAGATCTACCAAGCAAATGGAAAACAAAAAAAGGCAGGGGTTGCAATCCTAGTCTCTGATAAAACAGACTGTAAATGAACAAAGATCAAAAGAGTCAAAGAAGGCCACTACATAATGGTAAAGGCATCAATTCAACAAAAAGAGCTAACTATCCTAAATATATATGCACCCAATACAGGAACACCCAGATTCATAAAGCAAGTCCTTAGAGACCTACAAAGAGACTTAGACACCCATGTAATAATAATGGGAGACTTTAACACCCCACTGTCAACATTAGACAGATCAATGAGACAGAAAGTTAACAAGGATATCCAGGAACTGAACTCAGCTCTGCACCAAGCGGACCTAATAGACATCTACAGAACTCTCCACCCCAAATCAACAGAATATACATTCTTTTCAGCACCACACATACTCCAAAGTTGACCACATAGTTGGAAGTAAAGCACTCCTCAGCAAATGTAAAAGAACAGAAATTATAACAAACTGTCTCTCAGACCACAGTGCAATCAAACTAGAACTCAGGATTAAGAAACTCACTCAAAACCACTCAACTACATGGAAACTGAACAACCTGCTCCTGAATGACTACTGGGTACATAACGAAATGGAAGCAGAAATAAAGATGTTCTTTGAAACCAACAAGAACAAAGACACAACATACCAGAATCTCTGGGACACATTCAAAGCAGTGTGCAGACGGAAATTTATAGCACTAAATGCCCACAAGAGAAAGCAGGAAAGATCCAAAATTGACACCCTAACATCACAATTAAAAGAACTAGAGAAGCAAGAGCAAACACATTCAAAAGCTAGCAGAAGTCAAGAAATAAGTAAGATCAGAGGAGAACTGAAGGAAATAGAGACACAAAAAACCCTTCAAAAAATCAATGAATCCAGGAGCTGGTTTTTGAAAAGATCAACAAAATTCATAGACCACTAGCAAGACTAATAAAGAAGAAAAGAGAGAAGAATCAAATAGACACAATAAAAAATGATAAAGGGGATATCACCACAGATCCCACAGAAATACAAACTACCATCAGAGAATACTATAAACACCTCTATGCAAATAAACTAGAAAACCTAAAAGAAATGTATAAATTCCTGGACACATACACCCTCCCAAGACTAAACCAGGATGAAGTTGAATCTCTGAATAGACCAATAACAGGCTCTGAAATTGAGGCAATAATTAATAGCTTACCAACCAAAAAAAGTCCAGGACCAGATGGATTCAAAGCCGAGTTCTACCTGAGGTACAAGGAGGAGCTGGTACCATCTCTTCTGAAACTATTCCAATCAATAGAAAAAGAGGGAATCCTCCCTAACTCATTTTATGAGGCCAGCATCATCCTGATACCAAAGCCGGGCACAGACAAAACCAAAAAAGAGAATTTTAGACCAATATCCTTGATGAACATTGATGCAAAAATCCTCAATAAAATACTGGCAAACTGAGTCCACCAGCACATCAAAAAGCTTATCCACCATGATCAAGTGGGCTTAATCCCTGGGATGCAAGGCTGGTTCAACATATGCAAATCAATAAATGTAATCCAGCATATAAACAGAACCAATGACAAAAACAACATGATTATCTCAATAGATGCAGAAAAGGTCTTTCACAAAATTCAACAACCCTTCATGCTAAAAACTCTCAATAAATTAGGTATTGATGGGACGTATTTCAAAATAATAAGAGCTATCTATGACAAACCCACAGCCAATATCATACTGAATGGGCAAAAACTGGAAGCATTCCCTGTGAAAACTGGCACAAGACAGGGATGCCCTCTCTCACCACTCTTATTCAACATAGTGTTGGAAGTTCTGGCCAGGGCAATCAGGCAGGAGAAGGAAATAAAGGGTATTCAATTAGGAAAAGAGGAAGTCAAATTGTCCCTGTTTGCAGATGACATGATTGTATATTTAGAAAATCCCATCATCTCAGCTCAAAATCTCCTTAAGCTGATAGGCAACTTCAGCAAAGTCTCAGGATACAAAACCAATGTGCAAAAAACACAAGCATTCTTATACACCAATAAAAGACAGAGAGCCAAATCATGAGTGAACTCCCATTCACAATTGCTTCAAAGAGAATAAAATACATAGGAATCCAACTTACAAGGGATGTGAAGGACCTCTTCAAGGAGAACTACAAACCACTGCTCAATGAAATAAAAGAGGATACAAACAAATGGAAGAATATTCCATGCTCATGGGTAGGAAG
Organism: Homo sapiens; assembly: GCF_000001405.40. Lineage (NCBI taxonomy): Eukaryota > Metazoa > Chordata > Mammalia > Primates > Hominidae > Homo > Homo sapiens. Next base: position 25,443,731 of record NC_000024.10, on the reverse strand, counting down.
AATCAATATCGTGAAAATGGCCATACTGCCCAAGGTAATTTATAGATTCAATGCCATCCCCATCAAGCTACCAATGACTTTCTTCACAGAATTGGAAAAAACTACTTTAAAGTTCATATAGAACCAAAAAAGAGCCCACATCACCAAGTCAATCCTAAGCCAAAAGAACAAAGCTGGAGGCATCACGCTATGTGACTTCAAACTATACTACAAGGCTACAGTAACCAAAACAGCATGGTACTGGTACCAAAACAGAGATATAGACCAATGGAACAGAATGGAGCCCTCAGAAGTAATGCCACTCATCTACAACTATCTGATCTTTGACAAACTTGACAAAAACAAGAAATGGGGAAAAGATTCCCTATATAAGAAATGGTGCTGGGAAAACTGGCTAGCCATATGTAGTAAGCTGAAACTGGATCCCTTCCTTATACCTTAGACAAAAATTAATTCAAGTTGGATTAAAGACTTAAATGTTAGACCTAAAACCATAAAAACCCTAGAAGAAAACCTAGGCAATACCATTCAGGGCATAGGCATGGGCAAGGGCTTCATGTCTAAAACAACAAAAGCAATGGTAACAAAAGCCAAAATTGACAAATGGGATCTAATTAAACTAAAGAGCTTCTGCACAGCAAAACAAAATACCCTCAGAGTGAACAGGCAACCTACAGAATGGGTGAAAATTTTTGCAATCTACTCATCTGACAAAGGGCTCATATCCAGAATCTACAAAGAACTCAAACAAATTTATAAGAAACAAACAAACAACCCCATCAACAAGTGGGCAAAGGATTTGAACAGACACTTCTCAAAACAAGACATTTATGCAGCCAAAAGACACATGAAAAAATGCTCATCATCACCGGCCATCAGAGAAATGCAAATGAAAACCACAATGAGATACCATCTCACACCAGTTAGAATGGCAATCCTTAAAAAGTCAGGAAACAACAGGTGCTGAAGAGGATTTGGAGAAATAGGAATGCTTTTACATTGTTGATGGGGCTGTAAACTAGTTCAACCATTGTGGAAGTCAGTGTGGTGATTCCTCAGGGATCTAGAACTAGAAATACCATTTGACCCAGCAATCCCATTACTGGGTATATACCTAAAGGATTATAAAACATGCCGCTATAAAGACACATGCACATGTATGTTTATTGCGGCGCTCTTCATGATAGCAAAGACTTGGAGCCAACCCAAATGTCCAAAAATGATAGAGTGGATTAAGAAAATGTGGCACATATACACCATGGAATACTATGCAGCCATAAAAAATGATGAGTTAATGTCCTTTGTAGGGACATGGATGAAGTTAGAAAGCATCATTCTCAGCAAACTATCACAAGGACAAAAAACCAAACACCACGTGTTCTCACTCATAGGTGGGAATTGAACAATGAGAACACATGGACACAGGAAGGGGAACATCATACACTGGGGCCTGTTGTGGGGTGGTGGGAGTGGAGAGGGATAGCATTAGGAGATATACCTAATTTTAAATGAAGAGTTAATGGGTGCAGCACATCAAAATTACACACATATACATATGTAACAAACCTGCACGTTGTGCATATGTACCCTAAACTTAAAGTATAATAAAAAATAAATAAAAAAGACTTGTGCACTAAAGTCAAGCAGCACCCAAAGAAAATGTATACCATTACAGGTTTGTTTAAAAGGCAATTTAAATTACATTGATCCACTAAACTAGAAAAAGCAAAATAAACAAAAAGGGGAAATAATTAAGACATAAGGAAAATGTGACAAAAAAACTCACTAAATTTAAAAAATAAAACTCAAGGAGGATTATTTCAAAAGACTAAGATAATAAAACTGTCACACCTCTGATAATTGATCGAGATAAAGAAACCTTTGAAGAGAAAAGGGCATATAGCCACATGTGAATATGATGCAAAAAGTGAAAACTTTACACATCTTTACAACACCTTAGAAGTATGGGAGAAGTGTTCATTTCTTTTAAGAATCTACAGTTATGAAAACTAACTGAAGAAATGGAAAATCTGGAGACCCATACACACAGAAAAAGGAAAAAGACAAAGACTCATCCTCCAAATTGGACATTTATTTAAACCAGGGTTTGTCAGCCTCAGCAATATTGATATCTTGGGCCAGACAATTCTTTGTGAGGGTTCTCCTGGTGTGTTGTGGGACATTTAGTAACATCCCCTCTACCCATGGAATGCCAGTAAGACCTCCCGACCGTGACCAGTTGTGACCACAAAAATGTCTCCAGATATTTCCAAATGTCCCATGGGAGGCAAAATATTCCTGCAGTTGAAAACTACTGTGTAAACTAGATCTACATCCTAGGTTTTAGAGAAAAGATGTAAAGCTTCCCAAGTTAGCCCTGCACACCCTTGATACTGAAATAAGAGCCTGAAAGGAAGCAAACAAAACTATAATCTTATTTAATACAGAAATAAAAATGCAAAAATAAAATATTACCATAGCCATTCTAACAGTATTTATTATAGGAATGCAAGGATGATTCAAAATTAGGAAAATTTCATCAGGTAATTCACAAATTATATTTCTCCATAGAATTGTAGGCACAATCATGAAAAACAAGGTAGCTCTATATGCATTAAGTCCACGTGATATTCAGTGAAAAACACAAGTTGCAGATGTCTTACAGAAAAAAACTGAACACTGAACACATATTTCCACCATCTGCTCTTTGTCCTGAGGCTCCACTAGAAATACAGTGAAGAATAAACGATATATAAACACACAATTACAAAAAAAAGAAATGGGGTTACCCACAGAAGAGAATTCACCTCCATTAGAAAATGACAGTAAACGGAAAATGGTTAATTAATGGAGCAAAGCAAAGCAAAGTGGAGGTCAGGGGGACACCGATAACAAGGAAGCTAATTTGTCCCACAGCAACCTGGAAAGGTTCTAGACTCCGACACCAGGTACCCCCGAGAGTGGGACTGATAGGCAAGACTGAAAACAGAGATCAACCAAAAGCCTATATAGAGAACACATTTTCCAGGCCCTGAAACACACTGCTCTCCCCTATCTCCTTAAGCAGAACCCAAGCAAACATATCTACCTCAGACAAGAGAATGTAGATTTCACCTCCAGAGAAATGGAGTAGTTCCAGCCATCATTTATGATTGCACTGGGAGATAAGATGGGGGGTAGAGGATGACAATTAGGAATCAGCATACATTCCCCCTAAAAGCTATCAGTTGGCAAGTCCTGGCCATGAAGAACTCCCAATTTTTTATTTTTATTTATTTTTTTATATATTTATTTATTTATGTTTTTGAGACAGGGTCTTGCTCTTTCACCCAGGCTAGAATGCAGGAAGCAGCAGGATGATCACAGCCCACTTCAGCCTCAACATCCTGGGCCCAAGTGATCCTCTTACCTCAGCCTCCCAAGTAGCTGGGACTATGGGTTGGTGTCACCACACCTGGTTATTTTTTTAATTTATTTTTTTGTGAAGGTGGGATCTCACTATGTTGCCCAAACTAGTCTTAAGCTCCTGGGCTCAAGTGATCCTCCCACGTCAGTCTCCCAAAGCACTGAGATTGTAGGTGTGAGCCACCACGTCCAGACTCCCAGTCTTTTAGTACCTCTCTCAAATATGAATGAACAAAAAAGGGAATTAAAGAAAACATACAGGCTGGGCACGGTTGCTCATGCCTTTAATCCCAGCAGTTTAGGAAGCCAAGGTGGGTGGATCACCTGAGGTCAGGAATTCAAAACCAGCCTGACTAACATGGAGAAACCCTGTCTCTACTAAAAATACAAAAATTAGCCGGGCATGGTGGCACAGGCCTGTAATCCCAGCTACTCAGGAGAATGAGGGAGGAGGATCACTTGAACCCAAGAGGTTGTGGTGAGCCGAGATCACACCATTGCACTCCATCCTGGGTAACAAGTGCAAAACTCTGTCTCAAAAAAAAAAAAAAAAAAAGACTACAAATGATAAGCAACATAGAGTAGATATTTAAGGAAAGGTTTTAAAAAGAAAAATAAGACCAAAATAAACTAAGAAAAAAATTTATTAAAGAACAAAGAGATGCTAGGGAGAAGACAAAAGAGTACCCAAATCACTTCATAAAGACACTTGTGAATATATTACATGAATAAAACAAAAATAGGATATGAATAAGGAATAATCAGAGAAGAAAAAGTTCTTAGAACTCAGGGTTCATCTTGGGAGTTGGTCCCCAGTGAGCCACACCTCCCGGCATCATGTCCTTGGACAGTCCCATCCCACAGTGAATCTAGGTTGGCCCCAAGATTCACTTTAACCTGCAGAATTTGGTAGAAATGATGCTGGACCTGTTCCAGGTCTAAGCCTTAAGAACACCTGGCAGCTCCACATCTGTGCTTCTAGTAGCCAAAATAAGTACTGACTAACTCTCGGGGAAAGAGAAGCCATATGATGAGGCCAGAGAGGAAGGCCACATGAAGAAACACCAAAGCAGGTGACCTGTGGGTGAAGAAGCCATCTCAGACATTCCACTGCAGCTGAGCATCCAGATGACCAGTCCCTGACACCATCTAACCGCACAGTGAGAGATGCCAAACGAGACCAGCAGAAAAACTGTCTGGCTGTCCTCAGTTAACCCATACAGTAGTGACAGGTAGACAAATGTGTAGTTTTATTCCATTAAGTTTTGGGAAAATTGGTTAAGCAACAATAAATAACCAAAACAAAACTTAACGTTGACTGTCCAAATAAAATTTCCTAAAAGTCAAAATATAAGGAAAATGTTCCAGAACTTAACATTTTTTAAAAAATTAGAAATAATGTGAGATGCAAGTCTCAAGAGAAGAGGACTAAAATCCAATTAACAGACACTTCAGAATGAACAAATAAAGTGGAAAAGAGAAAGTTAACAAAAATATGACAAGATTCAAGATTACAACTTTGAAAGAGCCGATCCATAGGCCTATCCATTCGGTATACCCAGCACAGTGAATGAAAAAAGACACACACTAAGTACAATGTTGTGCTATTTCAGCCACCAAGGAAAAGACAAACTCCTAAAAGCTTCCAGAGAGAAAGTCATGCATAAATGAGTGAAACTCAGGATGACATGAGGCTTCACCACCATGACTGGTTAGAACACAACAGCACAGACTTTGAAATTCTAAGGTAAAATTATCCTCAACCTAGAAATACATAATCAACCAAACTATCAATCAAGTGTGAGGGTAGACTATGACAAAAGTGAATAGTGATGGGGATGGGCTAAGCACCAGGCACTGTTCTAAATGATTTACATGTACCAACTCATTTAATCCTCACAGATCCTTAGAAACATAGGTACTAATACTATTACCGGTTCCCCCATTTTGCAAATGGAAAATTGATGCATAGAGCAATTATGGAATCAGCCCAAGGGCATAGAGCTAATAAGTAGTAGAACTAAGATTCAAATCTATCTCAGACTGGCTCCAAAACCCAAACACTGGATTATATTTTCTCAGAAGCTAGAGATCAGAAAATATACCACTCTATGCTTTCTCAGGGTTTTACTTGAGGACACAGTCAGGTAAAATGACAAAGAGAAAAACCAAGAAAGATGACATGGGATCCAAGAAACAATGGATGTACTCTAGGCGAGCAGATGAGAAAAACCTCAAGATGACATATGCACAGCCAAGCTGAAGAACAACCTGCCAAAATGGGCACAGAGGAGCCAAAGGCTTTGGAAGAGAAGGAGATCTCACAGAAAGGGCTACAACAGAAATTTTTTAATTAAAAATTACTATTATGAGGAAGACACTGCAAAACAAAAAGTAGCACCAAGGAAAGAAATATCCTATCCTAAATATTCTAGAAAACTTGGCTTCATGAAGTCCTAATGATAATTAGTGATTACTTATATCACTAAAGATAATATCTGAGGAAGGCAAAGTGGGTAGTATAAGAGCTAAATTCTCATGTATTATACTAAAAAGTCAATAGCTGATGCCTAAATAGGTAAATCCAGGAAGAAGTTAGGGGTAGTGGTGAGCTAGTGGAGATTTCTGTTGATTGCAGGAGATAACATTTGGGTGAGTCCTTAAGAAGCATAGACAGACTTAAGGAGATGACATTTCTAGGTGAAGGTAATTCAATGAGCAAAGACAAACAATGAAAGAAGCAAGAACATTTATGGACACCAGGAATATTCATAATAAAAAGCTGGTGTTAGGGAAAAGGGCAATTGTTTGCCTGTCATACTAAATACCAGCAGCTCCAAAGAATGAAAAGGTTATTTTTAGTATCTAAAACAGGACAAACAAAACAATTCAATAGGAACAGAAAAGCTAACTTCTAAATAAATTGAATAATTTAAAAAAATCATCCTAGTTTGACTTTTGTTTGAGACTATTTATTTTAGCTCTTGAACACTAGAGAATTTTTACTCTACCTGACCCATGGGTAGTGGTTGATCTGGCATGGCAACATCCAGGTGCTTAGGAAGGTTATATAATCTGCAGAGTCCACATATCAACCACTTCAATTGCTGATGAAGCTACAAAACACATTTCAGTAAATAAGCATTATGTTAAAGAGCCCTTAGAAGACATCAATAATGTTATGACTGCTGTAATCAATCCAGTAGGAAATAAAAATTTTGTCACTGCTCAAGTGCAGCTTACAGATTAAAAAAAAAAACTAAATATTTTCAGGAGCTTCTAGCTTAAGAAAGTTACTATGGCTTGGGGTATAATCACATAACTGATACCTAGCAGAATGTCAACAATAAAGGCAGAGGAAGGAAGTTCCAGACATTGTCCAATTTCTCATTGCTATCTTGTTTTCTTAGAAACTTAAAACTTCAAACAATAGAACATTAATGAGGCCACCAAAAAAAAAAAAAAAAAAAAAAGAAAAAGAAAACCATGCACAGGCACTGTTCTTACAGATGGATTATAAAATTATATGTTCCTGTCATAGTCAGTTAAAAGTACAAAAGCAAATGTGATCCAGCAGACAGAGCCTGGAAATCTAGATGACCTTGGATATTATATCTAATTCCCTGAGTTTGAGTCTACTCATCTGCAAAACAAAGAAATGAAAACTTTCCCAGAATAGTAAAGATTAAATGAAACCTGTAAAAGACTTAATATTTAGTAGGCTCTTAAGTGTCTGTCTAAAAAAATAATAATTCACTAGGAAACTGCAAATAATAACTGTAAATTTCCATGTTTAAGTCCAAATTGTGTTGTAAGCATATTTACTTTAAGGAAGTAAGCAAGGTAAACTATGTGCACAAGTGTGGTTTTCATTGTTTAAAATGTTTTTCAATGTATAAGGTGACTCAAATGGGATCTAATAAGGCAACTCACTTCACTTGGTCAGGAACAATTTTCTGGGTGTCTCTGACCAAGAAAAGAGATGAAGAGAAAGAAGCAGGCTTACAAAGGACAGAGAAAGAAGACAAAGGATAGAATGGGTTAAGGAAGCAAAGAATAAGCCTTTCCAAAGTGAACAATGAAGCAAGTGGAAATAGGAAGGTTGAACCATAAATTAGGATCCACCAAAAATCCTCATGCTTAAAAGGAAGCCAAGCCCCAGTGTGGATTTGTTACACACTCAGTGTGTTCTGTTTTGTGCCAAGTACATAATGGAGATGAGGCAGGGTGATCTGGACATGGACCTGAACACTCTGACCTCTGGCACTGAAGGGGCTACAGGAGGGCTGGGATGAAAGAGGAATGAAAAGAAATTAAAGAACGTGTAAGCAAAAATGCAGTTGTATGTTAAAAAAACCCAATTCCCCCTAAGAAAGAAAAAGAGGTGGAGTACTTTAAGAATTAACTGTCTGTTTTTCTGAGGCTAGTGAACCTCATCTCTCCTCCTCTCCCAGGCATTGTGGAGACCCTGTTTCTCTAGCTGTGCAGCTGCAAGGTCACTGGACAGATAAACTCAAGTCATAAAACATGTTTTTCCTTGAAAAGTAAGAAATAATGTAATGCATGTCTCAACTGAATAACTGTCTTTGTTTCTTGCTTCTGTAATATGCTTCTCCCTGCACAGATCTCTCCCCACCCCACAAAATGCTTAAAAGGTAACCTGACTCTTTGTTCAGGGCTCAGTCCTTTAGATGTTAATCTGACTGGGCTGGTGCACCTAAATAATAACATATATCCTCCTCAGTCTGTCTGATTCTTAAATTATGCTGCTGCACGGGGAGAGAGGGAGCAGGGTAGTGGAGTCATACCAAGCAACAAGACAGGGTAGTGGCCAGGCATGGTGCTCACACCTGTAATCCCAGCTATTTGGGAGGCCGAGGTGGGTGGATCACCTGAGGTCAGGAGTTTGAGACCAGCCTGGCCAACATGATGAAACCCCATCTCTACTAAAAATACAAAAATTAGTTGGGCATGGTGGCCGGTGCCTGTAATCCCAGCTACTCAGGAGGCTGAGGTAGGAGAATCACTTGAACCCAGGAGGTGGAGGTTGCAGTGAGCCAAGATTGTGCCACTGCACTCCAGCCTGGGGGACAAGAGGGAGACTTCATCTCAAAAGAAAGAAAAGAAAGAAAGAAAGAAAGACAAGGTAGTACATTTTCCACAAATTTTACTCTCTTCCCCCACCACACACAGACACAAAGCATTTGAGGGATGGGAGGAAGAAACTGAGATCACAGGGAAAATATTAAGAGACATTCAGAAGGGCAGGTCTTAGAAATTTACTAGTTTGGGGGTGTCAGAGAACAGTTGTATATAAAAGAACGCTAAGACAGTTCCCAGGTTTAGGCATATGTGACTAGATAGAGTGCTAGGAGGTGGATACATGAAAATTTAAATATCATCATTTTGAACACCCATGTCACTCCAGGTGAGATTCCCTAACATATATGATATACAGACAGATATATGGGTTTGAAACTCCGGAGATGAATACAAATTTAGGAGTCCCTGCAACACAGGTCATGACTTAAGTAATGGGAGTCAAAGATTACTCAGAGAAAGCACAGAATGAGAAGAGAAGAAAGAAGTAGGACAAGGAAGAAGAGATCGGAGGAGACCAAGGCAGGGTGATAAGATCAAAACAGGAGAAGAGAATCCGATAGAAGTCTCATTCGATTATCATGTCCCTTCCCAGAGGACAGGGACATGCCTTTTTTGTCTTTTACACCCAATTATCATAGGTCCTGGTGCAGAAGACACACAGTTACTTTTTTAAATTGTGTTGTACTATTCACAGTTTCCTGTATCCACCAGGGGAGAAAAAAGTAAGTATAAACAAGTACAGACATAGATGTTTTTACACTGTATGCTAAAGGAGTCAGATTATACACAATATTTTATGCCTTACTTTTTTTACCTAATATACCTTAGAAGTTTGCACATGCTCTTATGGAAAGACTGGCTGCATTTTTTGGTCCACAACAGAACAACAGAATATTCTATTATAAAACTGTACACTACAATTTTTATTTAACCAACTCTTTATTAGTGGACATTAAGAATGGAGGAATGTTTCAACAAAGGAACAATCAACAGTATCAAAATACTGCAGAGGGGTCCATTTGGGGACTAAGAGGGGAGTCACTGGATTTGGCAACTAGGAGATAAATTTTAGCGCGACGATGAAGGCAGAATCCAGATTATAATGAGCTCAGTGAAAAAAGGTGAAGACATGCAGCTTATTCTCTCAAGAAACTAGGCTATGATAAACTGGCAGAGGCTGTAAGAGTGGGAGGTGAGTTGTTTTCTCCTTCATGTAAATATATTTACTTTTTTAAACACTAGGCCCAATTTTATATCCTACTTCATTTAACTTTATGAACATACTTATGTATATATGCATGTATGTATGTATGTCATGTGATGTTTTAGACACTGAAAAATAACTCATTTCTGCTATTATAAAACTGATATCTTTAGATGTTCAGATGCAACTTCCTAAAAGGAGGTAGCAGTAATGGAGCTATGTCTATCATTCTTTCCATCAACCCCCTTGCTGGAGATGTAAACATGTGTCCATCAAGCCTTTAATTTTTACCTCTTATCTTCATGGCTCTCCATATAAAACTTAACTCTTTTTTTTCTATTTGTATATGTATATTTACATGTATATCTATATTGAGAGAGAGAGAGAGAGAAAGAGTCTTGCTATGTTGCCCAGGCTGATCTCAAACTCCTGGGCTCAAGCAATCCTCCCACCTTGGCCTCGCAAAGTGCTGGGATTACAGGCATGAACCACTGTGCCCAGCCTCAGCCTTAACTCTTAAAATATCTTCAAACCAATATCCTTTTGTTCTAATTTTTACGAATAGATGTGTTTAAACAAACTGTAACTTATTTTGACAAAAATTGGAGTTAAGACTCAAACTTCCTCAAATAGTTCTCCTAAAACCATTTACAGAATAATCTCTCTTTTCAGTATTAAGTTAAAATACCACCTTTTCCTTACACTAAATTCTCATTTGCATGACTCTGGCTCTAAACTTCCATTGCCTTTATCTGTCTGGTCCAGGGCTAGTCCACAATATTTTATTTAATATCTGGTTGAAAGAGTCTATACTTTATGAATTTTTATTATTTATTCTTCTAAACTAACTTTAGAGTCGTTTTTGTCAAGTGTCAAAAATAAATCTGCTGGAATTTGTACTGAAATTTGTGTATATGTATATACACACTATATATAATGTAAAATGTATATATACAATTTATATATAAGTATATATAATATGAAATGTATATATACAATGTATATATAAATATATATATAAAATATGAAATGTACATACACACTTATATACACACATACACATTTTTTTCTGCTTTTTTTTTTTTTTTTGAGACAGGGTCTCACTCTGTCACCTAGGCTGGAGTTCAGAGGCATGATCTTGGCTCACTGCAACCTCTGCCTCCCAGGCTCAAGTGATCCTCCCACCTCAGCCTCATAAGTATTTGGAACTACAAGTGTGTGCCACAGACACCCAGCTAATTGTCATCTACCTGCCTCAGCTTTCCAAACTTTTGGGACTACAGGTGTGAGCCACGGTGCCCAGCAGAAATTACATTTACAAATTAATATGAAGACATGGTGATAACTAACATATTTATAACATGAAATCTGCTCATCCAGGAACATAGAATGCAAATCTTTCATTCCACTCAGCAAAATTTTGTCATGTCCTTGATAAAAGTCCTGCACATCTAAGTTTATTCCTAGGTATTTAATTTTTGCTGAAATACCTGAAAAAATACTTCATCACTATGTCTTCTATGTGATTATAAATAACATTTAGGAAGGCTATTGATTTTTATATAAAAGAGCTTTTAACCCATAATCTTAAAAATTGTTTTTTTCAGTTGGTTCCTTTGGATATTTTTAGGTAAACAATCATGTAAACTGAAAATAATGATTGTTATTTTTCTATATAGACTATGACACCATGGGAAAATACAGTAGATACTTTTTAAAAGAATATAAAAGGGCTGGGCACAGTGGCTCACGCCTGTAATCCCAACACTTTGTGAGGCTGAGGCGGGAGGATCACGAGGTCAGGAGATTGAGACCATCGTGGCTAACACGGTGAAACCCCATCTCTACTAAAAAATACAAAAAATTAGCCAGGCATGGTGGTGGGCACCTGTATTCCCAGCTACTGGGGAGGCTGAGGCAGTAGAATGGTGTGAACCTGGGAAGGGGAGCCCGCAGTGAGCCGAGATTATGCCACTGCACTCCAGTCTGGGTGACAGACCAAGACTCTGTCTCAAAAAAAAAAAAAAAAAAAAAGACAGAGAAGAATATAAAACTATAGAGAATACAACCTCAACTATTTAAACATATGTATAAGGTTATGTATTTTACTAGCAAAGAAAAAATATATACTGGTAGAAAATGGCCATCATGTCAACTGTCAATAGTGGTTATATTAGGTAGAGAAATTATGGGAGACTAATTTTTTTTCTTTTTGCTTTTCTGTACTTTACTAATTTTCTCAACAATGGTTGCTTGTGAGTTTTATAATAAAAAAAGTTTTTAAAATTTTTCCAACATGGAAAGTTATATTTCTTTATAAACTAAAAACAAAAACAAAACTTCCTATTTGAATACCTTTGACTTTTACTGCAGACTTACAGACCCTTGAAAGAAAAGGCAATCCCCTCCCACTAGTTTTGGTGTCATTCTCCCCATCTTTCCCTTCACTTCCACCTTGGTCTTTTTTCTACTTCCCACCTTGGCTAGTGGTCTCCACCCAAAATGCTTGCTTGGCTTAATTGTTAGAATTCAGGGCAAAAGAGATCCCGAATTGCTAATCTAAACTAAGGTTATACATGTGGGAAATAACAAAGAGAAACCAGGTAGTAAATAAGATTTGGAGGACTTAAAATACCCAGACTTTAATTCCTCTAAGTTTATAGTTATTAATCATGTTTTTTTATTATATTATCTCTTAACATTTAATTTCTAAATACAATGTTTATGAGGAAAAGAGAAAAGAGCTTGGCTTCTTTCCTCACCAAATTGTTGTTCTTATCATCTTCCAGACATTCCAAAACTGATGTCAGATTTAGCTCATCAGAGTCTACAAACCATATTGGTGAAGAAGATGAATAGGATTCCTGTTTAACCCAGAGACACCTATGTTAAATGTTTACACACAGCCTAACCCAAATATGCAATTAAACCACATCACTAAAGGGCAAGATGACCACGGATTTAAACAAAATGTATCGGAGGAAAAGGCAACACATTAAAACCCATGTGAGGAGCTGGACTTCTGAGACAGCCATTCTCCTTGCATAGCACTGTCTGCTGCCACAGCTCATAGAAGTCAACAATTTTCTTCAAGAATGGTAGGCAGCCTCTAAATGGCCCTGATCACCCTCACCTCCTGCCATTCACACCCTTGTAAAATTCCACCCTTGGACCTAGTGACTCACTTCTAACAAAGAGAATACAGCAAAAGTAATAACATCACTTCTGAGATGAGGCTACAAGGAGACTACGATGCATGCCTTGTTCACCCTTCTCCTGCTCTTTCCATTGCTCCCTCTGTTGGAAGCCAGTTGCCATGTGATGAGGTGCCCTATGGAGAGGCCCACATGACAAGGTATTGTAAAAGGTCTCTGACCAATAGCCATCTAGAAACGGAGGCCCAGTCCAGCAGCCTCTGAGGTGAATCCCGCCAGTGTGAGCTTGGAGATGGATTCTCTCCCTATCCTGACTTGGGATGATCACAGCTGCCATCAACACCTTCACTGCCTGGTGAGAGGCCAGGCCAGTGAACCCAAGGTAAACTGCACAGAATCCTGACCCACAGAAACTGTGAGATAATGTTTGTTGTTTTAAGCTACTAAATTTGTTACAGAGCAATAGATAACTAATTCAAACACCATAAAATTCATACATTTTATTCTATCACACAAACCAAGTAATATGAATAAATGCCATTATTATACATATATTTTTGGGAGATAATTACATGTGATTTTTTAAAAAGCTAATGAACTAAGCATTATGCACTTTCACCCACTAATAGACATTTACTCTGTTGCATTGTACTGTCTTCTATTAGAAACTGGTGAAAAGCAATCGTTATTATATATTAGCTTCAGAAGAACTAGGTTCAAGTCAAGGAAAACCAAGAAAACCAGAAAACCATGAAAACCACGGAAAACCAGAAAAACAAGTTGGCCAGGTGTGGTGGCTCATGCCTGCAATCTGGGCACTTTGGGAGACTAAGGTGGGTGGATCACGAGGCAGGAGATCGAGACATCCTGGCTAATGTGGTGAAACCCTGTCTCTACCAAAATAAAAACAACTAGCCGGGCATGGTGGCTCATGCCTGTAGTCCCAGCCACTCAAGAGGCTGAGGCAGGGGAATCGCTTGAACCCAGGAGGCAGAGGTTTCAGTGAGCTGAGATGCACCACTGCACTCCAGCCTGGTGACAGAGCAAGACTCCATCTCAAAAAAAAAAAAAAAAAAAGGAAAAGAAAAACAAGTTATATTGAAGGAGGACATCATTAACAGTCTATCTCTTCAATAATGATTTATTTCACTATTCTCATTCTTCTCATTCCTCTCTTACAGTGTCCCAAATCTTTTTACAGGCTAAAAGAAACTCTTCAGAATGAATCCTATTCTTTTTGTTTTGTTTTGTTTTTGAGACAGAGTCTCGCTCTGTCACCCGGGCTGGATGCAGTGGCACGATCTCAGATCATGGCAAGCTCCACCTCCTGGGTTCATGCCATTCTCCTGCATTAGCCTCCAGAGTAGCTGGGACTATAGGCACCTGCCACCACGTCTGGCTAATTTTTTGTTTTTTAGTAGAGACGGGGTTTCACTGTGTTAGCCAGGGTGGTCTCAATCTCCTGATCTCCTGATCCACCTGCCTCAGCCTCCCAAAGTGCTGGGATTACAGGTGTGAGCCACCGTGCCTGGCCCAATGCTATTCTTAAAGAATACCACTTACTGCCTATTGCATTTTCTTCTTCAAATTCTTCAGCATACATTGGGAATACACCATATGGACCATTTTTAAATTTTTAGTTTGGGTTTTTTTTTTTTTGGCTAAAGAAAATGCAACTAGATTTAGGACCTCATTCTATTAGGTTAGTATTTGTCTAGTAAACTTCAGCATAAGCAAAGTAAAATACATGTTGCTGCTCTGGACTGAAACCCCTCAAAACCATATTTTAAAAACTACAAAAATATTAACTGAAATCAAGTTTTTAAAAATCTTGTAGATGAAAAGATATGATATATAGTAGGTTTAAGTACCTATTTCAGTGGTTCCCAAAGTGCAGCCCTCAGACCCCCAGGTCCAAACTGTTTTGACAGGAATACTAACATGGTGACATTTGCTGTAAGGGTGCAGATGCAATGGTGGGTAAAAATGCTGGTACTTTAGCACAAATAAAGGCAGTAACACCAAACTACTAGTAGTCATGGTATGACTACTATGCACAGGAAAGGTTTAAAGGTTGAAAAAGGAAGGGCAGGCCAGGCACAATGTCTCATGCCTGTAATCCCAACACTTTGGTAGGCCAAGGCGGGCAGATCACCTGTGGTCAACAGTTTGAGAGCAGCCTGGCCAACACGGTGAAAGCCCATCTCTACTAAAAATATAAAAATTAGCTGGACATGGTGGTTGTATGACTGCAGTCCCAGCTTCTTGGCAGGTTGAGGCAGGAGGATTGATTGAGCCCAGAAGGTTGAGGCTACAGTGAGCTGTGATCATGCTACTGCACTCCAGCCTGGGTGACAGAACAAGGCCCTGTCTCAAAAATAAAAAGAATGTCTATGATGAAGCAGTGAAAAATTTACATCTTAATCCTTGAATATACCTTTTTAATATTTCAAGTGATGAAATGGGAAGTATACATGAGCATACCTACAGACTGTCAGAGAAAAAACCCTCATGAGACTACGTCATGAAGTGAATTAACCACTTTAATGGAATATCATTTTTATTCCAAAAGATGGCTGACAAAAAATGCTATTTCAGCTTGGGTTTTGGGGGACATTTTCTCAAAAAAGGAGATTCTGTTATTTCAAGGAAAATAACAGACAGGCCATAATAAATTTCAACAATAAAATTGCTAATACTAAAACTCAAGCTTTTGAACAAAAAATTAGAATTTTAGAAAACTTATATCCACCATCGCTTTCTAAAACTATTCTGATGAGATTGATGGTGATATTGATGAGTGTATTTTGATATTGTACAATCAAATGTATCAACATATAGAAGATCTCAGTAAACCATTATTTTTGAACGGAACAATGCATGATGTTATAATACCATGCAAGGGTAAAAGATCCAAAGTTCAAGAAAAATCAATTTTTGATGGAGTATCAAAAAGGAAGCCAAGGCAACATGGCAAAACCCTGTCTCTACAAAAAAATACAAACAATTAGCTAGGTGGGGTAGTATACATCTGTAGTCCCAGCTACTCTGGAGGCTGAGGTGGAAGGATCACCTGAATCCCCAGACACTGAGGCTCCAGTGAGCCGTGATCATACTACTGCATTCCAGCCTGGGAGACAGAGAAAGACCCAATCTCACAAAAAAAAAAAAAAAGAAATATCCATAATGATCTAAAATGGCTGTCTGTATCAGATTGGCCTTTGTTCACATTTTTTCAAGCAAATATCACACAATAAATTGAATGGAAATGCAAATGACGTATCAAACATCAACGAAATTTGCAAAAGGTGTAACATTGTACTATTTTGGGTTTAGAAATTTTCTTTTCATAAAAGCATTTATAACAAAATTTGGTGAGCTTTTAAAGAATATTCTAAATATTTCTGATTTAATTTCTAATGATAAATACCAATAGATATAACCTATATACAGAAAAGCTCCTTGGGCCCTCAATATACTTTTAAGAGTGTAAAGGAATCCTGACCCCAAAACTTTGAGAACTGCTGCCTTACCCTCCACTTTCTTCCTTCCCTAGAATTTCTTCCTTGGAAGAAACATTCCTTTGCCATTCTATGTTAACTTACATAGTTCCATTGAGGCCAATTTTGCTACCTCTCTCCTATCTTTCCACATCCTGCTCTTGACACAAAACCTGACCAAAGGACTCTACCGGCCCACCCCATTTCCAGTGATTAGCTCTCAGGTGGGCTAAGCCAAGAAAATCTGGGTTTTCCCTGAGACTAGACCTCTCTTTCTGGGAGATATGGAATCACAGGGACAAGATTGGCCACCTAGGGATAGTCAGAATTCATCTTGCCTAAATGGGAAGAGGTTAGGCAAGTTTCTAGAATGTCAGACTGCTTTCTAGAAAGTCAAAGATAATTATACTTTCTGCCACGACTGTGAGAATGCCCATTTCATTGCACACTTTCTGACATTTTTACCAATCTGATAAATAAAACTAGTACCTAGAAGAAAAAAAGGCTGGGTGTGGTGGCTTATGCCTGTAATCCCAGCACTTTGGGAGGCCAAGGTGAGTGGATCACCCAAGGTCAGGAGTTCCAGACCAGCCTGGCCAACATGGTGAAACCCCATCTCTACTAAAAATAGAACAATTAGCCAGGCATGGTGGCAGCCACCTGTAATCCCAACTACTCAGGAGGCTGAGGCAGGAGAATCACTTGAACCTGGGAGGCGGAGGTTTTAGTGAGCCAAGATCATGCCATTGCACTCCAGCCTGGGTGACAAGAGTGAGACTTCGTCTCAAAAAAATTTTTTTTCCATACAATATAATTGGTTCCATCTCTAGAAACCAATTCAGCAATGAGAACTGAAAGCCACCACATGGAAGGTTTCAAGTATTTAGCTCTAGCTATTGATGTCTAAAGCATTAGTTAAGGTAGAAAACACACGTGCACACACACACACACACACAGAAACATAAACACTCACTCACTCACCCCTATGTATTCAGTATCAGAAAACGCGAATGACTAGATGGTATAGTCATCCAACACAAAGCACACAATAACTGAAGGCACTGTAGAGGAGTAACTTATGACATGGGTCTACAATATTGTTGAGTGAAAAAGCAGATTACAAAAAAAAATCTGATTTTTTAAGGGAGAGGGAACACATACAAGCAAAGGAGAAAAGAGATGAGCAGATGATGGGAAAGATACAAAATTCTGACAGTGGTACATTCTGAGTGGTAGAATTACTGGTATTATGTTCTAGTTTTGCCTAAAAATTTTCTAAATTTCTTAAAATAAGAAGTTTTTGTTATCCATATTATAAAATATCCATCACCCCAGGAAACTTAACCTTGAGCACAAACTCTACAACATGTTCAATGTTTTCAGTTTAATATTTAAGAGACAATGTATTTTGAAAGACATCTAAAATGATGACCAATATTTAAACCTATGCATTAATATTTTTCAATTGTATGCTTTACATTTTGTAATTTTGATAAGGTTAAGTTTTAGATCCATCTTGAAAAGATAACTTTTCTATTTGTCTTTAAAATATTACCTACAATATGCCTGTTTTTAAACAGTGAATGATGCTCAAAAATCACAATATAAATTCAGGCAGTGTTCCTTCCATGGAATGTTTAAGTGTTCCTAACACTGTTCTTTTTCATCAGTTATGAAAACACAGAACAATTATCTAAGCATCTGATTATTCAGGTCCTTTGTTTCTCCTCCATTCTGTTAGTTTTATACTAATTTCAAGGCCTGTGAGGATGAAGTTGTCTGTGACCGCTACCACAAAGGTTACCATTAGCAGACAAGTTTCCAACAAGTTTATCACCACTACCATCCCCACCATAAAACTGTCTCAATCAAGGGCAACACAATTCAAGGTTAGCCAAGACAACCTCTTTACCTGTCACTGCTTAAGAAAAGGATTTTTTGGTCTTATTTAGAAATAACTTTCTGTATCTATTTTTCTCCATAAATCCACTGAGACCAATGTGTGCCTCTATCTCAAGCACCAGCAAGCAAAACTGCCTGCCAGTATGTTCAGTTTTTGTATCTTTCCAAATGTAGGGCACAGCTATCTTTTGATATCATAATTTTTTGAAAACTGACACACAAACTTCTGGAAAGTTCAGCCGGGCACAGTAGCTCATGCCTGTAATCCCAGCACTTTGGGAGGCCGATGCAGGCAGATCACGAGGTCAGGAATTCAAGACCAGCCTGGCCAACATGGTGAAACCTGTCTCTACTAAAACTGCAAAAATTAGCCAGGTGCAGTGGCAGGTGCCTGTAATCCCAGCTACTCAGGGGGCTGAGGCAGGAGAATTGCTTGAACCTGGGCAGCAGAGGTTCCAGTGAGGCAAGATCACACCACTGTACTCTGGCCTGGGTGATATAGTGAGACTCCATCTCAAAATAAAAAAATAAAAAAGAATTTCAGATATACAGCAGTTGTAATTCTTCTGAAGGCTGCTTATGGGACACATTACTTTCATACTTTGCTGTTCAATAAATGTGGGGTGGAGAATAAAGTAAATTGAAAGAATTACCATATAAAATAAAATTCGAAGTCCTCTGACAAGAAAAGAAACTTAAAATACACACACACACACACACACACACACACACACACACACACGGTTTTCCCTGCTAATCATTTTACAACAACCACGTAGCTAACCCAGAGCCCACAAAAGCTGATACAGAAGCCTGAAAGGAAAGCGGGCAGAGCACCTGGACAGGACTCTTACCTGCCGCATCCAGGGTACAATGCGCCTTTCCAGAACACAGCAGCGACCAGGGAAGAGGGATCGCTCAAACAGCACCAGAGGCTGCATTCCAACTTCTCCTCCACCAACGAGTCCATTTTCATTGTTAGTTTCTCCTTAAACAGGATTGGCTGAACACGCGGGAACAAGGAAAACCTGACTGAAGAACGAGGTGTTTAAGCTTAAGGGCCTCGGATCCGGGCGCGGTGGCTCAGGCCTGTAATCCCAGAACTTTGGGAGGCAGAGATGGGTCATTTGAGGTCAGGAGTTTGAGACCAGCTTGGCCAACCTGGTGAAACCCACTCTCTACTAAACAACACAAAAGTTAGCCTCCCTCTTCTGCTTTTCCCAGCAGGAAAGGCCCAGCCTCACCTATGCAACCTGCAGCCCCCCGTCAACCAGTTGAGGCTCCCCTTTTAGACTTATATGTCTATGGCCAGTGCCATCTGGCTACCTGCCCTCCATGCCTTCCCCAGGGTCCCTCAGAGGACCCTGGGTTTTCTGATGGCCCAGAGGGGCCTCTGGCGACCACTCCAGCCAGCCATCCCTTATAGCTCCACCATTTTGGTTCAGGCAGTGTTCCTTCTCTATCAGGTCTGGTGGCTGTTGGATAGGGCTCTCCAAGCAAGAGGTGGCCCTGGGCCAGTGGGTTGGAAGACATGGTCACCAGAGAAGAGGGAAGCCTGAGGGAGCTGGCATTGGTCTGAACTGTGGGTGGAAGGGTGGATTGCCTGGGTGCCATGAGAGAGGCTAGCGTGTGTGGGGTGCGGAGGGCCGCCGCAGTCCCCAGGCACTACCTATGAAGCTTTGGCTTCTCCCTCCATCTTCCTCCCCTTTCCCTTCCAGCCCCTCTTTTCCAGGAACCTTGCCATGCCCACAGCTACGCCCTCCCCTCCCCGGCCCTCCCACAGCTTCTGCAGCGCACCCATACTCTGCACTCGCCTCACCAGCTCTGACTTTTCTCTAACCCGTTTTCTCTCTGCTTTCTCTCCAACTGCCAGCTGATCAGGTCAGGCAAGTCCATCCCATCCTGAGAGCTCCAGGCCCCACTTCGACCTCTAAACAGATTCCTCCTCTTCTCAGAGACCTCCCTTTCCAAGCCTGCCTGGGTGGGTGTCCTGTGACTTGACAGTGGCTCCCCCAGCCCCAAAGCCAGCCCCCTTCATCTGTGACTTAGTCTGTTGTAGTGGTGAGCTGACACATCCAGGTGTGACCATTGCTGAAAACTTGTGCCCCCTCTGTGGTATGCCCCTGCCCAGTTCTATAAATAGCTATAAATTCTCTCTCTCTCTCACACACACACACACACACACACACACACATATATACATATATATACGTGGCCAACTGCCTCGCCTCTAGAACTGGGAATCAGTCCCCGTGCTGTGCTTGTGGAGTCTTGTAGACCAGCAAGAGAAAGCTGTCTCCTGACATCGCCCCTCCAAAGTACACCACCTCCAGTGAGCTTCCAGGACATGCGCAGCCTGTGGACAGCCAGCCCCTGCCATCCCTCCCGCCCTTCTAGCCAAGCATGGCTGCACTGTGCAGGCAGCTGTGTGGCCTGACAGTGTCTACCAGTCCTGCTGTCCCTCGGCTGAGAAACCCATTTCTGGATTACAGAGAATGTGTCCTCTGCTGGCTGTGTTCTCTATGGAGCTCAGGGGATGGAAAAGGCCAAGCCATTTTTAGGGTGTTGTTGGGAGCAGTGAAAAGGTCACACCCTTTTCAAGGGACACTTTTCCTGGAAAGTCCCCGCAGCTTAGCTGGCTCTTATCCTGTGAAGCCGGCTCTGGCCACTAGGGCACAGGGCCCTGAACTCAGCCTGGAGGGAGCCTGCGGGGCAGCCAGCACTCTGGAGGGACAGACAGGCCACCTGGTGCAGACAGGAACGGGAGGCAGGGGGACAGAACGGAAGACACCTGGGGTGGAGGGAAGTCAGTGCCCTTGGGTGCTGGTATCTGTCTTCCTGGCCACAGCTAGATCAGGCTTCTCAACCTGTTGGCTGTCAGGGCTGGACTGTACTCCATAGGCACCATGGCAGTCCCCATGAAATCCACCAGGTGTCACCAGGCAGCATACAGGTAACAGGCCTGGAAGATTCCCCACAGCCCAGCTGGACATGCTGAGACACTCTGGGGCTCCTCGTTCAGTGGGACAAACTACAGGACCCAGTCAGGGAAATGGGAACATAACAGGCTGAGCAGTATGGCTAAATACATTTATTCCAAAATCAAAAGCAAAACAACAACAACAACAACAATAACAACAACAAACAAAAAACAGGAGTCCCATCACCAGGGAGCCATGACCCCATCCCCGCCTCCTTCCTCGCTCCTATGCTAGCAATAAATAAGTTTCCCAGCCGTGAATAATTATAAGAACCTCTTCCTCATATGCCAGCTGCAACCTCCACTAGGTACGATACGGAATGTTACACAGCTACAGTATGTACACGGGGGAAGGGGGGCCACCCCCAGCAGCCTGTGCCCTCACCTCATCTACAGTTATCTCCACTGTCCCGCCTCAGCTGCCTCTCTGAGTAAGAAGATGGGAGCCCCCCGAGGGAAAAGTTGCTTTGGTGAGAGTAAGGAGGCCATCAGACCTCCTCCAAACAAACCAACTCCTCCAACCTCTGGCTCTTAAATAACAAACATCATCATCCAGAAATGTAAGGACTCAGCCTTGGTCAAGGTGGTAAGGGTCTGTTTGTCTCCCTGCATTAGACCAGGGTCTTGTCTTGCTACCCTAATGGTAAAGGGGTGACTGGGGAGGTGTTGTAGGGACATGGTGGGGGTGAAGACTCCAGACCCACTTCTCCAGGCTTATGCTGACAGGGGCCTGCTTTTATTTATTTTTATTTTTATACCATGACTTTTTTTAAATCCTGTAACTTCTTTTTCATAACTTTTTAAAAAAATTTTTCATAAAACTTTTTTTTACTTTTTTTCCACAACTTTTTTTGCCACTTTTCCACAGTATTTTTTATCCCGTAACTTTTTCATCCCACAACTTTAATTCCTGTAACTTTTTTAGTTTGTGTTATTTTAATAAACACACTTACATAGTTACAATTTTGTAAGAATAAAAACTGATTATCTCATGCCAAGCGTGCCCAGCATTTGCACAGTCTCAATACCTTTAATACTATAGTTTTCAAGACACACAAAATTTTTAGGCAAAACAGCACCTTGAAACAATTTAATAATGTATTACATTACAGTAGCTTCACAGAAGCAGTCAATAATACCACTTTAGACAAAAATCAGTATTTCCATTATACATTCTGTTTGTAAGAATTCATAAATCAGTAAAAGTCATTCTAAGAAAACTTGGCAAACACAGCTTTGGACTGGAATTGGCATTTCTTTGTCTACTTTTCCTTCCCCTAGATTCTTTGTTTTAAACTAGAGCATTCATATTTTAAAATGTTTTGAATTATTTTAAGATGTTAGTATAGCAGTTACATTTTTGAATAGTTATTTGAAAGTGACTGTAAGACAAAGTTTTAGAGAATCTATTTTGGATAGAGTTGACTTACATTTTCACATTTTCTAAAAATCAGCTTTGGTTTTAGAACTGTTTTTTTTTTTCATTTCGGGAAAACCTACCAGGTTTAATCAATTACTTTAAAAATAATTATCACATATTGCAGTCTTTAAGTAGGTATTTTGATTCTTTACTCCCTAGAGAAATTCATTCAGTTGAAGTCACATTTTAAAATTCTATGTTCCTGCTGAACTCTAACCTTCTAATGTTGCCTTCCAAGCAAATTGAAAGCTGCCTTATACTGAATAAGAGAACAAATATTTGGCTGAATGAGGTATTGCAAAACACTGTATGCACTTTGAAGAAAGACTTAAGTTATTGTCATAGGATTTCCATTCTTTTTAGCTTTTTCTTAAACATATGACAAAATACCTATACAAAGAGTGGTATTTGAGTTAATATAGTACATTTATTTTTCAGACTTACATTCAGTTTAAATATGCCAGTATGTGATTTAATCCATAGGTACCTGATGAACACATTATTGTCAGATTGGTTACAGATGCTAAACGCTATCTGAAGGTCATTACTAGTCATTTATACGTGTCAGGGTAAAAGTGAAGCTATTTGAACTATAAAAATACCTTTGAAATAATTTATCAATGTATTAGATAAGCTCAGTTTCATAATGATAAACAAAAACTGTTAGACCAAATAATGTGCTACTGGCAACCCAGGTGCCAAAGCAGGGAGAGCCCAGCCGGGCAGCCCTCAGCAGGGACAATGTATTAGTCTGTTTTCATACTGCTATAAAGAACTGCACGAGACTGGATAGCTTGTAAAAGAAAAAGGTTTAATTGACTCACAGTTCAGCATGTCTGAGGAGGTGTCAGGAAACTTACAATCACAACGGAAGGTGAAGGGGAAGCAAGGAAACTTCACGAGGTGGCAGAAAGAAGAAGTGCTGAACAAGTAGGAAGAGCCCCTTATAAAACCATCAGATCTCATGAGAACTCACTCACTGTCATGAGAACAGCATGGGGGAAACCATTCCCATGATCCACCAACTACCTCCATTACCTCCACCTGGTCTCTCCCTTGACAGGTGGGGAAAATGGGGATAATTCAAGATGAGATTTGGGTGGAGACACAAAGCCTAATTATATCACACAAGGACCCCCATCATCCATAACCAAGCCCTACTGTCTCCCTGGCCTCTCTTCCCCACCTCCATCCTCTGCTCCATCTGAGACTGAGGAAAAGGAGCAGGCTGGCCACATTGGGTGAGGCCAGGCACCTCAAGCCTCAATTGCCCTGCCTCTCCTCCCTGTAGTTCCACCCCAAGAGTGCTGGGCCCTGCCACTGGGATGTGTCCTCCAAGGCCTTGCCTGAGTCTGGCCCTGCCTCCCTCAGGAGTGTGTGAGCCCCTGGGCCGGGCTAGAGGTCACCTCCAGGGAACTGTGGCAGAGACAGGAGCCTGGAGAAAAGGAGGGGGAGAGGAGGCCCGTGGGCAGATGCTGGGCCGCCAGACCTCTGAGAGGGGCCTGAGCCAGTGGTCACGCCTGGGTCTGAGAGTCCCCTGTAGGACTCCATATGGGGCCAGATGGCAGGATATGATAACAGGGTGTAAGTCAGGCACCAGACCTTGAGTCTGCAGAGGCCCAGACAGGACCAGGGGCTTGCTCAAGATACCACAGAAGGTCTGGCTGCTCCAGGGGAAGGGAAGCCTGGTGTCTGTAGGGAAAAGAAAGAGAGATCAGACTGTTACTGTGTCTATGTAGAAAAGGAAGACATAAGAAACCTCATTTTTATTTGTACCCTGAATAATTGTTTTGAGATGTTCATTTGTAACTTTAGTTTCAACCCTGTGTTTACAGAAACACGTGTTGTATAGAATTAAGGTTTAAGGGATCTAGGGCTGTGTAGAATGTGTCTTGTTAATAATATGTTTACAGGCAGTATTTTTGGTAAAAATTATTGTCATTTTTCATTTTTGATTAACCAGGGGCACAATACACTGCGGAAAGCTTCAGGGACCTCTGCCCAAGAAAGTCTAGGTATTGTCCAAGGTTTTTCCCCACTGAGATGGTCTGAGATATGGCCTTATGGGAAAGGAAAGACCTGACCGTCTTCCAGTCCGACACCCATAAAGGGTCTGTATTGAGGAGGATTAGTAAGAGGAAGGCCTCCATCTCTTGTATGCCTCTGGGAATGGAGTGTCTCCGTGTAAAACCCGATTGTACATTCGTTTTATTTTGAGATAGGAGAAAACCGCCCTGTGGCTGGAGGCGAGTTATGTTGGCGGCAATGTTGTTCTATTACTTTTTACTACACTGAAATGTTTGGGTGGAGAGAAGTATAAATCTGGCCTATGCATACATTTACGCATAGTAAAAAAAAACTTTTTTTTTAATTTTATTTTTATGGATAGGGTGATTTTAACTTTTTATAAATTTGGTTTAGTTTTTTAGTTAAATTATTATTATAGGCTGGATTAATGGGCCAGATGGATGGGGCCTGTGAACATGAGTGAGTTTGACCCGTAGAATTACAATATAATTGGTTTTGAGGGGCCTAGTTTATAATAGTTTTGAATTTATTGTTTTGTAGTATTATTGTAGTATTAGTTATATATTTTTTTAAAACTAAGACTTTTGGATCTTTTGATTTTTTAGGGGCAAGGATTTTTTTAGGTTTAGATTTTAATGATTTTTGAAAAGAAGAGTTTTGTAAATTATTTGTGGTTTGAGTGACATTTTACTTACTATGTAATAAGTAAATTTATTGGTATTGATAGTAGGTACTTTTACTAATTTTGGGTTGTAGGTATTAAATATTTTGGTGTCTTTTTTAGGCAAATAGGATAATAATATTTAATAGAAATATTTATATTATTATTATTTTTAGGTTGGGCAGGGCAACGATTATTTGTGGGGCCTGGTACCCATGTATTATTAATATATGTTTTAATAGGATTATTTATTTATGTGACTGAATTAAGGGTGAGAAAGGTACATAGGCTTAGTATAATTAGTTGTTGTTTTTGTAGACATGGGGATACTTACTATTGTTGATATAATTATTAAAGTCATAAACAGTATTTTTTTGGAGTTTGTGTCACTTTTGTGTTTTTTTGGCTTTTTTTAGTTAACGGTGTTAGTTTTTTTAATTGTGTTTAAGTTGGTGGCTTTGTTTTTTTGGTGGATGGCGACTGTTTTTTTGATATTGTTATTTTATTTGGTGAGTTAATGATGCTTGATTGTGGTGTTTTTATTTTTGTGGAGGTGGCTTTTTGTATTTTTAATGGGTTTATTGTAGAATTTGAAATGTTTAGTGGGTATTTAAACAGGAAGTTGATTTTTTGGTGAAACACAAGTAAAGCTTTTTTTAATGTTTTTATTTTTTATGTTTTTTAAATTAAATTAGTTTTTTTATGTGGGTTTTTTATTAGTAAAATGTTGTTCTGTAGAAGTAGTGGTCTGATTTTTATATATGTTAAAAAAGTTTAAAGTATAGAGTGTTAGATTAAGTTGTATTGGGGGAGTGTTTTGCTTTTTATTGTTTAATTGAGTTTTGAGTGTTAGTTTTTTAAATTATGGTTTGTGTTTGGGAATTATAGGGGATTTTTGTGTATGTGTAATTTTTTATTGATTTAAGAATTTTTGAAATGTTTTATTACACTATTTTGTCCTATTATTTAATTTTTTGGAACTTTATGACAGTAAAACAAGATAATAAATGTTTTTTTAATATGGGAAGTACTTTTGTTTGGTAGGTTGTTTATATAAAATGTGAATAAGTATTAACTGTTGTATGGACAAATGACAATTTTTCAAATGAAGGTACATGTGTGATATTTATTTGTCATAACGTATTAGGACATAGACTTTTGGGATTAACTTTTGTTTTTTGAGTGGGCAGGTGTAGAATTTGACACTGGGTGTAATGTTGTACAATATTTTTTGTTTTTATGTGATATTAAATTTATTTTTTAGTTTTGTTGTATTTATATGAGTTAAGGCATGAAGTTTTTGTGTTTTTATGAATGTAGATGATACTAGTAAATTAGTTTGTTTTTTTTAGTTAAAGGCCTTGGTAAATTAGTGTGTGCTTGAATATGAGTAATATAAAATGGGAAATTTTTTTTTTTACTGTTTGTTGTAACAAATTAAATAGTTGGTTTAACTGATTATATTCGATATTTGATTAGGGCTGTTTTAACTTTTTTGTAGTTTGTGTTATATATGTAGAATTTGATACAATGTTAATAGGCTGATTAAAATTTTGTAATATTGTAATGACAGTAGCCAATTTTGTTTTTTGAGTTAAGTGACATTGAGTTTTAATGACTTGTTTTCTTGGTCTGGTGTAAGTCATTTTTTTATTGTTGGAACTATTAGTAAACACCATTAGAGTATTTTTTAAAGGTTTATGTTTGGTAATTTTAGGTAAAATTTAAGTAGTCAATTTTAAAAACTGGAAGATTTTTGTTTTTGGGTAATGATTGTCAATAATTTTTTATAAAATTAGTAAGACCAATTTGTTGTATACCAGAATTGATAAAGTCTTGTTTAATTTGTTTTTTGTTTAAAGGAACAATGATTTTATTTGGGTTATTTTTATATAATTTTATTATTTGTAGTTTTGTCTAATTAATGTAGTCATTTGATTTAAGTACAATGTAAAAGTCTTAATTGTGCTGTAAGGAAGGAAGGACCACTTCATAAGATTTGTATTTTGAACAATAATGTCTGTTGGAGAATGTGTAGTAGTAAAAATTAAAAGTTGGAGTGGGGCTAAGTGATTCATTTTATTTATTTGGGTTGACTGAACTTTTTTAAATTAATTTTTTTAGTTGTCTTTGGAGTTAATGTTCATTATTTAATTTTGGATTTTTTTTAAGATAGAGAACAAATTTGACATGGCATAAGTAGGGATGTCTAGAGTTGGCTGAGTTTAATAATTTTTAGTAATTTTTGAAAGTTATTTAATGTTTTTAATGTTTAATTTTTATTTTTTGTGGTTTTTTAACTTACATTTTTAAGTAATGGAAAGGATTAGAGGTTTGAATTTTATTAGATATTATTGTCAGTCTTATGTTGGTAACCTTTGCTTGTAGAAATGTGTAATAGTTAATTTGTTTTTTGTTTTTGTAGTATACAAAATAGTATTAATATAATGAATAACAGTTTGAAAACTTGTGTTTAACTGGTTGAAGAGTTTGAGTTACAAAAAAGTTTGACAAATAGTTGAACTATTAAGTATTTTTTGAGGTAACACTTTTTACTGAAACCTGGTGGCTGGTTTTTTATTATTTATGGCTGGTATAGTGAAAGTAAATGTTTTTAAATTTTGTTTTGTCAGAAGAATGGTAAAAATGTAATCTTTTAGATTAATTATAATTAAAGGCCAATTTTGGGGGATTATGGCCGGAGAGGGCAACTCAGGTTGGAGACTCTCCATGGGTTGAATTACGGCATTAATGCTTTTAAGTTGGTTAGTATGTGTCATTTGTCGGATTTTTTTTTTTTTTTTGAATTATAAACATAGGAGAATTTTAAGGCGAAAATGAAGGCTCAATTTTTTTTTTTAAATTTTTTTGTTAGTAAGTGTAAAGTTTTTAGTTTGTGTTTTGGTAGTGGCCACTGATTTACGTATATAGGTTTTTTTTGTTTTTTAAGTTAATGGAATGGGTTTTGGAGGCTTTACAGTGGCCACTTTTAAAAAGGATACTTTATTTTTTTTTAATTTTTTTAGTCTTAATTGGGACTTCAGTGTCTTTTTTTTTTAGTTTTTTGTCAGGGAGATATTTTATTTTAGTCACGATTTTTTGACTTGTGGGGCTGTATAGGAAGGCTGGGATAGGGCAGGGATGGAGCTTGGAGGAGGGCTAGAGCTCTGAGGGGGAGGATCAGAGGGGCTTCCTGGAGAAGGAAGACACAGGAGGGGTCCCCAAGGTAGGGGTGTTCGGACAGGCTTAGAAGGGGAGGGCAATGAGCAGGACAGGCTCAGGCGAGGCAGGAGGTGGCCAGAGTCAGACCTCCTGATGGGGGCATGTGGGAACTTCCGACCAGAGCCCGTGAAGGCCCCACTGATTGGAGAGTCCACTACTGACCTCCCCCTCCACTCAGGACAGAACCGAAACCAGTGCCAGCCTCATCCTGGCAGGAAATTCCTGTTATCCTAACATTCGGGTGAGGTTGGTCTGGGCCCCCTCCCTCCACCTCAGACTGGGGCCTGCAAGTCAGGGTTCTGTTTCACCCACGGTCATCCCAGGGCAGGGTTGTGGAGGGCCACAGCCCCACCCCACCCTGAGCCCCAGCAAGCAGCCCTGAGCCAGATTTCCCCAGGTTCCAGCCTCCATCAGCACAGAGCGGGCTCTTTGTAGAGGGCTCTCTGCAGCGGCGGGCTGGCTCAGGGGTGCCAGCACGGTTGGCAGTGTTCTCAGCTTTTCGCTCTTGCAGGGAGTGGTTCTCCCACCCAGCATGCTCCAGTGACCAGGGTGACCTGAGCAGCTGTGACTCTCCTGTCAGCTGAGCCGCCAGGTGGTCACAGGAGAGGAGGCTGTGGCAGGCCCTCCCTCTGTCTCCCATAGCCCTGCTGCCCCTGGGCCACTCTGGCACCCCCGTCATGGGAACCAAGGGTAATGGTGGGGTAGCCTAGTGGACTTCATAGCCTAGACTGCACCATGTACATGGTACTTCATGGGAGGTAAGGAACATGCTGGAGCCAGCAGGCCCCACCTGCCTCAGCCCCTCAAAGAAGGACACCCCAAGAGAAGGGTGGGTCAGGCATAAGTCACCATCGTAAAGAGGAATTTGTTGAAGAAAGCCCCATATTCCCCATGACAGAGGTCAGAAACTCCAGTGTTTTCGGGGGCTCAGCCCACGCCAGGGAGGGAAACTGTCTGCTTGCAGGCTGGGTGCTTTGCATGTAAATGGGTCCTGCCATTCTTCGGCTCCACAGAGGGAGAAATGCGCACTGTGTGGATAGGGCTCCTCGTGGTTTTTTTGTTTTTTGTTTTTTGGGGACGATTCTTGCACTGTTGCCCAGGCTGGAGTGCAGTGGTGCGATCTCAGCTCACTGCAAGCTCTGCCTCCGGGGTTCATGCCATTCTCCTGCCTCAGCCTCCCAAGTAGCTGGGACTACAGGCGCCCGCCGCCATGCCCCTCTACTTTTTTGTATTCTTAGTAGAGATGGGGTTTCACCGTGTTAGCCAGGATGGTCTCATCTCCTGACCTCGTGATCCGCCAGCCTTGGCCTCTCAAAGTGCTGGGATTACAGGCGTGAGCCACCACACCTGGCCGGCTCCTCATGTTTTAAGAGAACTTTAAAATGCAGAATTTGTGGTGGAATCTCCCAAGTTTTAAATGTTGACAACCAGGTCAAATTTCAAAAGAACGTGCGGTTTAAACAAAACATATCCAGGAACCATGCTGTGCGCCAGGAGATGGAAGCAAGGCATCCATGGTGCGGCCCAATTTTCCAGTGCTTCCTCAGCTCCATATCAGCCTGTGCACCTGTGTGAACCCCGGCATGCCAGATGGGGGAAGCAGGCCTCAGGACCCCAGATCCCCAAAGACAAGGCACCACACTTTATGGCTCCTCCAGCATTTTCCAAAGGTTGGTCCAGAGAAACTTGTTCCTGGAGTTATTCATAGACATTCCTTATTTAGAGCCAAAACACTCTGGGAATCTCGGGGTTAAATAAATCAAAACAGACTTCTTTACTCCAGGACCTCTGGGAGCCTTTCACCTGTTACAGTGCCTTGTGAGTATCCAGGAGGCAGAGGCTGTGCAGCGCTTCCCAAACCAATTCCACATGGAACCCATTTTCAAGGTATACCTGTTAATTCCAGAAAGATGCTACTGCCCCATAGAATGCAGTTCTAG
Source organism: Homo sapiens (assembly GCF_000001405.40). Classification (NCBI taxonomy): domain Eukaryota; kingdom Metazoa; phylum Chordata; class Mammalia; order Primates; family Hominidae; genus Homo; species Homo sapiens. Next base: position 25,413,211 of record NC_000024.10, on the reverse strand, counting down.
AAGCGGAGCTCAACACACCACTCCACCCATTTCACAGACTCAGCCATCCCAGGGTGGTGGGAACCCAGGCTGGGGTAGGGAGGGGCAGAGGAGCTGCCAGACTGCCAGACACTGGTCAGGAGGACAGCAGCAGCACCCAGGAAGAGCAGACTGAAGGAGCCAGACCCCCTAGGAGGCCCCTGCTGTCATCCAGAGGAGAGGGAAGGGGTGGAGCCAGGCCTGAGGCAGGGAGGTGGGTGCAGAGTGGATGCCTCCCAGGGAGATTTTACAAGTGGAAGGAACAGTCAGAACTTGGTGACTGGAAGGCTGTGTGGAGTGTGGGGGAGGGAGGAGGCGAGGAAGACACCGGGTGAGGGCTAAATGGGCAGAGCTCAGATGGAGACTCTGGGACCCAGGGGAGGGGTGCTCAGAGCCCAGGCTGGGGACCAGTTCCCTCCACCTCCCCTGACCCACAGCCCATCTCAGGGAGCTAGGCTCAAGTAAACTTCAGCCACCTGGAGTTCCCATGGCGACCACGGGAGAGAAGCCCCAGAGGACCTGGGCAAGCAGGAGGAGGAGAAGCAGGTCAGGGCACCAGGGGCTCAAAACCCGACCACCCACTTTTTGGTTAATCCCCACTGCTCTGAGCGTTCTCACTAAACAAGTTAGGCTGGTGGTTAGTAGTCAGCTCTTCCCACCCTGCTACCGAGCCGGGCCTTTGTTACGGTGGTTCTATTCTCTCTGGGATGTTTCCAGCAACCCTGGAACCAACCATGCATTAAAATCTCACCTTGTGGCTCAAGTCAAATATCCCCCGCTACATGAAGCATCCCCAGCTCCTCAGCCAGAGCTGAGTTCTCCCTTCCCTGCGCACCTCATGCTCCTTACAGCCTGGTATTCGGGCATCTGAGGAGTCTATGTCTCCCCTATGAGACCCTCAGCTCCTCCAGAACAGGGTCTGAGTCCTGTTCATCTGGTTCCGCCATAAGCCCAGCCTGGTGCTGGGCATACAGCAGGCATTGGTGCAGCCTGGGTGGGGTAGGTGGAGCCGATGCAAGGGTCGACTGTGAGCAGGGCTGCTGATGCCATCTCAGTTGCTAGTTTGCCTGTGGTTGAGGCCCCTGCCTGCTTCCCACCCTGAACTAAGGAAGACTGCCTCACCCCCAGGTCCCCATGGTTCCTGGTTGCCCTGCAGAAGGCAATGAGTATCTGACCCCAGAGGCCAAGCCTGGGACATGCAGAACCTCTGGCCTGATCATAAATGACTCAGGCCAGACTGTCACCCTAGTAACTTGGGGGACCCTGAGCTATGGGGGAGCAGAACCCCAAGGAAGATGAAGAAGCCCATGAGAAGGGAGGAGAGAGCAGAGGAGACCCTGGGGAGCAGCCAGTGGGGAGAGGACCCTGTTACCACTGCCACTGGAGGCCTGGCTGCACACACATGACCCAGATAACAGATTCGGGGAAGACCATTCCATTTAACTGGCAAAGTGGGATCATTCCCGCAGAGGGGAGAAGAGCTTTTCCTGCCACCCAGAGCCAAGGTGGGGCCCCCTCCAGGAAGAAGTGAGGAATAAGGGCTTTAGAGCCATTTTGAGAAGCATCCTGGGAGTTCCAGGACGGCCAGGCTGCTGAGGTGATGGGGGAAGGGCTGGGAGGAGGAAGCAGATCCAGAGATGCCCTGAGTTGGAGCCCACAGCCTGCACTCACTGCTGTGCTCCTGGAACTGCCACTGAGCTGATGCTGGAACCGCTGAGAGGCACATGTCATGCAGGTGCGGGAGCCTGCCAGCACCTCCTCTTAGAAGAACTGAACCAGGAGCAGCATGCAAGGGGGTGTGGAGAATGTGCCCCGCAGACGTCTATCCTGCCACCCAGATGGCACAGAAGGGCCAGTGTGGGGCCCAGAGCCAACAGCAAAGTCACCCGGGGAAGACCCAGAGACTCCACTGTGGCCTGTGCCCTTGCACCTGATGCGAGGACTAGGACAGACAGGAGAGCCTGGCGGCGGGGTAGCGGGGGCTGGCGGCTGCAGTACCTCTCACTTTCTGCAGCCACAGGAGAGCGGCCGGCCAAGACTGCGGCTGGCCAGGCAGTTGGCCTGTGGCTGTCCATCCAGGCACCTGGATGCCCTGACCTGTGGGTGTTTCTGGCAGAACAGGCCTGGAGGGCAGGGCCCGGGCAGGCATCACTCTCTGTGAGGACTCTGCCTCAGAGAGCCCCTGTTGACAGTGGGGGAGGGAAACATGAGAGAGGCAGGCAAGGAATAGGAGGCGCGGTTCTGCTACCCCCACCTCAGCCTCAGCCCTCCCTCCACGGAGCATCCCCCCGGCCCCTCCCCACCAATGCCACCTGATCCCAGCCCCTGCTCTGTGCAGGGCCCTGGGCCACTCAACCTGGCGTGTTCATGATTCAATGCCTGCATCCCACACAAACAGGTTCCACCCTCGGCCCAGGCAGCAGGTGGCTGTCCAGCCCCTGCCTCCCAGTGCAGCCTCCTGCTCAGGGCAGGGAAGCCCAGCCTCCATTTCCTGGGAAAAGGAGGCTTGGGCACCCTGGAAGGGAGAATGCTCCACACCCCCCAATAGAGGCTGGTGGCTTTCTGCTGTGGGAAGGTGAGTGCCCTGAACACAGAGTCCCAACCCAAAGAGAAAGATGCCCCTCAGCATGTGAAGGTGGCAGGGATCAGGGTGCTCAAGTCCCAGCTCCAGCTCTGGGAGGAAAGGCAGGGAATTGCCTTGGGGCCTCCATTTGTCTACTCATCGAGAATGAGCACATTTCTTAGACGGTGGAAGGTTCTGGATAAGCCAGCATGGGGCAAGACCCATGTCCTCTCAGGAGGATGTCAGAGAGAGAGCTGCCTGCCAGCGGGCCGTGACCTCCACCCCAGGTCCTGCTGCTTCCCCTCCAGGCTGAGGGCTTTGGGTGTGCTGGGCTGTAGCCAGACTCTTGGAGGCCACCATTGGCCATGTGTCTCTCCTCTCTGGCCTGCTCCAGAGTGGACCCGGGTCTTGCCCCATACTGGCTTCTCCAGACCCTTCCACCATCCGTTTCCCTTGGGTGAGTTCTTAAGGGCAGGACCTAGGGTGTCATCTCTGCTTCGCAGCCTGGAAGTGCCCATGGGCAGGAATGGAACACCTGTGATTTTATCCAAGTGCACCAGGGCTGGGTACACACCAGGCCTGATACAGATGTGGTTCCGTCCCTCCCAAACAAGGAGATGCTGGAGGAGGAGAAGGTGGGAGAGGCCCCAAAGGCCTAGGACGGAGCAGACCTAGGAATGACACACCCTGCCTTGCCCCACCTCACCCCAGGCGGTGGATCCCAAGGAGCCACTTCTCCAGGAGAAGGGATCCAGGTGGCCACTGGTGGTCATAAAGCCATCTGGAAAAGCCTCTTGATGGCCAAGTGCAAGTGCCCAAGCCCCCGCGGGTAGCAGAGCCGGTAAATTATGGCTGAGGGCTGCACACCCTCCCTTCTGTATTTATATCTGCCTTGGTGCCTGACAATGGATATTTATGTATTTTCAATATTCAGGGCAAACGCTCCATCACTCCATGCTCACAGCTGCAGCACACGACACCAGCCCCACAGCAACTTTCCTCTTTCACCTGGTCTGCCCACTCAGGGCCCTGGAAGGGAGACCCCCACCCCCATCTGCAGGCCCACATGACTCAGGGGAGTAGAAGGAAGAAAGGGACCAGGCCAGCCTCCCTGCGGAGCCTAAGGGCCCTCTCAGAGACAGGGCCGGTCCCCCTGCTTTAGAAACCAGCAGCTGAGGCTCAGAGAGGTGGGGTGCCTGGGCGGGGTCACACAGCATCCTCTCTAGGCCAGGGTTCCTCGCTCACACCCCAGGTGAGTTGCCTCCCTCCTGACTTGGGAGAGTTGCAGAGCCTGGCTGCCTTTCCTGACCCTCTGACCTTTTTTTGTTTCTCTTGTTCTTTCTAGCATCCTCTCTGTGTGTCTCTGGGTCTGACTCTCACCATCCTAGCCCCTCTCACATCCTTCACCATCTCTGGCTTAGTGACTCCCCCTCTCTCTCATTGCCCCCCATCTCCCTGTTTCACTCCCACCCGGCCCCACCTCCCTTCTCTCCTGGCTCACATCCTCCCTCCCCCTCAGAGCCCCTGTCCTTGTCCACCTCCATCTCCCTGACTCTGTCTCAAGGCTGAGGTCAGGGCAGGGGTGGGAGGAGCTGTCCTGGTGCCCAGCAGGGGCCTCCCTGGGCAGCTGTGTTGCCCGTGCCCTGCACTTGTGATAGGAGAGCCCCCAGGGCCCTAACCCAATGCAGGCACAGAGCAGAAGTGGGACTGATCGTGGGAGGTTCGGGGTTGGGGGGCAGGTTTCCACTCGGTGGGAGCAGGTGAAAGACGTGTGTGCGCCATCCCCAGAGCTGTGTGTAGGGGGCACTGAGGGTGGATTTCTGCACCAGCCCCACCACTTGACCTTGAACGACCCGTCTGGTTCTGGGATCGGGGCTGAATGATGAGTTCCCTGGGACTGCCGTAAGCTGAAAAGGTTAATGCCTCTGGGCCTGGGGTCCCTCAGCCTCCTCACTGCCCACACCGGTTCCTCCCCACTTCACCTTCACCCTTCTGCTGCCCCTCTCCCCTCTCCTCTCCTCTCTGTCATTTCATTCCTCTCTCCCTTCTTCTCTCCCTTTCTCCCCCTGCTGGGAATGAGAAGAATTAATTAAACGTGTCCTCAGCTCCGGTCTCCTCACTTCCTCCAGGGAATTAGCCACTCCCTGCTCCTTGGGCCTTGTTAGATTCCAAGAAAAAAATAACTGGTGTGTGCTCTGCATGCATGTACGTGTGCACGTGGGCATCCCTGCACACACAGTAGTACGCCCCGGGCTGGTCTGCAGGTTTGTTGACACGTACTCATGTGTGTACAATTCCATGCACACTCTGGAGTCTGGAGACAGGACTGTATGTTTGTGTGAATACACACGTGCATCTCCTACGGTGCATGTGTGCCTGTGTTCCATATGGGTCTCTATACGTGTGCACGGTGGGGCTTCACACTGAAACCCACCCCTTGTGTACATCTCTGTTGGATCCGTGTGCTTGCACCGTGTGTTTGGGGAGTTGCGTGTTACTGTGCAAGTCTGTGTTGTGTGTGTGTGTGCTAGACTTATGTGCACACCTCTATTAATGCAGTATGTGTGTCCATGCATGTGAGCATGTCTGTGTGTGTGTGTGCAGTGTACACACACCCTTGGCACCCTACACACACATCTCCTTCCTGGCTCCCTTAAGCTAGCAGCCTTGTCCCCAACAGGAGGCCCATCATGTGGCATCTCTGGAGTGATGGCAGTGGTGACAGTGGCAGTGTGGGTGTCAGGAGGCTGCAGGTGGGCAGGTGGAGGTGGTGCAGGGGAAGGTGCTTGCTAATGAGGCCACCTTCCTTGCCAGCCTGAGAGCTGGTACCACTAATGATCTCTTCAGTAAGCAGCTCCCTGGGGAAGGGCTGCTGCCACAGCCCTGCTCTCTCTCTCCCCTGGGACCCTCCTTTCCCCACTTCCCCAAATCCTGAGGCGCTGCAGGAGCCATGAGCATGAAGATAAAGCATAGACAGAGCCAGGGGCCAGTGCCTGGTCCCACCAGGACCCAGGAGACCATCCGCCTGCTTGTCAGCCTGCCACCAGGAAGCCCACCTTCCAATGAACACTCTGTGTTAGGCCACAGTCTCCAAAAGGCCTCTGCGAGTCCACTTGTGCTTCTGGAGGAAGGGGCCCTGCACACCGCAGACAGGGAATGTGCTTCTGTAAAAGGAGCACTCAGCTGGGAGTCAGGCGGGCTGGCCACTAATCCCAGTGCTGTGTGACCTCGGGCAGGCCCTGCACCTCTCTGGACCTTGGTTTCCTTATCTGTAAAATGGGGGAAGGCTAGAATGGCTGGTAAATGCTCAGCTCTGTGAACCATCTGAACCTGTTTTGTATCACCAGTAAGGAATCACCCATAATAGGGGAAAGACTAGAGCCACTCTAAACCTAAAACAGGATTAGATGGTATACGGAACTGAGCATTTGCTATTTTAACTTTGTGTTTACTTTCATGGATATATTTCATGTGTATATTTTCACATATATGTGTATATGTATATGTCTGTGTGAGCATGTATGTGCACATGTGTATGTGTATATGTGTGCGGGTATTTGACTAGTATATCAGACCCTGATTTCTCAAATATGGCTAAAGAAGAGGGTAAATCACACACTTAAATTTTAAAGGTAAGCTGATTTTTAAAAAACGCTAAGTAAAGAAGAATTCCAGTGGCATCTGAGTGTGGCAAAAGTCCTGATGAAAGGTGACAAATGGCTGCAGCCCTGGACTGAGTGTCCCTGTCCCCTTCCTGCCTAAGGGACAGTGGATTCAGGGCCCCGGCCTCCCTGGAATGAGAGATGCACAGACTGGGCCCTGATATCCCACTGTGTCCTCACAGCCCCAAGACAGAATGCCATGGGGATTGGCAGGTGACCATACTGTGAAGTTCATGGAGCCAACCCTCTGGGCCACAGGCCCCATGAGATCTCTGAGGCCACAGAGTGTGTCCACATAGGTGACCTCTAGGGTGATTCAGGCCAGGGCACAGGAATGGCCTGGGCAGAGGTGGCCTGGGCCTGGGCAGAGGTGGCTCAGGCTGAGCCTGAGGCATCCTGGGGGCTCAGCACTGCATCTCCTCGGAGAGGCCATCTGAGACTGCTGGGCCCATGAAAAGGCTTCTGACGTTGACCATAATAAGGAGCTGGCAAGTAGAATCACAATAAGGGATTTTACTTTTGTTCCAAATATATATTCCAGGTCTTGAGTAATCTAAATGATAATACTGATTAATAGGAGTATCTATTATACATGTGTTATGTATGTGTATTATTCATAGATATATAATACATGTATATCTGGATTTATTATATGTGTATATATACATATATATGTACGCATGCAAATTAACTTTAATATCTACAAAACACTTAAAAATGGATATTAGATCACAAGTACAACCTCAACAATGCCCCCAAAATATATATACTGTGCAGGTATTATTTTATTCTCCGATTCTCCTTGATTTTTTTTCCATCTTATTGGCATCCCTACTGTAATCAAAAAAAGGAGAGTCTTTTTGTCAAGAAATTGCTTAAAATTCCTTTCCATTGCCTCAGATATTTAAAGAAAACTCACAGTTTTCTTTGTCCCATCTTTTTTCCTTGCCTACTTCCCTACTTTTCCTTACAAATATTATGCATTATTCACATTGCAGTAAGTTACACCCATTCACTGTAAAAAAGAACAATACAACACACCCTGAAATCTTTGGGGCTACTAATTTCTAAAAAGATTACTTCAAGCAGTAAAGTTTTCTTTTATAAAAAAGAAAGTTTAAAGTTTCATCACTCAAATGTAGCCTATCTAAAACACCTGGAAATGATTTCAAAGTTTCAAAGTCACTATTCTGATAGGTATTACTTCCAACCTAACCATTACTGGTCTTTGAAATACAGAAGCTAAAAGCAGACTGCACGGATCAAATACTATAGATAAAAGCATTTTGAAAAGCCTACGGTACTATGAAAACATAAGGTGGTAGTATTAAAAATGGATTTGGACATGAAATCCCAAACTCATTCATTTCAGTGATGCCTTAGTGCTTGGATGAGGGCAGAAAACAGTGAGACTTTCATCCAGATCCAGTTCAGCATCTTACTGGGATCATTTCAGGCCAGTCAGCTTTAATCAAATTACACTCCATCCATACATGATTAGAAACAAACTGAGGTTTTGGTCAAGTGCCACCGTTTTTCACTCAGGGCTGTCATGCTCACTTTCTTGGAAGACACTTGGAAATTATGTGATCAAATCTGAAAGTAACTTTTCAAGAGGTGTGTGTGGTCTTTCTGACAAAGAAGAACTTTATATTTGCGACTGAGTTAAAGTCTCTGGCTGTAACTAATTAGTTAGTGATAAAATAACAACAATGAACATGGAATACAAGCTAGAAGAAATCTTAGACTTTAAAACACATTAACGGAATAAAATTTATAATATCACTCTCATCTATCAAATATAGCCAAGAATATGGAAGAAAAAGAATTGTTAAAGATACACCTAGTAGGAATTTCTAAAAAAACATCTGCTGAGACAAAGAAGCTGGGCATACTGCATGTAAAAGTAAAATTACAGGCCAGGCGTGGTGGCTCATGCCTGTAGTCCCAGCACTTTGGGAGGCTGAGGTGGGCAGATCATTTGAGGTCAGGAGTTCGAGACAAGCCTGGCCAACATTGCAAAACCCCATCTCTACTAAAAATACAAAAATTAGCCGGGCGTGTTGGAGGGTGCCTGTAATCTCAGCTACTTGGGAGGCTGAGGCAAGAGAGTCACTTGAACCCAGGAGGTGGAGGTTGCAGTGAGCCAAGATCGTGTCACTGCACTCCAGCCTGGGTGACAAGAGTGAAATTCCGTCTCAAAAAAAAAAAAAAAAGTAAAAATACAGTAAGTAAAATCAGGTGTTTTGAAAACATATGGAACCTACTGAAATAATTAAAATGTAAGCAGAGGAAGCATATTTTCCTTTAGCAGTGACAAAAATTAGAATTATTCATGGAACCAATTCTTAGTAATCATGCAGTCATAGCTCACTGCTTTATGCTTAACTAAGTGCTTTAATAAACATTACATTATTTGGGTTTCACAACACCATGAAGTGGAAAGCCCTTGTGAACTTATAAAGAGAATAGCAACAGTAATGAATTTGAAATACAACAAAAGAGAATGTGAGAAATTGCCCAGGGACAGAGATTATACACACTCATAGCACAGTGGCTCTTGACGCTGTGTAAGCAAGAGCTCAATACGTATCTGTTGAACTGCACGAAACTGATAATACATTCAATACCACTTTTACTAAAAAAAAAAAAAGAAAGAAAGAGGTAGGAAAAAAAAAATACAAAAGCACGTGTGTGAGGGGAGCACTATAGGAAAAACTATGGAAGGCTATAAGGTGATTTGTGATCAATGGTTATATCAGAGAAGTGGTGGCAAAGATGAGGAGACTGTTATTTTGACACTTCTTTATTGTCTGGATTTTCACAATAAGCATGTATAACTTTTGAAATTCAAATTAGTGAAGCCAAAATAAAAATATCCCAGCTAAATTTGTTAACAAAGAATGGGTATTGCTTTTAAAACACAAACAATCAAATTATGTATTTTTTTAAAATGTAAGATAAAACACCCTAGGATTATGCTACAGTTTGTGACTACTGGATCCTGAAAATGGAACAGTTAACTTAATGATCAAATATACTTGACAGAGATCTTGGTGGAGAAAGAAATTTGGATTCCATTAATACATATTGAGCACCATCAGGTATTAGACACTGCAGCTATGCACTAACTTAGGACTTAGAAAGTAACTGTACTCAATTCATGCACATCCTTCCTTATCTATAACCAGTTATATCCCCTTCCAGCTTTACAGATAAGAAACCCCTATACTTTGAACACAAAGTCAAAGATAACTATTTTCTAGTTATCGAAGGCTTCTATGCATGAGAGTCCATGGCATTATTACATTTAAGAACAGTTGTCTTTATTTTTCCTAAGCTTGGAGGCACTTAGCTAGAGTAAAATTTGACAAAACAAAAAGATTACTCATTTTGTCAGGCACTGTAAACTGTCTATCATAGGATAAGGCGTATTTTGCAACTTAAATTCTGAAAAAGATCATTCTTCCCTCCTCTGGCTCATAAGTGATTGACTGTTAGGGAATACACCTAGCTTTCTATTATATGTCTCCTTTAAATTAAGAGGACAAATCTATTATTTGGAAATACACATGTCTCAATCAATTGAATGTGCTCACAAAAATCTTCAACCTCTTTCAAGAACTCTTTATATGCCGTGCAAACTATTGTTGCATTTGGGCTCTCCCACCCAACTCGCGGCCCTCACTCTCCTCATTCTGGAAAACAGTGCTGTCACTAACACGGTGGGCAGACACAGTGGCTGAACCAGGCTACTCTCTGTCTGTCTTTGCTTGGCACTGGAAAATTCCTTTGTCTTTATACTTAGCAGCAGTGTAATCTTAGAGAAAGAACTTTAATTGAGGAAGACTTTACTGAAAACTCACTTGGGAGGCCCTAGGTGAGTTTAAAACAGATCATTGAAATCTTTTCCACAGTTGGTTTGGTCAGTAGTGCCATTGGGCGGACTGGATTTTCAGCCCAAGCACAATCCCAGTTCCTTTATCGGGAGGTATCTATACCATTCTAGACTAGACCAAATTTCGCTCTTCATTTTGATAAAACCAGACTGCTTCCTAAGATTCATTCCATAAATGAACTGTGTGACCTTTTGCAAGTTATTTAAACTCCCTGAATCACATTTGCCTCATTGGAAAAATCAAGTTAATTGTATCTACATCACAGGGTTGTTGTGAAAGTTGGATGAGTCTTGGGACTTTGAGTTTCCTGTAGTTGAAGGACTAGTAATTTAGACCAACTCTCCTGCTGAAAATAACTAAGAATGCTGGATAATTCTCTTTTCATATTTGTAAAAGCATCAAATTGCTGACAGGATGGTAAGAAATTCCAGCCTCAAGTCTAAGAGAAAGCAAGAACCCAGAGAAGTAAGTGGAACATCAAAGCCACCTTTCCTGTGAAGGCATTTGTCCATCTGAATTCTCCAAGCTGCAAAACTGAGCTGTGGTTTTGATGGATTCTGGAAGCAAGAACACAGAAGTCAAAGCTAGGGATTACCAGGAATTCCACAGTCACCTCCTCAAGTCCGTGTGAAGCAGAAGTAAACTGGCCCCTCCCACAACACCCCATGGTGTGATGGAAAGTGAGGTCTTGGCACCAATCAGAGTCAGGGAGAAAGAAAAGAAAAAAGGCCGGGCGCAGTGGCTCACGCCTGTAATCCCAGCACTTTGGGAGGCCGAGGCGGGCGGATCACGAGGTCAGGAGATCGAGACCATCCTGGCGAACATGGTGAAACCCCGTCTTTACTAAAAATACAAAAAATTAACCAGGCAAGGTGGCGCACGCCTGTAGTTCTAGCTACTCGGGAGGCCGAGGCAGGAGAATGGCGTGAACCCGGGAGGCAGAGCTTGCAGTGAGCAGAGATCGTGCTATTGCACTCCAGCCTGGGCGACAGAGCGAGACTCCGTCTCAAAAAAAAAAAGAAAAGAAAAGAAAAGAAAAAACACTGATCTCTAAGAGGTTATAACCATGGGCTAGCACTTTTTCAGATTTGGAGCCCAAGTCTGCATCTGTAGTGTGGTTCAAAAGCTCAAGCTATGTATTTAAAATAGTACTGCATAGAGAGAATGATGAGAAAAGAGGAGAAGAGGCACAGAGATTGGGAGAGCCACTGAGGTAGACACATTTATATACCATGTTCCAGCCGCACTGAAATAATCTCAATCCTTCACATAAACACCCATGCATACCTTCTCATCTTGGTACTGGTTGTTCCTTCCATTATCAACCATATGATCTCTGGAACCAGATGGCACAGTTTCATATCCTGACTCTGGGTGACTTTGGGTAAGCCACTTAATCTCTCTCATCATTTTCCTCATCTGAAAAATTGGGGACAATTACAATACCTCCTTGTGGTGTGCTGAGAGGATCAAATGAGTTAATGTACACAGAAGGCTTAGTAGATTGTCTGGCACATAGGAGGTAATTATAGAGTGACGGTGGTTGTACTGATGATGATGGTGGTGATGATGATGATTTTCTCAAATGATCATGTACCCTTTGTTTATTTGGCAATTTTTATTAATTGTTTACACTTCAGGTAAAATATTAGTGCTTCAGGCTGTGTATGGTGGCTCATGCTTGTAATCCCAGCACTTTGGGAGGCTGAGGAGGGAGGATAACTTGAGGTCAGGAGTTGGAGACCAGCCTGGCCAACATGGTGAAAACTCGTCTTTACTAAAAGTACAGAAATTAGCTAGGTGTGGTGGCATGCACCTGTAGTCCCAGCTACTCAGGAGGCTGAGGTGGGAGAATCACTTGAACCTGTGAGGTGGAAGTTGCAGTGAGCCATAATTGCACCACTGCACTCCAGCCTGGGCAACACAGTGAGACCCTGTCTCAAAAAAAAATTACCTCTTCTGTTAAGCCTTCTCTGCCTCTATGTGCTACAAAACTTTGTGTCTTTCCTGGGGCCCTTATTACACTCCATTGCAATGGACGTATTGACATCTCTACCTACCCCTGAGAACTGTTAAGTTACCTAGTCGGGACTAAGTGGTTCTTAGTTGCTAGTACAGAGCTTGACACATAACAGATGCTTAGCAAATACTTGGTGAATTAAAGAATGTATTGGCCGGGCACAGTGGCTCACGCCTGTAATCCCAGCACTTTGGGAGGCAGAGGTGGGCAGATCACGAGGTCAGGAGATCAAGACCCTCCTGGCTAACATGGTGAAACCCCATCTCTACTAAAAAATACAAAAAGTTAGCCAGGCGTGGTGGCAGGCGCCTGTAGTCCCAGTTACTCGGGAGGCTGAGGCAAGAGAATGGTGGTGAACCCGGGAAGCGGAGCTTGCAGTGAGCCGAGATTGTGCCACTGCACTCCAGCCCGGGTGACAAAGCACAACTCCGTCTCAAAAAAAAAAAAAAAAAAAGAAAGAATTGATGATTTTAACTTGCATTAGTGAACTAATTTTTCCATAAGAAGTTTTTTTTTTTTTAGTCTCTTAACCCTTATTCTGCACTGACTTTAAACCAAAATCATAAAACACTGTTCTCCCATCTGAATTGTTTCTCTGGAATGTAAACTTCTCAAGAGCAGCTCCAATATCTTATCTGATTAATTTTGTTGTGCATGAGCCATACTGTGTCAGGAAAACGACTAAACGGCTATAAAAATGATATTGTCAAGAAAATTGGGCTGATGAATCACGAGATCATTGACCAAGAAGTATTCACAGAGTTCTTCCTGCTTATATGGGGATGTAGATTTGAATGGACTTCCTGGTTCTGTTGTATTGATGGTAAAAGCACTGAGTTCAGGGTCAGAAGACTTGAGTTAAGGTCCCAGACTCACTCTTTATCTGTTGTGTGACTTTGGGCAAAAATTAGTCTTCCTAAACTTCACTTTCCTCATCGGTAAAATAGGTTTAATAATACCTATCATTACAATGAGCCATGATTGCACTGCTGCACTACAGCCTGGGTGACAGAGTGAGACCCTGCCTCCCCAAAAAAAAAAAAAAAAAAAAAAAAGAAAAAAAAAAAAAAAAAAAGGCTGGGTGCAGTAACTCACGCCTGTAATCCCAGCACTTTGGGAGGCCAAGGCAGGCAGATCAGCTGAGGTCAGGGGTTCAAGACCAGCCTGAGCAACATGGTGAAACCCCATCTCTAATAAAAATTACAAAAATGAGCTGGGCGTGGTGGTTGGTGCCTGTAGTCCCAGCTACTCGGGAGGCTGAGGCAGGAGAATAGCTTGAACCTAGGAGGTGGAGGTTGCAGTGAGCTGAGATCATGCCACTATACTCCAGCCTGGGCAACAGAGCAAGACTTCATCTCAAAAATAATAATAATTAATTAATTAATTTAAAAATAATACTACCTATTACATAGAGTTGTGGTGAGGCCAATACATTGGTGCAAAGCACACAAAAGGGCTTCATCAATGGCCAAGGGCTTTACAGATGTAGCAGTGGCAATTATACTTGCTTGTGCTAGTAAGTGCCCAGTTATATTCTTGGTGGCCAGTTCTCATCACTCAATGGGTAGCTTTTCTCAGAAGAGACTTTCTATCCACTTTATGTTTACCACCAAATAAGGTACTTTGCCTGGGAACAAACAGTCCTGGAATTTTAGAGACATCTCTGTTTTGAGAGTTTGGCAAGTGACTAAGCTTGGTTCCAGAGAAAATAGCCCTGGAGGGACCTGCCTGGGGAGCAGGTAGGAGAGCTCATGCCTTTCCCATGACTCAACTTGCTCTGACACATTCATCCACAGTAACATGTGGAGAGAGGGTGTGAGCTGCCTCTGCTGGGTGCCTGAGTACCGAGGAGAGTCTCTCTGGAATGACAGACACTTGAAAACCAGCTCTGAAATCCAATAGAATAACCTCGCCAAAGAGTAAGAGCAATTCCTCCCAACCAGGAGCCCTGTGTTGGACTGCTGGGATGGGGGCGTTAGAGAGAGCAGAGGGCATTGCCTCCAAGTTATTAAAGACCAGACTCTGCATCCTGGATTTAGAAACATGTTTGCATATCATTATTCATCTGGCTGAATCCCGCCCTACTCCTTTTAGAAAGCCAAAGAAACTGCATAACAGAATGAGGCGATTTCATTTTGGCATTGCCTTTGTCTAGTATGATCATGTTCTTCATCTAGAAAGTAAGTTATACATTCGTAGAATAATGAGATACTAGAACTTGGAAATAATTTAGAGAACATCAGTTTGAACCCATGGAAGTTGAGACTCAGAGATGAAGTGACATGCCCATGGGCAAGCGGTGAGTGGGACCAGAATCCAGGTGTCTTCACTCTCAGCCCAGATCTCCACCCTCTCCTCCTCCCAGACCAGTGAACCTGGAGAATCCAGATGTTTCTCTTTATCAGCTGTGGTCCAGAGAGAGAGGGTGTATCTAGGTCAGAAGTACAATCTCCTAAGCAAACAACCTAGCACTGCTGCAGAGGAAATTTATTTTGAAACCTCCTACCATGACAAGCTGCATGACTACCATCATCTGTCTAAAGGAGGTTTAGGTTGCATCAAGGATCACATATGTCCACCCAACCAGTTCTCCTCCTCATCAAGTCTTCCGCAAGCAGGCTGTCTCTTATGTATAATTTCTTCCAAACTATCCCAGAGAGTAAATGAGCTGGGTAAGAAACCAAGATTTTGATGACAATGCTCCATGTCTCCATTAAACTCTCATTTAACATCTGTGGGCCAGGCACACTTCATTTGGTATCTCGTTTAATCCTCACGATAAGCCTCTGAGTTCGATAATAATAACAATTTACAATTGAGGAAACTGAGATGGGGGTTAAATAACTTTCTCCAGATCACACATTTAGTCTGTGGTAAAGCCGTGCTGAGTCTTTCTGTCTTCAGTGGCATCAGATCCATCATATTGAAAATTAATAAACTTACTTATATGTATAAAACTATATATATATTTATTTATATTTTCATTTATGCATAACTTACACACACACATGTCCATTTCTAAGCAATGCTCTGAAAAAGTTGCTGTACTTTGAATACTCAAAAAAAAAAATTATACACACACTCCACTGAGTCTTTCCATTAACCTTCCCACCAAAGAGTGCTTCAAACATTCAAATATGCTGTAAGAGTAAAGGTAGAAGATTCTCCACTCTACCATGCTAGAATCACCTCTGGGTTTAGATCCATTCCTAATGAATGGAGCTCCCCTCCATTCTGGGTCACATAAATCTGCCCTTTCTGCTCTAGAGAAAAATAGTGTCCAAACTTCAAGCTAGTTTAAGATAATAAGTACTATTTAGTAAGTGATTACTGTGTGCCAGACACTATGCTAAGCCTTTTAAATTAATTACCTCCCAATTAATTACAATTACAGGAAAGAATTACCACTAGTATTATCATCCTCCTATTTAGCTGGCTAAGTTTCACACAGCCAGTGAGAAACAGAGCCAGCTCATAGCCATCATGCCACAATAACACCCAGCTGTAGAGAGGGGCACGGAGGAGGGTTTTATTCAGACACTAAGGTGGGCTTGGGAGCATAGACCAGCATCCTCTGTCCTTAATTGTGGACGTGGGAAGATCCAGTGATTTAAGCTCCAGTAAGAGGTGGCACCATTACTATACTGACATGAGGTACCTGATGGAGTTTCAAGTCTTGTTCAATGCAACACTACACAGAGATGTGTAGTTTTACTTCTATGTAAGAATTGCCAGGAAGTTCAGATGTACATAAAAAACTCATAAGAGGAATGGTCCCCACCTTATAGTGGATGAAAGTTTAAGCTCTTTTTCCAACCAGTCAGTTTGGGAGACTGGATTTGTTTGTGTTACCAGCACTAGTAACAGGTAATAACATAGGCCTGTGATTGACCTCATTTGATTGCTCAAGAGCCTCTTGACTTGTTATCTCATGACCTCTACACAATGCCTTCCTGGTGTGCAGATAAGTCAATGAGGTCACCATCCCAGAGGCAGGAGGTTTTTCATTCCACCCCTAGGCTTCTGCTGGGGGTTCTCCTCCCTGCTAATCTCTGTCCTTAGAAACCCTCCTGACTTTTCACATCCAAACCTGGTCACTCCTTCATGGTCTACCTTGGCATTTGGTCAGCAGGCTATTCATAAGCATTTTAAATAACCTCTTTTGCATGTTTTATTTCCCCCAATTAAGTCAAACCTTCTCAAGGACAAGGATTATGTCTGATTTGGTTTCCCATCCATAACACATAGTATTCTCTTCGGGCATGACAGGTTGTCAGTACGGCTTTGTTGACTGACTTTTATTTCCCAGCCTCCAACATAAGGGGAAAAAATTGCACAAGCAAAAAGGGAGGAGAACAAGCAAAAGTCTGGATGTTTGAGCCTTCAGGAAAATAATTTTCTCTGGGCATTTTTGTGTGTAAGTGTCTTGATTGTCAATCACTTTCACCCAAGTATTAAATTACTTTTGCAAACAAAGAGAACTAGGACTCATCGAAGGCCTACTGTGTGCCAGGTTACATTATTTCAACTAACCTTCACAGCCTCTGTAAACAGCAGTAATTGTTTTCTCATTGTGGGTATTGGGACTCTGGAATATTAAGTAATTTTTCCAAGGCCTTCTATCTAACAAGGGATGGGGCCTGTATTTAAAATTCAGTTTTATTCCAAAGTCTATGATTTTCCACTCAACTACACATCCCCCAGCTCTGCCCCAGGGTTCATTTACCCATCCCTTTCATTCCTTTCCTTTTTATTTGACAGGTTTATCTTCAAGTTGCATAACATGGACTCCAGGGAAGCCTGGTAATGGCCTCATGGAAAAAGGGAGCAGGGAAGTGGAAAAAAATGAAACAAATTTTCTGAGCTCCCACTGTATGCCGGGCTGTTACTAGATTCTTTATACTTGGTCATTTATTTACTCATTTTAATGACCTCATTATGCAAATATTAAACCTGAGACTCAAGAAGTCAGTCACATGACTTGTTCAGAGTCCCCCAGCAGGTAAGTGATAGTCAAAATCTAGCCCCAGGGCTGTCTAACATCAAAGCGTGAAAACGCAGTTTCCTAGAAAAACACCAAGATTTTACTCAAGTAGTGGACTAGGTTTTCAGAATTTAGGACCATGTCTCTAGAATGTTGTCAGGCCCCATAGGTAACAGGTCAGCCTAAGTGGAACAAGACTCTAAAAGCCTTGAGCTTCTGACACTGGAGATGTCAGGCACTTGTGATGTGGCCCACTAAAGCCCACGGAGGAAGCACAAGAGGTCACAGTATAAAACCAAACATCCAGCCACCCTTGAAGCTCTGAGAGCTTGTGAATGTGCTGCTCACATGTCCTGTGTAGTGACAGGGGACCCCAGTCTAGGACTCCCACTGAAGGAGCTTACGCTGTCTGTAGATTGTCTCTTAGGGAGAAATCTGTAATCTGTTATTAACCACCCTTTGGGCATGGAGCAAACTGCATCAACAATTTATGCAATATCATAAAAGAAATTATTTTTAGATCAGTGATATCATGTATACTTGCTGCTTTCTCTACTCTGCAGTCAACACCCCATATTTCCTTGGGGCCCCACCTTCCACTACTGTCAGTATGTTAACTCTCCCTGTGACTCCAGGGTTAGGCAGGTGACTGAGCCCAGCCGTTCAGAACCATATGTTCCCGATCATAGTCAAGTGTTCAGATGAGCCCAGATGAGCCTGTGACCCAATAAGGTGCACTGAGTCTTTTGCTTGGCCTGATGGTAAAGAGGCACTCTCTCTTCCATTCTAGGTTTGAACTCTGCAGGATGTTGGCCTGGGGTTGCTGATAGCCATTCTACCTCCATATGGAACTAGAAAATAAACCACCACAGAAAAAGCAGAAATGCACAATGAACTAGGTCGTGTCCCAATGACGTCGTTTGACCCCTGACTCCAGCCTGACCTGGACTTTTCAATTCCTTGAACTAATACATTCCCCCTTCTTGCTGAAGTCATGGTGAGCCTATTTTCCTGTCATTTACAACAAAAAGAGTCCTGACACAATGACTTTTCAAAAATCGTCACTCTCCCACGAACCCTTGGAGCGTCAGGGTTAATGACATTCTGATACAACTTACTGTTTCCATGTCTTTGCTTAACTATCTCTTTCTCAGTAAGGTCTTTCCTGACGACTGTATTTTAAATTGTGATTCCTTCCAGCCCAGTCAGCCTAGTCCCCATCCCTTTTTTTTTTTTGGTTGTTGGCTGTGTGTGTGTGTGTGTGTGTGTGTGTGTGTGTGTGTGTGTGTGTGTGTTGATCCTGGGTCTCACTCTGTCACCAAGCTGGCATGCAGTGGTGCAATTATAGCTCACTGTAACCTTGAACTCCTGGGCTCAAGTGATCTTCCTGCTTCAACTTTCTGAGTAGCTGGGACTACAGGCATGCACCACCATGCACAGGTAATTTTTAAATGTTTTTGTAGAGGTGGCGACTCACTATGTTGCCCTGGCTTGTTTCAAACTCCTGGGTTGGAACAATTCTCTTGCCTCAGCTTCCCAAATTGCTGGGATTACAGGCACAAACCATTGCACCCCACCCCACTGCCCTGCTTTTTCTTTTACTTATCACTATATGATATGCTACTTATTTTACTTACTTGTTTTGTTTATTATCTGTCTCCTGTAAGTAAGTCATAAGGGCAGGAATTTTTTTTTTTTTTTTTATGCAGAGACTCATTGTGTCACCCAGGCTGGAGTGCAGTGGCATGACAGAGGTCAGTGGGAGCCCCTTGCCTCACATCGGCCCCTCCCACACTGACAGAGGTCAGCGGGAGCCCCTTGCCTCACACCGGCCCCTCCCACGCTGACAGAGGTCAGCGGGAGCCCCTTGCCTCACACCGGCCCCTCCCACACTGAGAGAGGTCAGCGTGAGCCCTTGCCTCACACCGGCCCCTCCCACACTGAGAGAGGTCAGTGTGAGCCCCTTCCTCAACAGGCCACCGTGAGGGAGGAGCAGGGTCACATGCGGGCTGCTGGGAGGCAGGCAGGGACTTGGGCCTGGGAGGCCACAGTGGGGTGAGAGCTGGGCCTGGAGACGCCCCTGGGAGGCAACAGTGGGGCCTGCAGACGCTCTTCTCCAGCCGGAGCTGGGACTGTTCAAGCCTCTGGGAGGTGGGATGTGGGCCTGAAGAGCTTGGTTGCAGAAACTTCGGGGTCTACAAAGGCCGGCAGAGCTGAGCCAAAAGAGCTTGTTTGCTGGGAGGCAGGAGCTGGGCTGGGAGATGCAGCCAGGAGGAACAGCTGGGCCTACAGAGGCCGCCATGCGGGAGGCAGAGGACGGGCCTCCTCAAGTCAGCCTCTCCAGACCCACTTGCAGCCTCCTGGCATCCTCTCCGGGCCCAGCTCTTCCTCCCGGCTGTGTCTCCAGGCCCGACTCCGGCCTCCCAACAACGTCTTTGGACTCAGCTCCTGCCCAGCTCCCAGGGGCCCTGGTAGGCCCACAACTTTCCGAAGCCAAGCTCCCCAGGCCCAGCTCAGGCCTCACGGTGGCCTCTTCAGGCTCAGCTCCTACCCTCCAATGGCATCTGCAGGCCCCAAACAGCCTCCGGTTGGTGGGCTCCTCTAGGCCCAGCTTGGGCCTCCTGGTAGCCTCTGAAGGCCCAAATCGTCCCGAAGTTGGCCTCTCCAGGACCAGCTCCAGCCTCCTGGCTGCCTCTGCAGGCCCAAGTCTTCCTCAAGTCGGCCTGGAAGTGGGCCTGGAAGAGCTGCAAGTCAGCCTCCCTGGGCCCAGCTCCGTCCTCTCGGTGGCCTCTCCAGGTGCAAAACTTCCTCGAGTCAGCCTCTCCAGGCCCAGCTCCTCCTGCCTCCCAGTGGCCTCTTTTGGCCCAGCCCAGCTCATGGCTCTCGGCGGCCTTCCCAGGCCTTGCTTTTGACTTTTGGCGGCCTCTTCAGGCCCCGAACTTGACCTCCAGTCAGCCTTTGCAGGCCTGGCCTCCTGCCTCTTGAAGGCCTGCACGGGCCCGGCCTTGGCCTCACAGCGGACTCTCCAAGCCCAGCTAGCTCTCGCCTCACTGCGGCCTCCCCGGTCCAAAGCTCCTGCCTTTCGGCCACTTCAGCAGGTCCAGCTCCTGCCTGCCAGTGGCCTCTTTAGGCCCAGCTCATTCCTCACAGCGGCCTTTCCAGGCCCCGTTTTTCCCTTCCGGCAGCCTCTTGGCCTCTAATTTGTTTATCTTTTGTGTATAAATCCCAAAATATGGAATTTTGGAATATTTCCACCATTATATAAATATTTTGGTAGGTAATTTATTTGGAGTGAGTTTCTGCACCAAGCCTGAATTTTTTATTTTATTTTCCTTATTATTTGGTGTTAAACAGGTTTAATGATGGTCATGGCAACTTTTTGGCACAATGAAAAATATCGCCCATGATCAACGTGTTCTGTTCTGGGGAAGGGGGCAAAGGCAGGGTGAATCACTTTCTTAAAAAGTACAGCTCAAGTTGGGAGTGCAGAGGGAATGGGGAGAAAACCCTCCTGCCGCCTGTGTCGAAGTGCAGGAGCCCCCACCCCCATACTCACCTGAGTCCAGCCCCTCTGGGGAAAGAAGGGGTGCATGAACTCCCCCTAGTCCACAGTCGCCTCCCTGTGGCCCAAAGCCCTCTTCACACTCCATCTTGTAGCCCCAGCAGGAACTATTTTCTGAAAAGTGAAAAGCTGTGAAGGTCCCACAATTCATGGAATGTACAGGGGCTCGGAGGAGGGAAACTGCCCAGCTTTCCCCTGGCACAGCTGCAGGGGTAGGGGGTATAGATAAGAGGAGCAGGCCTTGGCCAGGCGTGGTGGCTCATGCCTGTAATCCCAGCACTTTGGGAGGTGGAGGCAGGCAGTTCATGATGTAAGGTGATCGAACTCAGCCTGGCCAAGATGATGAAGCCCCGTCTGTACTAAAAATACAAAAATTAGCCAGACGTGGTAGCGTGCACCTGTAACCCTAGCTACCCGGAAGGCTGAGGCAGGAGAATGGCGTGAACCCGGCAGGAAGAGGTTGCAGTGAGCCAAGATCGCACCACTGCACTCCAGCCTGTGCGACAGAGCAAGACTCCGTCTCAAAAAAAAAAAAAAAAAAAAAAAGAGACAGGCCTTATTCCATCCCAAACTGAAAGGATTAAATCTCTTTACCTGGGAGAAGATAACCATCTTGCCCTCCATTGCTACCCCCACATACTGTCCATGTTCTCAGGTTGTACTGTGAGTCCTGGGATCTTCTTTGGGGTCGCCTACCTGCCTGTGGTAGTTATGGAGACCCCCAGGTGTTGAGGCAAGGCTAGGGTGTCCCCTTCCAGCCAGGCTGTCAAGGCCCCAACTCTGGGGCAGAGGCAGTGGCAGGGCAGCCAGGGTTGCGCCAGAGCCTAAGCAGGGTGAGGTGGGGTCAGGCAGGGCTGGGAGTCAGGGCAGGGGCAGCAGCAGTGGACCCGCTATGCACACACCTTCTTTTCCAAGGTTTGTGTGCAGAACATCCTGCCCTTGCTGCCCCAGCAGCTTCAGTTGGCACCTGCCCCAGTCCAGCCTCTGGGACCCATGCAGCAGCTCCCAGCGGCCCTGCAGCCACCACCAGCATCTGTTTCACCTGCAGTTGAAGATCCATGAGGTGCCCAGAAGATCATGCAGTCATCAGTCCCATGGAGCAGCCCACAAGGCTGAGGCTCCTCCCACTGGACCACCCCCCAACTGGCACCACTGCTGCCCCTGCCCCTACTCTCAGCCTCATGTGACTCTCAGGCAGAGGCAGTGGTGGGGCAGCCAGGGCAGCGTCAAGAGTCTGAGCCAGGTGAGGTGTGGTCAGGACCCCCACAGGGCTGGGAGTCAGGGCAGGGGCAGAACAAACCTTGGAGGGGAAGATGTGTACATAGTGGGCCTGGAGGGCGGCTGTGGCCTAGTGGACAGGAAGAAGAAGGGGGCCTGGAAATGCTGCATGATCAGGGCTGGCACTGGTCCAGGGCGCGTGCAGTGAAGAGGACAGCGCCTACTCGGTCTCCAGTTCCCTGAGCCTGTCCTTGGCTTCTCCAACTGTACAGGCAAAGGGGAAGCTGTCCCCATCACACATGGCACACTTGGGGGTGTTGGGCTTTGGGCTGCAGCTGGAGCATCTTCTCATCTTGCATTTGGGTGTGGTGGGGTCCTCCAGTGTGGGATCCATGTCTGTGGGGTTCCCTCTTCCCCGACCCCAAAAGCCCAGTCAGTTTCTCTTCAGGCTCTGCCCCCCAGGTGGCTCAGCCCAGCTCCTGCCTAGGAAAGCCTTAGTGTTGGGAGGGACCCTGATGACTGAGGAGCCTGGTAGCTCCAGGTCACCCACACTTTCAGGTCTCTTGCACCAGAAGGTGGAAGGATCCATTGGGAGGAAACAGGTCACCTTGGAAGGCATCCCTGGGTCCACATCCCCAGGGGTAGGGGCTGTAGGGGGCCCGCTCTGCTGCCTTGACCAGACTCCTGGGCTTTGAAGGCTCCTGGGCCCAGTAAGAAGGAGGTGGGTGCCAAGATTGAGGAGGAAGCATCCGAGTATGTGTAGGAGGAGGACAGGGTGGGACCATAGACTTTGCCAAAAGCTGCAGGTGGATCGGGGGACCCTGGGGGCTCAGGATCCAGCAAGGGGCAGCAGGAGTAAAGGAGGAAGGAATGACAGGTGCAAATACCTTCCCACTAAAGCCCTTGTTGCCCTCTGGCTCCTCCCCAGAGTTGTCCCCACTCTCAGTCGGTCACCCACTCCTTGAACTTGAGATCAGTGTCAGTGGTGCTAAAGCCATCATCAGCAATGACATCATCACACCCTATTCCTCATGGATGACCGTGTGCTCCTTGTCACTCGCTATGTCCTCACTGGCCATGTGCTGGGAATGACCAGCTCAGGTGGGCAGCAGCAGGGCTGCCCACTGGTCACCTCCCTCACCAGGGGCTGCAAAGTGGCCTGGAGCTCCATACTGAGTAGAAGGCTTTGGGCCAGAGTATGATGCAGTGCCAGATACCACCTGTGTCAGTTCCTGTAGTGCCTGATGGTCTATTTCCCTGCCATCCAGGCTGTGTACCCCCCTGTGGGAGAAGGCTTGGGCCAGGCTGAGCCAGGTTCCCTGACTGTGTGCAGCCATTCTGCCCCACAGAAGCTGCTCCTTGGTATCCGAGCTCTGGAGTGTTTGGGCTGCAACTGACAGGAGTTCAGAGGACACCCCAGGGGCAGTGGCAGTGCCAGTCTCTGACATGCTCCACTCCCACGAGCCTTTGTTACACTCCTGCTAGCCCCTGGCTTGTGGGCTTGGCCTCTGAGCTGAACTTCTTTCAGTCCTTATTGCAAGTGGGCCACCTTCACCTGGAAGGCCAGTTCATGGTATTTCTGCCTCTCATTGGGCCCCAGGGTGTACCACCACTTGCTCAGCATCTGGCTGACGGTCCAGTTATCCTGGTTGGGGTGACCCTGGTGTGCCCTGCCAGGGCCTGGTGCCGCTTGCTGAAGATCATGACCGCCACTCATGGGACACCGGATGTGGTCCTTGTCCCATTTGTTGGGGCTGCGTCCATCCTTCTCAGAAGATGAGCCCTGTTCCTTGTGCAGGGCACTGAGGAACTGGGCCTGACATCATCTGAGTGGTAGAGGCAACTGGGTGTCAGGAGACATGATGGAGAGGAAAGCATCATCATGGTCATTCTCTGTCTCACTGTCCAGCAGGGACTCCCCTGAGGGGCCCAGGGCTCCTCCTCCATGGTGGGAGATGAGCTTTTACCAGGTTCCACCACCCCCAAAGTGTGTGGGGTTGCGGGCCCTGGGCTTTCAGGGCAGGTGGCTCCAGGGGGCCGCCCAGGGTCAACACTCCCTGTCCCACCTGGTGGATGCTCGTGAGCAACAGCTGCCAACTTGGCAGGTTGTTTTCTCTGGTTGGAGGCCACTGAGTGACTGGCAGGTTGCTGGGCCTCGTGTGGCTGCAGGGAGGGTTCAGGAAGGGGATGGAGTACCAGGGGAACATGGCCACAGAGTGACCTTCCACATTGCTCCACACGAACATGCTGACGCCACGGGAGGCCTCACTGAACGCAGGCCTGGGGGCTGAGTACTTGGTCTGGGCACAGGGTTCCTGGCAGGGGCCCACACCTCCTTGCCCCCTCCTCAGCCAAGGTGGCTTGGGCCCAGAGAAGGGGGGGTTGGAGAGGAGCAGAAGGACAGACCTCAAGTTTTGTTTTTTTGTTTGTTTTGTTTTTTGTTTTTGAAATGTAGTTTGACTCTTGTCACCCAGGCTGGAGTGCAGTGGCACGATCTCAGTGGCCTTCATACCTGGCGATTTGTTGTATTTTTACTGGAGGTGGGGTTTTGCCATGTTGGCCAGGCTGGTCTTGACCTCCTGACCTCGGGTGATCCACCCACCTCGGCCTCCCAAAATGGGATTACAGGCATGAGCCACCGCTCCTAACTTCATTCATTTTTACTTGAAAAACTCCGTTAAGCATTTTTTTTAAGGTAGACCTAGTGGTCCTGAATGCCCTCAGCTTTGTTTGTCGAGGAAACATGTTATTTCTTCTTTCTATCTGAAGGACAGCTTTGTCAGACATAGTATTAGTTGCTGGCAGTTTTTTTCTTTCAGCACTTTGAATGTATTATTCGATTCTGTCCTGACCTGCAAAGTTTCTTTAACTTTTGACTATTTGATTATATTGTGACTTGGTGAGTATCTATTTGGTTTGAACCTCTTTAGGAATCTTTAAGCTTCATGGGTTTAGATGTCTAAATCTTTCCTATGATTTAGGCAGTTTTCAGCCATTCTTTAAATAAGCTTTCTTGTCCTTTCTCTACTTTCCTTCTCAAACTCCCATAACCTGACAATGGTTTGCCTAATGGTGTCTTGTGGGCTTTCTTTTCTCTGTCTCTTTTATTTTCTTTTTTCTTTTTTCTTTTTTTTTTTTTTTGAGACAGAGTCTTGCTCTGTCACCCAGGCTGGAGTGCAATGTGTGGTCTTGGCTCACATTGCACTCCAACCTCTGCCTCCTGGGTTCAAGCGATTCTCCTGACTCAGCCTCCCAAGTAGCTGGGACTACAGGTATGTGCCACCACACACGGCTTATTTTTGTATTTTTAGTAGAGATGGGGTTTTGTCATGTTGGCCAGGCTGGTCTTGAACTCCTGACCTCTTAATCTGCCTGCCTTGGCCTACCAAAGTGTTGGGATTACAGGCTTGAGCCACCATGCCCAGCCTTCTTTTCTCTTTTTTATTCTTTTTTTCTTTATCCTCTGACTGGATAATTTCAGAAGATCTATATTCAAGTTTACAGATTCTCTCTCCTGTTGAAGTTTACTATTGTGTTATATCACCCAGTCTGGTCCTGAACTCCTGGGCTCAAGCGATCCTCCCACCTTGGCCTCCCAAAGTGCTGAGTTTACAAGCATGAGCCACTGCATCCAGTCAGTCCCAGCACTTTGGGAAGCTGAGGTGGGAGGATCACTTGAGCTCAGGAGTTTGAGACCAGCCTGGACAATATACTGAGAACTTGTCTCTATATTAAAAAAGAAAAAAAGTCTTTGGGAGGCCAAAGTGGGAGGATCACCTGAGGTCAGGAGTTCAAGACCAGACTGGCCAACATGGCAAAACCCCATTTCTACTAAAAATACAAAAATTAGCCAGGTGTGGTGGCACACGCCTGTAGTGGTGGTGCATGCCTGTAGTCCCAGCTACTCAAGAGGCTGAGGCAGGAGAATCACTTGAACTGGGAGATGGGGGTTGCAGTGAGCTGAGATCGCACCAGTGCACTCCAGCCTGGGCAACAGAGTGAGACTCCATCTTATAAAAGGAAAAAAGAAAGAAAAGAAAAATTCCATATCTGAGTGTTTACTCCTGAGTTTTTGAGATTATTAGTAAGATCATGCTCTACTGTGATGATTTGGGTTTGTTTGATAATCAGAAAAAAGCATATTCTTTTGGGTGTTCAGCCACACTGCTTTGGTGTCACAACTGCACATTGGTTTCACAGCTGCAGGACAAGTTCGAGCATCTTAAAATGATTCAGCAGGAGGAGATAAGGAAGCTCGAGGAAGAGAAAAAACAACTGGAAGGAGAAATCATAGATTTTTATAAAATGAAAGCTGCCTCTGAAGCACTGCAGACTCAGCTGAGCACTGATACAAAGAAAGACAAACATCGTAAGAAACAATAATTTCTCTTACTATTCTGAAAGCCTTATCATTCTGCATCCCATCTTCCTGTGAGATTGTCTTTGTAGCATTTAACTCTAATTGCAGTTCTCATTTTAAAAATTGGCTTGCTTATTGTATATTTTCCCCAACTAAAGTGTGAACTCCTAGCAGGGCGTGGTGGCTCATGCCTGTAATCTCAGCACTGTGGGAGGCCGAGGTGGGTCGACTACCTGAGGTTAGGAGTTCGAGACCAGCCTGACCAACATGATGAAACGCTGTCTCTACTAAAAATACAAAAATTAGCTAGGCGTGGTGGCTGGGACCTGTAATCCCAGCTACTTGGGAGGCTGAGGCAGGAGAATCACTTGAACCCTGGAGGTGGAGGTTGCAGTGAGCAGAGAGCTCACCATTACACTCCAGCCTGGGTGACAAGAGCAAAACTCCATCTCAAAAAAAAAAAAAAAAAAAAAAAAAAAGAAAGGGTGAACTTGAAGGCAGGTCCTGTGTCCATGTTTTCAGATTCTGTATCCCAGCACTTAGGACATAGACAAACACGAAGATGACAATCAATATTTGCCAAAATGAAAAAAACAAAAGAAACATGTAACATCATGTAAAAGAAGCTGGTTAGGTGGAGAAATTTCTTTACCATAGTCTTGCTTGTGGATCCAGTAGTGACTTTTACGTTTTATATCTAAATAGAAGCTGGAGGCTTTGTTGGGGACTCATAGGCATAAAATATTATTTATTATAGAGTTAAATGCTACAAAGACAAATCTAATTAATAGGCCTATTTTCCTTTTTAAATTCTACTCATAATTTCTTCATAGTTTTTATGATAAAAGGTTGGATTTTGATTAGAACTCCCATGCTATTGTGTCAGAATTAAAACTGATATTAGAATAAATAATTCAAAAGCTAGAGAAAGAGTACAATGAGAAGCCATGAGTTGCATTTGAATTATAATATTATGTCTTACAGATTTGGGGTATATGCTAAAGTTACCAAAGTTGTAGAAAATAAGGCCAGGCATTGTGGCTCACATCTGTAATTCCAGCACTTTAGGAGGTCGAGGTGGGCGGATCATTTGAGGTCAGGAGTTCGAGACCAGCCTGGCCAACATGGTGAAACTCCGTCTGTACTAATAGTACAAAAATTAGCCAGGCGTGATGGTGTGCACCTGTAGTCCTTGCTACTCAGAAAGCTGAGGCAGGAGAATCGCTTGTACCCAGGAGGCAGAAGTTGCAGTGAGCAGAGATTGTGCCACTGCACTCCAGCCTGGGTGACAGACTGCTATGAGTCACCACATCTGGTATGAGCCACCGTGCCTGGCCCACAATGACTTTTACACATGTTGTTAAATCATCTTACAGATTTTATAATTTGGGGGAAGAAAAGTTTTACTAAATGGTCTTTTAATGGAAACTCTACAAGAACCAGAATCTTTGCTTTGTTCACTTATGTATCCATTCCTAGGCCTAGAAAAATGTCTGACACATAGCAGCAATTATTCATTGAATAAATGGACCCAGTGATAGTACATTAGCTATGCTATATGCATACATTAAAGATGTAGATTATCGACTTTCAAAAGATAATTAATGTAACTTCTTACTGCTTCTGAACATGTTTGTGGGTTATATTGCTGAGGGACCTTTAACTTCTCATTCTTTCATCTTAACCCAGTGTTATAAAATTGAAATCACCAATATTATTCCATATCTAAAATTAATATCTACCTTGTAAAAAAATCACTCTGCTGCATTTGAGAATAGACTTTTTAGGTAATAATGATGCAATCCATAGGGTTTTTTGGGGTCACAGAGGGATTCATGCTAACAGAACATTTTATTTTCTATTTTCCCAGAGCTGTAAAACATGAAATTATGGTAGTATAAGGCATATTTTTACTCTTTTTATAATTTTTTCTAAAAAAAATTAGTGTTTGTTCCCTATATAACTTTTAACTTTATAGGTAAATATTTGTCTCTTTCAGCTCCAGTTTTATGTGAAATAGAGTTTTCAGTTTTATGTAGCATGGAAAGTTTTAATACATCAGAGTTACTGATTTTTGCCAATCATTTTCTCAATTATTTCTTTTTTATCTTTAGTTGATTTTTTTGTAGTGACACATTTTGTTTCTAGTCTCATTTCCTTTTGTTTATATTCTATGTATATTTCATTTTTGGTTACTATGAGAATTACATCCTAGAGTTATAACATTTTAATTTGAATTTATTTCAACTTAAGTTCAATCGCATTCCAAAATTCGACTGCTATATATATAGCTCTACTCTTTTTATGTTATTGATGTAACAAATTATATCTTTATTCATTGTATACCAGCTAACAGATTTACAATTACATTTTATGCATTTGCCTTTTAAATTATGTAGAAAATAAAAAGCAGAGTTGCAAACCAAAATAACAATAGGACTGTTTTTATGTTTGTTTATGTATTTACCTTTACCAGAGAGCTTTGTATATTCACACAGCTTGCTTATTTACTTATATAGTTATTGCCTAGAGTTCATTTATTTCAACCTGAAGGACTTAACACTTCTTGAATGGCAAATTCAGGGATAAATGGATTTTTTTCAGTTTAAAAAAAAAATCCGGAAATGTCTTAATTTCTCCTTCATTTTTGAAGGATAAGTTTTCCAGCTATAGATTTCTCAATTGACAGGTTTCTTCATTATTTTAAATATATAATCCACTGCCTACTGGCCTTCAAGGTTTCTGCTGAGAAATCAGCTGCTAATGTTATCTGGATCCCTATCTGTGACAGTTGCTCTTCTCTCTGAGTTTTCAACATTCTCCCATTATCTTTTTTTTTGTTTGTTTTTGAGACAAATAATTGTACATATTCATGGGATACAGAGTGATATTTTGATACATGTATACAATGTCCAATGATCAAATAAGGATAATTAGCATATCCATCACCTCAAATATTTGTCATTTATTTGTATTGTGAACAGTCAACATTCTTTCTTCTAGTTTTTTAAATTTATAAACATTTAAATTTTATTACAGAAATTTAATTTTTTTGATTCTGAAAAAGTCATATATGTATGCAACATCTTTTTATCATTTATTTATATATTTATGCATCTTTCCTTTTAGTTTTGACAGAGATTTTCTATTTTATCATTATTTCAAAAGAACTCTTACCTGTATTTATCAATTATATTTCCCTTGTTTTTTCCTAGTATATTAATTTATTTACTTATCTTCTAAAAATCCTCCATATAATCTGTTTATTTTGTTTCCTTTCTATAATTTCTTCCATGATTAGTTCTGTTCTATTTTCCATTAAAATATTTAACTCTTGTATGAATTTTTGTCAGGTTAGAAATTTAGGGCATTTCTTAATTTCTCTATATTCTAGCTTTTGACTTTTTTTTTTCTGACCTAAGAAGTATTTAGAGCACATTTTAGATTTTTTATTTTGACTAATCATTTAAAATGTATACTAATCTTCAATTTAAATAAAAAACTGGTCTATAGTGACAAAAATTACAAATGAGCCTAACTAATAAATTATCAGCTGTGTTTATATGTATAGGCATGCACAGATTTTGGTAAATATGTACCTAGTATATTGGTGAGCTTATTTTTATCATTCTTAACTCATTGTGTAGTATAAACATTGGGGAAAAAATAAAATACAATAATCAGATGGTGTGAATAAGAAAATTGTTCTAATGTTTGTAAATGAAGCAACTGTTTTAACTGCTCCTCTCTTCCTGATTGACTTCTAAAAGGGATTAATCCATATTGGGTCCTATCATATATGTCACGGTATAACATCTCCAGCTATAAAATGGAAATTTAAGAATAACTTTGCTGCTACTCAGATACATTTTATTTCAAAAACATACACTAAGATGTTGCTATTGGATCTTTCCAAAAACATATTCACACAGAACTTTCAATCACACTGAGCCATATTTGAACAATCTTTCAAGGTCAGCTCCGGCATAAGCTAACATTATACCATTTAACTCAGAAATTTCTTTAGTATTTGATTAATGGGTTTATGTTTGATATGTAATGTAATTTTCTAATGCTAAATCAAGTGGTAATTTTTTTAGTCAAGTTGATTTAGTGGCTTGGGAAGAAAGCTTTTAATGTTCCCCTAATTTTTCTTACCTTTGACATGATCCTTCACATGTCTTATTTTGCTTAGTAATTTTTCTTTTTTTTTTTTTTTTTTTGAGACAGGGTCTTACTCTACCACCCAGGCTTGAGTGCAGTGGTGCGATCACAGCTCATTGCAGCCTTGACCTCCCAGACTCAAGCTATTCTTCAACCTAGCCTCCCAAGTAGCTGGTACTACAGGCACATGCCACCAAATTTGGCTAATTTTTGTATTTTTTGTAGAGACAGAGTTTTGCCAAATTCTCAGGCTGGTCTGGAATTTCTGGGCTCAAGTAATCCTGCCTTGGCCTCCCAACATGCTGATATTACAGACATAAGCCACAGTACCTGGCCAGTTTTCTTTTTTAAAAAATCTATTGGTTATTAATTTGAAGCCTTCCTTTTCATAGCTGTGCTCCTTAATTGGGAGCAAACATGAATGGACCACAACTTAGCCAATTTTCTATATACGATCTTTGCAATCCTAATTTAAAGGAATATTAATTCTTTCTTTTCCTCTTTCATTCCACAAACCTGTATTGACTACATCTAAGTTCTAAATGGTGCACTGGATGTTGAAAAAGTTGATGATGAGCAAGAACAAAATTCCTCCTTTCAGGAGACTTACAGTTCAATATGGGAAAATAATTTGTTAAAATATAAAAGTGCAATTGTGTTACATGCTGTACGAAGTACATGATGACATGTGAGCATGTAATAAATGGGCTGGAGGCCAGAGTATTGCCAAAGAGAATGGGCCTCCTGCTGAGATGAAAAGTTGAGCAGGGATTAGTTGGCGAAAGTGGAGGGACGATCCTTTCTAGGCAGGAGGAAGAACATGTACAGAATCTCTGAGGTGTGATGCAACAAAGTCTATATAAAAAACTGAAGAAAGGTCTAATGTGGCTTAAATACAGAAGCTAGTAGGAGAGGAGTTGAAAAGAGGCTGGAGAAGTAGAAAGTGTCTCCATTCTGCAGGAACTTATATTGTATAAAAAGAATTTCTCTTTATTCTAAGTGCAATGTGAAGCCAATGAAGTGCTTTAAACAGGTGATGTGATTTGATTGAATTTATTACTTCACTTAACAAATATTCATTACATGCCCACTGTTTGTCAGATATTGCTGTAGCCCCTGGTGATACAGTAGGGAATAAAACAGGCAAAAATCCCTGTCCTCTTGCAGCTTATAATGGACTGCAATGTTTAATATGTCAGAGGAGGTCCACGGAGGAGTGACTTCTAAGCAAGAATCTGAAAAAAATGAGGATATCTAAGGAGGGAACAAATGGTTCAAAAGCCCTATAATTGCGAGCAGGCATGATGAAGCAATTGTAGTTGTCCTGACTCTCAACACCGTGGAACTCAAAGGAGATGGAAATATTCTTTCTCTACCTCATGTATTTTCTCTCTTTCTGTCTATATATATAGAATATGAGACATTTCCCTAATCATTAGGTGTAATTACAATTACATATATATGTATGTATGTCATAAATATATAAATAACATACATATATATGTAATTGTAATTACACCTAATGATTAGGGAAATGTCTCATATTCTTCTACTCAGAAATAAGCAATATAGCAATTACTGTTTTTTACATTTTACAGTTATGGTTTCAGAGAAAGTTTGATATTTATCTAAAATTTTTCAAGGTATGAACTTTTTCACTTGACAAACCATAATTGTACATATTCTTGGGATACAGAGTGATATTTCTTTACATGTATAGAATGTGTAGTGATCAAATCAGGGTAATTTCCACTAATTTAAAATGCCACCTTTATGTTATTGTAATTTATATATATAATATATATATACACACACACATATATATACATGTCCACATACAGTGTGTGTGTGCACATGTACACACATGCATATGTGTATATAATGCCCAGTATAAGCAATGTGCACAAATAAAATTAGCTAACAGAGATAGTATAGAGTGAAAGGAGAGGCAGATTAATCTTTGAGGAAAAGCACAATTTTATGGCTGAATGGAGAAAGCTGAGGTGGTTTCTAAGATGGAGAATAAGATGAAAAATGTAAGTACATTGTTTGACTGAATTCAAGAAAGAAGGGTAAAAGAGAAGAAAGTAGTGGTCTTATCATTAAATGCCACAGAGAGGTAAAGATAAAAACAACATATTGTTTTGGGTTTAGTAATTTAAAGGTTACCAAATTCCGTTTTGGAGGAGGAACAGATTCCATGTCCACTAGAATGGAATGAACAAGAAATGGAGGAGGAAAATAGGTAGTTTTACAAAAGTTTTCAAAAATATGAAAAGAAGAAATGAAATGGTACTTGGAAGAGATTGTTGAAATGGGAGAGACTATGGTGGCTTGTTTAGAAGCAGTTGAGATAGATCCAATTGAGATAGAGATATTGACTATATAAACAAAAGAATGACAAATTAATAGTGTAATGGATAACTTGACTTTGGCAAATATTGTGAATTTTTGTGAAAGTACAACTAAAAGGCAATGTCACTCCAATAATCACCAGAGTAATCAATTTGCTTATTGCTGACCCTTTAAATATAGTTCTCTGGTATCAACTAACATATTTTTAACTAACGATGCTTCTTAAAGAAAAGGGAAAAGACCTTTTTCTTTCTTTCAGTCTTCAATGATTCACTGCTTCATCTCGCTCCACCAAAGATAAATGAAATCTACATCTCTTATACATTAACAATGTATGACAATTTATAAATAGCTAAATTTTTGGAGCTAACTTTAAGTACCTGATGGAATTTAATCAACCCACTAATCTCCTTCTCACTTCTCAGTTATTTATCAAGTTTATGTCAAGGGAAAAGGAAAAATTATCCAAACATTGTTTAAAACAATCATCATTAATTAGTAACACTTATCCAGGGGGGGTTTTAACCCTTCCCCCACTCAAGAATTATTCTAATGTCAGAGTAGAATAAAAAATAAGTGCAGCGTTGCTGACTCTTCCAAGCTTAACATTTCTCACAAATCAATTAGCTTTGTACTGGGAGGAGGGCATGAAGGGCTGCTTGCGGTAGTTGTCTAGCAGCAGCACAATGGCCGCAGACAAGGAAAACAGTTTCTAGGAATTCCTCGTATATAATTTTATATTTTTGACAAGATTAATGACCCATGCTGTCTTCCTCTCCATTTCGTTTTTTTGGAATTCTGTGTTGGTATGTAGTTACTATATTTTATTAAAGGAAATTAGCCTTATCTCTTATTATATTTTATTAAAGAAAATTATTATATTATTCCTTTGTATTTTTATTAAAGGAATTTATTATTATTATTATTAAAGGAAATTAGCCTTATATCTTATTATATTTTTTATGACCTTCAAAATAGTGTCTCTGCTTAAAAGTGTACCCTGGCGGGGCGTGGTCGCTCACGCCCGTAATTCCAGCACTTTGGGAGGCTGAGGTGGGTGGATCACGAGATCAGGAGATAGAGACCATCCTGGCTAACAGGGTGAAACCCCGTCTGTACTAAAAATACAAAAAATTAGCAGGGCATAGTGGTGGGCACCTGTAGTCCCAGCTACTCAGGAGGCTGAGGCAGGAGAATGGCATGAACCCGGGAGACGGAGCTTGCGGTGAGCTGAGATCACACTGCTGCACTCCAGCCTGGGTGACAGAACAAGACTCCGTCTCAAAAAAAAAAAAAAAAAAAAAAAAAAAGTGTACCCTGAAGCACATATCAAGCGACATGTAGAGTTCATAAATTCTGGCCAAATGGTCATACCTCAAACCTAATCAGCACTAAGGCTCTTTACTTGCACTGACAAACATGAACGCTGGGGAATTTGGAAATGATATATAATATATAATATTATATATAATATATATATAATATTTAATAACTTTCCATGTGATTTTCCTCTTAATTTTTTTTCTAGCTGATCCATATGAATTCCTCTTATTAAGAAAAATAAAGCATCCAGGATTCAATGAAGAACTGACTATCACCTTGTTAATCATTCAGAAACATGTTGCAGGCTTAAGCCATTTTTGATATAGATACTGAAACAATTACTTGCTAAGAGCAAACTTGAAGGTATGGATAAGGCCCTGAGTCATCATCTTGAACTGAATGATAGTTAAGCTGAATGTAAGTATAAAATATGATTTTCTAACCACTTGCTCGCCAACAAGGAAAACTTTTAAGTAGAGCAGAACCTGAATAGACAAGACATTTCTTTCTTTTGGTAGAAAATGATTTACCATCACTGTCTAGTTAATTGTAGACTAGGTAATTTTAACTTTGTGATTTATTGCCGGAGACATTTTCTTCTGTACTGTAAAGTGTGTGTCAGAAAAAATTAGCGATTTTGGAGGATTAGGGGACTTTGATAAATTGCCTGCAATTCTGGCAGTATGAACTGCATATTAATTTCTCTCTTTCAAGAACATTTTTATTTATTAATTCCTTACAAATACTCCCTAAACTTTGGAACAGCTCTCAATTGCCTGTATTCTTTTTTTTTTCTTATTATGGTACTCTTCTAGAGATTTGGCTTGCGTCTATGAATAAGCCAGGACATCTTCAGAAATTGTCTGATTAAAAACACCACCAATGGAGTTTCATTAAATTTGTATTGCTCTGACTAGGGAAACACACACATCTATGTTGCTTAGGATATTTTACTGCAGTTTGAGTTGTAATAATAGCTCTGTTTAAGATCCGTCAGTCACTTGAATCTTCTCTAAGGCTTTGTATGTTAGAAGTTAATTTGCTTTCTTACAAGGCCACATTCTATCTTGTAACTAAACAACTGAATTTTATGTCTTAGCATAGATGGTTTATTACTTTCTCGTTTTTCTTTAGTAAGAATCCTATAAAAACACTAGTATTTTTCTCTGAGTTTAAAATTCAACACTTGCCTACTGATATGGTTAGGCTTTGTATCCCCACCTGAA
This sequence comes from Homo sapiens, assembly GCF_000001405.40. Classification (NCBI taxonomy): domain Eukaryota; kingdom Metazoa; phylum Chordata; class Mammalia; order Primates; family Hominidae; genus Homo; species Homo sapiens. The sequence goes on along the minus strand of NC_000024.10, from coordinate 25,377,857 downwards.
TCTCATCTTGAATTGTAATCCCCATAGCCCCCATAATCCCCACATGTCAAGGGAGAGACCAGGTGGAGGTAATTGAATCATGGGGGCAGTTTCCCCTGTGCTGTTCTTGTGATAGTGAGTTCTCACGAGATTTGATGATTTTATAAGGGATTCTTTCCCCTTTGCTCAGCACTTCTTCATGCTGCCTTGCAAAGAAGCTACCTTGCTTCCTCTTTGTCTTCCGCCATGATTGTGGATTTCCTGAGGCCTCCCAAGCTGTACTGAACTGTGAGCCAATTAAACTTCTTTCCTTTATAAATTACCCAGTCTTGGGCAGTTCTTTATAGCAGTATGAAAACAGACAAATACACCTACTATGTAAAACTTAAAATACAAAAAAAAAACATTATCTCACTAACATAGGAGCTAATATTTTGGTGTACTTTGTTTAGTATTTTATATTAAAAATATGTACATATATATTTATATATAATTAAGAACATGTATGTACAATCATGCATACATCATGTACATACATCTACTTAAGAAAATAGCTATGTAATATACCATTACTCAACTAGATTATAATTTTTTCTCCATTTCTTTATTGTATGTTATTTATCATTTTCTACTTTTTTGTTTTCTCATTTTTATCGCATAATATTTAATTATGCAAAAAATACATTAAATACATAGAAAATACATAATGTAGCTATAAGAATAAAGAACGATGGTAAAACAAATGCTAATACCCACTACCTGACTTAAAGAATATGATACTATTTTTTTCCAATTGAAATCCCCTCAACTACTCAGAATTACTGCTATCCCTTTTATCCTTTCATTAATTTTCTTCTAGTTTTCTCACATGTGAATCTATTTCTAAATACATTTCTTTATTTTGCAAGTTTTTGGACTTCATATAAATGTAACCATATTGTATATATTCTTCTTCAGCTTCTTACTTTTTCACTAAACAATATGTTTTGCTGATACTTACATTCATATGTACAGTAATAGTTGATTTATTTTAATGGCTATATACTATTCCATTGTTAGAATACACCAGGATTTATTTTTACTTATTTTTTTTTTGCTGGTAAATTGGGTGTCTTTTTTATTTTTTGATATAACAAACAATGTTGTAATCATTTTGTATTTACTTCCTAGTCCACTCCTGTAAGTTTCTCTTGAGTACATATTAGCAATGAAGATGCTGAGTCACTGCGTATACATACTCACAACTTTATTCTATAATGCAATATTCTATAAATTAGCTGTATCAGTTTATACTTTAACCAGTAATGGACAAGATTTTCTGTTACTTCCCATCTTTGTTAAATATTACTTTTAGACTCTAACTTTTATCAGGCTCATGGATGTAAAAAGCATCTCAGGGTGGTTTTAATTTGCATTTATCTGCTCATCTATGAAGATGAGCTTCTTTTCATATAATTATGAGTCATAATTTTTGTTTTGCCTTCTTTTGTTTATGCATTTTGCTTGTTCTATGTCTTATTTTTCCTGTTGATTTTTGGGAGTTCATATATATTCTAAATGTATATTTATTCACTCATATATATGTTGCAAATATTACAGTTTATGATTTGTCACCTTATGATATCATCCAAATAGAGAAGCTTTATATTTTGATGTAGTCATATGTTCATTTTTCCTCCTTAATGTTTGTTTTTCTTGGTTCTATGACCTACCAAAAGTAACAAAAATTCTCATTTATTTTTAATCTAAATGTTTTAAGTATTTTCCTGGAATTCACCTTGAATTGATTTCTATTGGAGACAGTTATCCAATCTAATTTGCCTCATATGGATAACCACTTGTTCTATTACTGCTGTAACAAATTTCTACAAACTAAGTGACCTAAAATAACACAAACTTATCATCTTACAGTGTACACAAGTCAGAAATCAGGCATGCATTTTAGTGAACTAAAATCAAGTTGTCGACAGGCATGTTTCTTTATGGCGGCTAGGGTAGAATCCATATCCTGTCCTTTTCTATCTTCTAGAGAACATCAGCATTCCCTTTCTCATTGCCTCTCCTCTCTCTTTTTAAAGCTGGCAATGTCACATTTCTCTGACCATTCTTTTTTATTTATTTATTTATTTATTTATTTATTTATTTATTTATTTATTTTTATCATTATACTTTAAGTTTTAGGGTACATGTGCACATTGTGCAGGTTAGTTACATATGCATACATGTGCCATGCTGGTGCGCTGCACCCACTAACTCGTCATCTAGCATTAGGTATATCTCCCAATGCTATCCCTCCCCGCTGCCCCCACCCCTCCACCGTTCCCAGACTGTGATATTCCCCTTCCTGTGTCCATGTGATCTCATTGTTCAATTCCCACCTATGAGTGAGAATATGCGGTGTTTGGTTTTTTGTTCTTGCGATAGTTTACTGAGAATGATGCTTTCCAATTTCATCCATGTCCCTACAAAGGACATGAACTCATCATTTTTTATGCTTGCATAGTATTCCATGGTGTATATGTGTCACATTTTCTTAATCCAGTCTATCATTGTTGGACATTTGGGTTGGTTCCAAGTCTTTGCTATCGTGAATAATGCTGCAATAAACATACGTGTGCATGTGTCTTTATAGCAGCATGATTTATAGTCCTTTGGGTATATACCCAGTAATGGGATGGCTGGGTCAAATGGTATTTCTAGTTCTAGATCCCTGAGGAATCGCCACACTGACTTCCACAGTGGTTGAACCAGTTTACAGTCCCACCAACAGTGTAAAAGTGTTCCTATTTCTCCACATCCTCTCCAGCACCTGTTGTTTCCTGACTTTTTCATGATTGCCATTCTAACTGGTGTGAGATGCTATCTCATTGTGGTTTTGATTTGCATTTCTCTGATGGCCAGTGATGAGCGTTTTTTCATGTGTTTTTTGGCTGCATAAATGTCTTCTTTTGAGAAGTGTCTGTTCATGTCCTTCGCCCACTTTTTGATGGGGTTGTTTGATTTTTTCTTGTAAATTTGTTTGAGTTCATTGTAGATTCTGGATATTAACCCTTTGTCAGATGAGTAAGTTGCGAAAATTTTCTCCCATTTTGTAGGTTGCCTGTTCACTCTGATGGTAGTTTCTTTTGCTGTGCAGAAGCTCTTTAGTTTAATTAGATCCCATTTGTCAATTTTGTCTTTTGTTGCCATTGCTTTTGGTGTTTTGGACATGATGTCCTTGCCCGTGCCTATGTCCTGAATGGTAATGCCTAGGTTTTCTTCTAGGGTTTTTATGGTTTTAGGTCTAACGTTTAAGTCTTTAATCCACCTTGAACATCTTGAATTGATTTTTGTATAAGGTGTAAGGAAGGGATCCAGTTTCAGCTTTCTACATATGGCTAGCCAGTTTTCCCAGCACCATTTATTAGATAGGGAATCCTTTCCCCATTGCTTGTTTTTGTCAGGTTTGTCAAAGATCAGATAGTTGTAGATATGCAGCGTTATTTCTGAGTGCCCTGTTCTGTTCCATTGATCTATATCTCTGTTTTGGTACCAGTACCATGCTGTTTTGGTTACTGTAGCCTTTTAGTATAGTTTGAAGTCAGGTAGTGTGATGCCTCCAGCTTTGTTCTTTTGCTTAAGATTGACTTGGCGATGCAGGCTCTTTTTTGGTTCCATATGAACTTTAAAGTAGTTTTTTCCAATTCTGTGAAGCAAGTCATTGGTACCTTGATGGGGATGGCATTGAATCTATAAATTACCTTGGGCAGTATGGCCATTTTCATGATATTCATTCTTCCTAACCATGAGCATGGAATGTTCTTCCATTTGTTTGTATCCTCTTTTATTTCCTTGAGCAGTGGTTTGTAGTTCTCATTGAAGAGGTCCTTCACATCCCTGGTAAGTTGGATTCCTATGTATTTTATTCTCTTTGAAGCAATTGTGAATGGGAGTTCACTCATGATTTGGCTCTCTGTCTGTCTGTTGGTGGTGTATAAGAATGCTTGTGATTTTTTACATTGATTTTGTATCCTGAGACTTTGCTGAAGTTGCTTATCAGCTTAAGGAGATGTTGGACTGAGACAATGGGGTTTTCTAGGTATACAATCATGTCATCTGCAAACAGGGAAAATTTGACTTCCTCTTTTCCTAATTGAATACCCTTTATTTCCTTCTCCTGCCTAATTGCCCTGGCCAGAACTTCCAACACTATGTTGAATAGGAGTGGTGAGAAAGGGCATCCCTGTCTTGTGCCAGTTTTCAAAGGGAATGCTTCCAGTTTTTGCCCATTCAGTATATTGGCTGTGGGTTTGTCATAGATAGTGCTTATTATTTTGAAATACGTCCCATCAATACCTAATTTATTGAGAGTTTTTAGCATGAAGGGTTGTTGAATTTTGTCAAAGGCTTTTTCTGCATCTATTGAGATAATCAGGTGGTTTTTGTCTTTGGCTCTGTTTATATGCTGGATTACATTTATTGATCTGCATATATTGAACCAGCCTTGCATCCCAGGAATGAAGCCCACTTGATCATGGTGGATAAGATTTTTGATGTGCTGCTGGATTCGTTTTGCCATATTTTATTGAGGATTTTTGCATCAATGTTCATCAAGGATATTGGTCTAAAATTCTCTTTTTTGGTTTTGTCTCTGCCCGGCTTTGGTATCAGAATGATGCTGGCCTCATAAAATGAGTTACGGAGGATTCCCTCTTTTTCATTGATTGGAATAGTTTCAGAAGGAATGGTACCAGTTCCTCCTTGTACCTCTGGTAGAATTCGGCTGTGAATCCATCTGGTCCTGGACTCTTTTTGGTTGGTAAAGTATTGATTATTGCCACAATTTCAGCTCCTGTTATTGGTCTATTCAGACATTCAACTTCTTCCTGGTTTAGTCTTGGGAGAGTGTAAGTGTCGAGGAATTTATCCATTTCTTCTAGATTTTCTAGTTTATTTGCGTAGAGGTGTTTATAGTATTCTCTGATGGTAGTTTGTATTTCTGTGGGATCGGTGGTGATATCCCCTTTATAATTTTTTATTGTGTCTATTTGATTCTTCTCTCTTTTTTTCTTTATTAGTCTTGCTAGCGGTCTATCAATTTTGTTGATCCCTTCAAAAAACCAGCTACTGGATTCATTAATTTTTTGACGGGTTTTTTGTGTCTCTATTTCCTTCAGTTCTGCTCTGATTTTAGTTATTTCTTGCCTTCTGCTAGCTTTTGAATGTGTTTGCTCTTGCTTTTCTAGTTCTTTTAATTGTGATGTTAGGGTGTCAATTTTGGATCTTTCTTGCTTTCTCTTGTGGGCATTCAGTGCTATAAATTTCCCTCTACACACTGCTTTGAATGCGTCCCAGAGATTCTGGTATATTGTGTCTTTGTTCTCATTGGTTTCAAAGAACATCTTTATTTCTGCCTTCATTTCATTATGTACCCAGTAGTCATTCAGGAGCAGCTTGTTCAGTTTCCATGTAGTTGATCGGTTTTGAGTGAGATTCTTAATCCTGAGTTCTAGTTTGATTGCACTGTGGTCTGAGAGATAGTTTGTTATAATCTCTGTTCTTTTACATTTGCTGAGGAGAGCTTTACTTCCAAGTATGTGGTCAATTTTGGAATAGGTGTGGTGTGGTGCTGAAAAAAATGTATATTCTGTTGATTTGGGGTGGAGAGTTCTGTAGATGTCTATTAGGTCCACTTGGTGCAGAGCTGAGTTCAATTCCTGGGTATCCTTGTTGAATTTCTGTCTCATTGATCTGTCTGATGTTGACATTGGGTGTTAAAGTCTCCCATTATTAATGTGTGGGAGTCTAAGTCTCTTTGTAGGTCACTCAGGACTTGCTTTATGAATCTGGGTGCTCCTGTATTGGGTGCATATATATTTAGGATAGTTAACTCTTCTTGTTGAATTGATCCCTTTACCATTATGTAATGGCCTTCTTTGTCTCTTTTGATCTTTGTTCATTTAAAGTCTGTTTTATCAGAGACTAGGATTGCAACCTCTGCCTTTTTTTGTTTTCCATTTGCTTGGTAGATCTTCCTCCATCCTTTTATTTTGAGCCTATGTGTGTCTCTGCTTGTGAGATGGGTTTCCTGAATACAGCACACTGATGGATCTTGACTCTTTATCCAATTTGCCAGTCTGTATCTTTTAATTGGAGCATTTAGTCCATTTACATTTAAAGTTAATATTGTTATGTGTGAATTTGATCCTGTCATTATGATGTTAGCTGGTGATTTTGCTCGTTAGTTGATGCAGTTTCTTCCTAGTCTCGATGGTCTTTATATTTGGGCATGATTTTGCAGCGGCTGGTACTGGTTCTGCCTTTCCATGTTTAGCGCTTCCTTCGGGAGCTCTTTTAGGGCAGGCCTGGTGGTGACAAAATCTCTCAGCATTTGCTTGTCTGTAAAGTATTTTATTTCTCCTTCACTTATGAAGCTTAGTTTGGCTGGATATGAAATTCTGGGTTGAAAATTCTTTCTTTAAGAATGTTGAATATTGGCCCCCACTCTCTTCTGGCTTGTAAGGTTTCTGCTGAGAGATCTGCTGTTAGTCTGATGGGCTTCCCTTTGAGGGTAACCTGACCTTTCTCTCTGGCTGCCCTTAACATTTTTTCCTTCATTTCAACTTTGGTGAATCTGACAATTATGTGTCTTGGAGTTGCTCTTCTCAAGGAGTGTCTTTGTGGTGTTCTCTGTATTTCCTGAATCTGAACGTTGGCCTGCCTTGCTAGATTGGGGAAGTTCTCCTGGATAATATCCTGCAGAGTGTTTTCCAACTTGGTTCCATTCTCCCCATCACTTTCAGGTACACCAATCAGATGTAGATTTGATCTTTTCACATAGTTCCATATTTCTTGGAGGCTTTGCTCATTTCTTTTTATTCTTTTTTCTCTAAACTTCCCTTCTCACTTCATTTCATTCATTTCATCTTCCATTGCTGATACCCTTTCTTCCAGTTGATCGCATCAGCTCCTGAGGCTTCTGCATTCTTCACGTAGTTCTGGAGCCTTGGTTTTCAGCTTCATCCGCTCCTTTAAGCACTTCTCTGTATTGGTTATTCCAGTTATACATTCTTCTAAATTTTTTTCAAAGTTTTCAACTTCTTTGCCTTTGGTTTGAATGTCCTCCCATAGCTCAGAGTAATTTGATTGTCTGAAGCCTTCTTCTCTCAGCTCGTCAAAGTCATTCTCCATCCAGCTTTATTCTGTTGCTGGTGAGGAACTGTGTTCCTTTGGAGGAGGAGAGGCACTCTGCGTTTTAGAGTTTCCAGTTTTTCTGTTCTGCTTTTTCCCAATCTTTGTGGTTTTATCTACTTTGGTCTTTGATGATAGTGATGTACAGATGTGTTTTTGGTGTGGATGTCCTTCCTGTTTGTTAGTTTTCCTTCTAACAGACAGGACCCTCAGCTGCAGGTCTGTTGGAATACCCTGCCGTGTGAGGTGTCAGTGTGCCCCTGCTGGGGGGTGCCTCCCAGTTAGGCTGCTCGGGGGTCAGGGGTCAGGGACCCACTTGAGGAGGCAGTCTGCCCATTCTCAGATCTCCAGCTGCGTGCTGGGAGAACCACTGCTCTCTTCAAAGCTGTCAGACAGGGACGTTTAAGTCTGCAGAGGTTACTGCTGTCTTTTTGTTTGTCTGTGCCCTGCCCCCAGAGGTGGAGCCTACAGAGGCAGGCAGGCCTTCTTGAGCTGTGGTGGACTCCACCCAGTTGGAGCTTCCTGGATGCTTTGTTTACCTAAGCAAGCCTGGACAATGGTGGGCGTCCCTCCCCCAGCCTCGCTGCCAACTTGCCGTTTGATCTCAAACTGCTGTGCTAGCAATCAGTGAGACTTCATGGGCATAGGACCCTCCCAGCCAGGTGTGGGATATAATCTCATGGTGGGCCGTTTTTTAAGCCTTACCAAAAAGCGCAATATTTGGGTGGGAGTGACCTGATTTTCCAGGTGCGTCCGTCAACCCTTTCTTTGACTCGGAAAGGGATCTCCCTGACCCCTTGTGCTTCCCAAGTGAGGCAATGCCTCGCCCTGCTTCAGCTCACGCACAGTGGGTGCACCCACTGGCATACGCCCACTCTCTGGCACTCCCTAGTGAGATGAACCCGCTACCTGTGATGGAAATGCAGAAATCACCCGTCTTCTGTGTCGCTCATGCTGGGAGCTGTAGACCGGAGCTGTTCCTATTCGGCCATCTTGGCTCCTCCTCCTCTCTGACCATTCTTTCATTGTCACATCTCTCTCTGGACTCAGCTAAGAAAGGTTCTCCATTTTTAAGAACTCATGTGATTAGACTGGGCCCATCTGGATAACCCAGGAAGATCTCTCCATCTCGGTTTGCATCCTTAATCACATCTGATAAGCCTTTATTGCATTCAGTGTAACATATTCACAGCTTCCAGGGTTAGGCATGGGCATCTCTGAGGGCCATTATTCTCCCTACCACATTATTTGCCTAGCATCTTTCATTACATTGTCCATCTATTTACTTACTGATTTCTAATGACATCCAAATCAGTTACAACATTTTATGTAAGCATTGTTTTTATTTTTATGTTATTCCACTAGTCTATTTTTCTACTCATGAATTATGGTACATGCATTTATTTTTGCACCTTTAAGCTCAATAACATGTTTTAAGATTTCCTCAACTTTCTTTTTCCACTTCTTCAGAAGTTGACTCTTTTGGCCCTTTGGTCTTCTATACACATTTTAGAAATGCTTTGTTGAGGACTAAGAGGAATGCTAAGATTTTGATAGGAATTTCATTGAATTTTGAATATATTGGCATGCTACAATGGTTAGTGTTTTATACATGAAAATAATATATCCCTTCCTCTTTTCTTAGTATCATGAGATGTTTGTTAGGCAGGCATGAATATTGAGTTGTATCAAATGTGTTTTTCTGCATTATTGTGGTGGTGATGTGATTTAGCTCCTTTAATTAGTTAATGTAATGAATTACATTTGTAGATTGCTCTAACTATTGAAACAAGCTTGAATTTCTGGAATAAGCCCAATGTGATATGTATTCAACAAATATTCATTGAGTATACCTAGTATGTAACATGCTTTAAGAATACACCAGTGAACCAAACAGAAATATCTGACATTACAGAACTTAACATTCCAGTATTTGGAGACAGATGATAAAAAAGTGAACATGTATATTTACAGTTTGTCAAGGAATGATAAATGAGGACTCTTAAAGTAGATGGGGAATTGGGAGTGAAGTCTGTAATTTAAATAGTGTGGACAGGAAAGCTTCGCAGAGAATGGGACATTTAAGAATAGACTTGAAGGACAGGCAAGAGCAATCTCTATGTTTATATGGGAGAAAAGGTTCCAGGCAGATGCAGTAACAATGGCAAATATCCTGAAGTAAGATCATGCTGGAGTTTTTGTGCAGTAGCAAGGAGGCTAGTGTGACTGCCACAGAATCACCCAAGGGAAGATGAGAAGATCAGACCAGACCAGCACTTGGGCATCTAATGGGAAAAGTTTCTCAAGCCATCATAAAAATTTCACTTACCATAAATACTACGAGAAACCATGGGATGTTTTACAGTAAGAAAGGTGGCATAATATGTTACATGTTTTAAACAAACTCTATAGCTTCTGAATTGAAATAGATTGTAGGGGCTCATGGCAGAAGCAGAGGGAACATTTAGGAGGCTACTGTAAAGAATATCATGAAAAGAACAAACAACGCTATGTAACATGCTTAAATGGACTGAAGAAGATGTATAAAATCAAAATGATGTTACCTTCACACCTTGAATCAGTATGATAAACCCCCCTCCCCAATCACAAAAGAAAAACTGAACACAAAAACCAGGCTTTGGTTGCTCAGACAATTTTACAGGTGAGTTCTAGCAAACATGCAAAGAACGTTTAATTGCACTGTTACAGAAATTCTTCTGGAGACAAGAAAATAAGACACATCACCCAACCAATTTCATGATAACAATGTCAATGTATAATAACAGAAAAAGTGGATCTCCAAAGAAATAAATTTATTTGGAAATAAACAAGGATTATAATCTGAGATATTTGTGCTATGATCAATCATAGGTGCATCCCAAGAGGTTGAGGTAAGGAAAATATTTAAAGACAAAAAGAAGTCTATGCAAGCTGTTTTGAAACAAACATCATTGGTCACAGGGCCTGAAGCAGGAGCTGGTGTTAACTTACTGGCAGAAACAGCCATTGCTAGGCAAGTGTTCTTGTGAGGGTGGCTTATCTGAAATGCTACAGTCTTGAGGAATTTTTTATGAAAGGTCCTATTATAGAGACACCTACAGGATGAGCTGGACAAACAGAGTGTGCTGGGCGGGCAGAAATTTCTTGTGAGTTTATAGAAAGTCCTTGTGATAGTGCTTATTGTGGACACACACACAGATCCCCTTTTTCATGACCCGGCTCCACTTTGCTTTGGGTCTGATGTAAGTGACTTTGCCTTGTCATTGGCAACTTTCACTGTAGTATAATTTGCACATTAAAGTTACCTAACAATAGTACAAAGAAAGAAAATTAAAGGTATGTCTCTTTCAAAAATATAAACCCCAAAATTGTTAGGAAATTGTAGTGAGTATAAAAGATAATTCATTATAATTGACATCTCAAGCTTCACAGAATTCTGACCTTTGTTTGCTACACTCTCATCCACAATCTTTTCTCCTAGTAAATGGCAGCTCCTTCTGTTAAGTTGCTGAGGCTTCTTATTGCTTTTTTCTTCAAATAACAGTCAGAACTGAACAACTGTAATCATCCTAGTCCATACAATTGTTATATTTTCATTTAAAGAAGATCAATGTGTGATTCTTTTTTATATATTTCTGGACAATTCTTTATATTTTAATAGTAGTCAGAATTTGATCAGGAAAACAGAAGACATCCTATGTATTATAATGATAAAAGTTTAATATTAATTAGGGCCTTATGCTATTATTGGAAGAGCTTGGTGAAAAGATATTAGAAAAGCAGTTAGACAAAATCAGAAGAGGTCTGTTTTATATGAGAGATCTTAGCCTGACAGTCTAGAGTGTGGGCACAGAACCCAAGCTTATAGGAATTTCTGAAAGGTCTGTAAATCTTATCCAGATGGACAGTGGGAGCTCATAAAGAATTCTGCAAGCCATCACATCTGTCAAACCTGCTATGTCTAATCCTTAAGCCTGCTTTATGTGAAGACCTCCTCTTCACTCCTCACTTCCAGCTCTCATGAATTTCTTTCATAGGCAAACCCAAACCTGGAACAATGTGCCTGAAGACTTCGGGTGACACAGTACCCAGGCTTAAATAGGAGGGGAGCCATGGTGGAAGTGGCTATCCAGCACAATTTTCTTGGTCTTTACTCATAGTTTTGATTCCTTAAAAAAATTAACCACATTAAAATATGTTTCATAATCTACATCTAATAATACAAATATTTAAAGTCTTTTCAAGTGTGAATATGCTACCCATGTTGCTGCTACCCCCATTTTGTGTGTGTGATTTTTGTGTGTGTGTTAGAAGCTCATGACCTTTGAAACCTGCTCTTATGAGCTTGCTTTGATGATTTATTTGTCCAGAGAGGATTTTTTTTCCTACCTGGCATTTTGGACTGCTATCAACCTGAGACCACTTTGAATTAAATTCTCAGCTTGCCAATTTGGAAGCCACACAGATTGTGTGAGTTCAGGCTGAAACCTGTTTGAGAGCTGGATTCTGGCTATAAACTCTACAGGGAACATTTTCTCTCTGCACTCAGAGCTGAGACCATAGGGAAATTTATTTGCTAGCTCTCTTTGCAGGTTTATTTTATTTATTTTTTTAATTTCTAGTACACGTGCTCACTGAAGGTGTAATACTTATGTGAGAATCTCAAAATCAGTTGTGTTCTTTGTATGACCCTGGTTTTGTTTCCTCCTGCTCTCTTACTTTCAGTGTGTCTCAATATGTCTGCTGATGCTATGGTCATCTTAAATTTCGACTGAGGGTGGATCTTCTTCCCAGCTCACTCACATGGTTCTTAGCTAGATTCAGTTTCTCTCCATTTGTAGGGTTGAGGACCTCAGTTCTTCACTTAGGGTTGGCTACAGGCAATCATCAATTTCTTGTAACAGGACTTACACTGGGCCACTGACAGCATGCCAGTTGGCTTCATTCAAATGAGAGGGCAAGAGAAAGAGAGAGAGGGAGAGGGCACAAGATGAAATTCACAGTATCTTGTAATCTAATCTCAGAAGTGGTATCTCATTACTTTTGTTCTATTGTATTCAATAGAAACAAGTACCTGGGACCAGCTTATACTATAGGAAAGAGATTATATAAGGGTATAAATACCAAGAGGTAGAGATCATCAAGAGCCATTCTGGTAGCAGCCACAATATCTTATCCAGAATATTTCTTATTCAGGCCTTCAAATGTGCTGTATTTTCTGGTCTAATGGAAATGAACCTTCCTTCCATACAATTTCTTCTCCTAAATTGTACTCTGGCTCTCTAATCACATACAAATGTCTATTTTAGGTATTGACTGTCTTGTCTTGATTCTTGGTAGGCTTTTAAACTCTGTGAATGTTGGACTGTGATGTAGACATCATTTCACCACACACTCTGTAACCACCAAACCTTAGCAGCTTATTCAGTAAGCACATACTTGGCTCTTAATGAGTATTGCTTAAATTGATGAATTGAATTAGTATTTTACCTTCTCTGTTGCTTAGCTAAGCAGAAGAATTTGTCATTTTTTTAATTTAGTGACTGGTTCTATTAAAAGTTACCTTTGTCTATATCATTTTGTTATACTAAAGCACAAATGTATAAGGTCAAAAAACATTCTGAAGATTTTGTTTAAACCACAGCCCTCAGTTGTGTATATTTATCTCTTGTTTTCATATGCAAGATTTCTCCTGAAATGGACAACAATTACAAGAGTTTTTTTCCTTTTCTTAACTAAGAAAATACATATTTAATTCACAAGTTTAGAAAAGTGAACCTGAAAAATCACAGGACTAGGTGGGTTATGAGGCCCACTGGTACATGATAGTGTTGAATGTGGATTAGAATGAACTCCGTGGATTAGAACCTCAGACCATAGGCAAACATTTACTTGTTTTAGAATAAGCACATTTGAGTCTGCAATAAGTATTACTATTTTTAAGTTGAAAATGTAATTGGTTTCTAATAATAACCATATTGGCTAGCATTATTTCAATCGTGTTTAATGTTTTCCAATGTCATTTCATGTCAGATATCTCTCTTGATTCTTAGTAACAATTTGGACAAGACAGCAAATGCTATTGTCCAAGTTTTCTAAAGAAGAATCTGAAGTGAAATGACATCAAGAGACCTATCAAGACCTGTATCCAGGAAAAGGTAAATCTGAGCTGAAATTGTATCCCTTGTAAATTACCTACATGACATACCAGATAGTGTTCATGATCCATTTAGTACTCTGTTCTAAAAATGAGACAATATCCATTTATTCACTTGTTCATTTATTTAGTGTTTGTTCAGCCCTTACTGCATATTCCAGGCACTATTCTGACTGTGGCAGGAGTGAACAAACAGGCATGGTTCTTACTTGCATGTAAGTACAGTCTTATAGTGAAAACAAGTGTTAAACAACAAAATCTCCCAATTATTTTAAAATTATAAACTTGATTCGATACTATGTGGCCATATAATTGTTCCTAATTTGGTTGGAGAAGGGAGGCAGTTAGGGAAGCCTTCCCTGAGTTAGTGCCATTTAACCTGATTTATGATAGATGATAAGTAATTTGTCAGGGGAAAAATATTCCAGGAATAAAGAACAAGTACAAAGATCAGGTTCTGGGAAGAGCTTGTCTTGGTCCAGGAACTAAAAAATGTTAGAGTGGCTGGATCTGGGAAAGAGACAAAGAGTTATTAAATGAGGCAGCAGGCTTCAGCAGGTGCCACATTGCTCAGGGCCTTGTAGGCCATGCTAAGGATTTGGGATGTTAATGTCAGTACAAACAATTGAGTTATAAGCAGAAAGTAAAAGCATGATTCCATCAAATGTTTTCTCTAAACAGTAATTTTATAAATACAGGTTAAATGTGTGTGGTCCCAGATACTCAGGAGGTCCCAGCTACTCAGTATTCCTTTTCAACAAATATTAGGTGCCTACTATTAGCCAGGTACAGCCCTTAGCTACTTTGAATGAAGCATATATTACAAACTGGCAGAACTTCTTAAACAAAGAATCTAAAGTTGTTTATACACCATAATCTCGGTATTTTATAAATTTCTTGAAATTATTTTTGTTTACACTGCTTTGCAGAATTTTAACTGGCTTTGAAATAAACAATAACAATAGTCCTCCGTGTTACTTGTTTCAAATATTCCCAATACCTACTAAGACATTACTTAATCCACAGATTTATTGTCAATAGTTTGTATCAAATTTTGATAACATATTTGAAATTAATATTTCAAATTAAAACAAAATAACAAATATTTACTTTATATTATGAATGAGATTCACAAAAGGAGCATGATAATATGTTCTGTCGTCATCGCATACAAAATAATAACATATAGAGTATGAATCAATAATTTTTCAAATACAAAGCTATTACAATTAGGAATACAAAGAAATCATAATTAGGAATACTTCTACAATATTAACACACAATAGTGGTAACACTTTCAAAATGATGGTGGTGTTTTTTTTTGTTTGTTTCTTTTGTTTTTTTTTTTTCCGACGAGTCTTGCTCTTGTTGCCCAGGCTGGAGTGCAATGGCGTGATTTTGGCTCACTGTAAACTCCACCTCCTGGGTTCAAGCGATTCTCCTGCCTCAGCCTCCCTAGTAGCTGGTATTACAGGTGCCTGCCACCACACTCAGCTAATTTTGTATTTTTAGTGGAGATGGGGGTTTCACCATGTTGGCCAGCCTGGTCCCGAACTCCTGACCTTAGGTGATCCACCAGCATCGGCCTCCCAAAGTGCTGGGATTACAGGTGTGAGCCACTGCGTCCAGCCAGTGGTGGGTCTCATATCTCAATGTGGACTTTTACTAACTCCCGATACCTCAGTTTCCTCATCAATTGAAAGGAATGAATGAAAGATATGTGTTTTTCATATTACCAGGTAGATGATAAGGAGATTTTAATTTTCTTTTTTTTAACTTTTATTTTAAGTTTAGGGGCATTTGTTACATAGGTAAACTGGTGTCACAGGGGATTATTGTACAGATTATTTCATCATCCAGGTATTAAACCTAGTACCCAATAGTTATCTTTTCTGCTTCTCTTCCTTTTCTCATCCTCCACCCTCAAGTAGACCCTAGTGTCTGTTTTATTCTTTGTGTTCATTAGTTCTCATCATTTAGCTCCCACTTATAACTGAGAGTATGCTGCATTTGGTTTTCTGTTCCTGCATTAGTTTCCTAAGGATAATAGAAGATCCATCCATATTCCAGCAAAAGACATTATATCATTTTTTAATGGCGGCATAGTATTCCATGGTGTATAAGTACCACATTTTCTTTATCCAATCTGTCATTGATGGATATTTAGGTTGATCCTATACTTTTGCTATTGTGAACAGTGCTGCAATGAACATTTGTATGCATGTGTCTTTATGGTAGAATGGTTTATATTCATCTGGGTATATACCCAGTAGTGGGATTACTGGGTCAAATGGTAGCTCTGCTTTTAGCTCTTTGAGGAATCACTATTCTTTGAACAATGATTGAACTGATATGCACACCCACCAACAGTGTATAAGCATTCCCTTTTCTCCATAGCCTCAATAGCATCTGTTATTTTTTGACTTTTTAATGATAGCCATTCTGACTGGTGTGAGATGGTATCTCATTATGTTTTTGATTTGCATTTCTCTAATGATCAGTGATGTTGAACTTTTTTTGTGTGTGTTTGTTGGCTGCATACATGTATTCTTTTGAAAAGTGTCTGTTCATTCCCTTTGCCCAATTTTAATGGGGTTGATTGTTTTTCTTTTGTAAATTTCTTTACATTAGAAATGTTTTTATTATTAAGTTGAGCGGCCTCATTCTTAGTATGGTTTTTCACTTTAAAAAGCATAAGGGTGGACATGGTGGCATATGCTAGTAATCCCAACTACTGGGGAGACTAATACAGGAGGATTGCTTGAGCCCAGGAGTTCAAGGCTATAATGTGCTATGATCATGACTGTGAACAACCACTGTACTGCATCCTGGGCAGAGTGACATAGTGAAACCACATCTCTAAAAAAAGAGAAAATGTAATTTAAATATTTAAATACATATGTATATGTGTGTATATATGTATATATATTGCATATATCACAAATGGTTTGTAGTTTCCATTCACAGCACATAGTAAAATGCCTTAACCTCCTCCCTCCTCCCTATTTGTGTTTTTCTAATGTGTGTCTTTTTTACCTTAATTTTTCTCTTAGTGTCTCATAGTCTTTTTAGGTCTCCCTCTTTCTTCTGTCTTTCACACACACACACACACACACGCACACGCACGCACGCATACACACATGTACCTTGAAACATAGCTTTTCTTTTTCTTAAAACTTCCCAAAGCTTTCATAAAATTAACCCTCAGGCACTCTTACATATCTCATCCACTCTTCTTCCTCTCTCCCCTTCCTGAAGCCATTTGTAACTTACTCTATTACACTAGGAAGGGGAAGCAAATATTCATATTATTTTCTTATTATATCCTTAGCATTACTAGACCTTTGTGGTTTCTATGGATGAGGGACATAATATTTATTGATTTATTCTAAACTTCAGTCACTCATAATATACCCTTTTATTCCTCCTTCTTCTGTGATATTGGGAGTGTATAGTTGTCATTGTGACAAACCCTTTGCTGTCAGTATCTAAAGTGGATGGGGAGAAAAGGAGGGCTTTGCCATTCATCATCTTCAGTGCATTTCCCACTGTCAGTGTCATTGTCTAATGCTGTTTGCATCCACACAGCCTAAGGGAACCGTTTAAGTGAGTGACTCCCTCCCTTCACTTCAGCCCATCACTTGAGCATTTCTCTTCCTTGAAAAAAGACAAGTGGTTCTTCTAAGACTTGAGTAATTCTGAATATAATTGAGGACTAGATGTTCCTGTTTTATATCCTACAGGGCTGACATCTCTAATGCTGAAAGTACAACAAAGTGCAGTGGTAGTCACTGAGTGTTCAGCCATGCTGGGTCATCAAAATAAAAGGAGATCATCTTCCCATTCCTATCAATGACCTCATCTCTACCAGATATATAACTGGAAAAACAATGCATTTGCTTAAACATCCACAGTGAGCCACACTTGTTTGGTGTTGTGGGGAAATGATGGAGAAGCACCCTTGTTTATTAAGGATTCAATTTTGATAGGCTGAGACATATTTTTCCTCCCAAGTCTGCACATGGTCATGCATTAAATATTAATGAGCCTCTTCTCTCTATCAGGCTTTGGGGGATATGTTCACCTCTTTGGAAGTGAACATGATAGAGGTGAACATGATAAATAAGATCCTTTCTCTCATGTAGCATTCTCTCCATTCTTTTTTTTTTTTTTTTTTTTTTTTGATAGGGACTAGCTCTATCACCTAGGCTAGAGTGCAGTGGTGCAAACATGACTCACTGCAGCCTTGACCTCATGGACTAAAGTGATCCTCAAGTGATCCTCTTGCCTCCACAACATCCAGCTAACTTTTAAAAAATTTTTTGAAGGGAAGGTTTTGCCATGTTGCCTCAGCCTCCTGAAGTGGTTGGATTACAGGTGTGAGCCACTGCACCTGGCCATATTTTCTTTCCATTCTTATGGAAGGCAGTAGTCAGCAAAACAGTTAATCAATTGAGAATATATTAGGTGGTTATAGGAACCATGAAAAAATAAAATACAGTGTGTAAAGAAGGCTTGATGACCAGGAAGATTTTACAGGGAAGTGACATTTGAACTGAGAGCAAATACTTAAAGAAGCCAGTTCTTTGAAGAGTTGATGGGAAAGTATTCCAAGAAGTGGGAATGGCAAGGGGAAAGGACTTAAGATGTAAACTCAGAATGATTAAGGAGGAGCATGGTACAAGAGGATATCAGAAACATAGCCAGGAAAGAGAGCTATGCTTAAGTATTAGGATTTTATTCTTTGCAAAGGAAAACCCCATTGAAGCTTTATAGCAAGGACCTAAGAGTTAACATAATTTTTTTAAGGTACCTTAAAAGTTTTGCTGAATGAAGAATTCATTGAAGTGAGTCAGGAATGTATGATTTTGGACAACTGACACAATGCCTGAGGCATAGTTTCTTCATATGGAAATTGGAGACAATGATCATATCTACCTTAGCAGATTATATAATGAATTATTTTCCTAGGGCTCCTGTAATAAAGTACCACAAACTGGGTAACTTAAGCAACAGAAATTTATTGCCTCACAATTCTAGAGGTGAGAAGTCCAGATCAAGAAGCTGGAAGGGCTAGGCTGCCTGAAAAGGTGCTAAGGAAGGAACTGTTCCAGTCCTCTTTCTCTCCTTCCAGTAGTTCCTTGGCTTGTGACAGCACAGTGTCAATTCTCATATGGCATCCTCCCTGTGTTCCTGTCTCTATGTCCAAATCTCCCTTTTATTTAAGGACAGAGTCACAGTGGATTAGAACACCCCCATAACATGAAGATTGCATGAAATTATATACATAAATAATTCAACAACATAGCTTCCAAATAGAAAACACTCAGCCTTTGTCATCTCATCATTATTTGTTTACACCTTTGTATTATTGGTATAGCTCTAGTCTTTTGAAAGGTGCAGTTACTCATCTCTGTGTTTTTCACTCCTTCATAGCTAAGTGTAAGGTGCTTTTGCAAAATCCAGTACTGCATATTTGAGAAATGCTTTTTATTCCTACACATACTGCATATAATGTCACACAATTCGATTTTGTAGGTCTAATGAAGTTGGTCTTTCTATGAGTTCCTATGGCTAAAAATAGTCACAATTGTGTACTCCAGTAAACTGTTAGAATGAAGAAAATAGTTTGGGTGAAATTATCAATCTGGTTTTTCAGACTTCAGCTGTGTGTCATGTTTTGTTAGTCAAGAGAAACATCTAATGTGAGGCCCCTGGAGGACAGCTGATAAGTAAGCATACCAAGTAGAATGGCTACTGGAAAAAGTGTGCCAGCTAGAGAGAGAGAGAAAAGAGAGAGTTAATTTACCATGCTCAAGTAAAGAATGATCCACAAATTCAACAATATCTAAGTAGTCTTAAAGGACATGTCATTGACAGATTTATCTTCTAGTCTCCCACTTTGTCTAACACTGCTTCAAAACAAAGCAATTTACTGAACCCAGTGGTCTCATTATTCTGGAGGTTTATAAGGTTAAAAATACCTGGAGTTTTGGGAGCAGCAATAGCACTGAAGTGGGATATTAGTAGTGATGCATGTGTTTACAGCACCTGTGAACACACAAAGACTGAAGCTTTAAGGCTGATGACCCTGAGTTAGGGGAAAAGATAAAACTTTCTATTAGATTTTTTTAATGTTGAGAAGAAAATTATTTATCTCCACATTTCTTGAATATTATCCTCTTACAATTAGGTCAATGATTCTCACCCCAGTTATATATTAAAATTACCTGGAGATATATAAAAACTATCAATGTTCTACTCTTCTACAGATTAAATCATCATCACTGAGGGTGGCCCTCCAGCAACCAGGTTTGAGAACCACTTTAGACCAGTTTTCTCTGTGCCATTCAGTAATGACAATGATAACTGTAGGATATGCAAATTGCAGAAAGACAACTGCAAATGATGTAGCTTATCCCCAAACAGCTGAACTATCTTAAGCCTCATGGCTACTTTAGAGTGACCAAATCCATGTAGATGCCAGAAGTTGTGTCATACACCTATTTCAAGGGACACATAGGATTTACCTATATATACCTACCTCAAGGGTCATGTCGGTTTACCATTCCCCTAAACAACAGCTTAATAGTATAAACTGTGAACTGCTGTCTGCCTAATATTTATTTTGGCTATACTTCTTCTTTTCTATATTAAAGGCCACTGCTTTTCCCAGCTTGCTCTTTGTTCTCCATCATCTGTTGTGGGTCACTTGTGCTTTCTGTTTTTAACACCCTGTTGCTGAAGTCATTTCTCCAATTCATGATCCATGAAACTACTTCAGCAGTGAAAATGGCACCCCTCAGATTCAAGTCAACATTTTTATATCTCCCTCTAGGTCAAGATCCAAGCTATGGAAGAAATCAGGATATGTCAATTTTCTAGAGCAGCCAAGTTTTCTAAAAGTCTACCTAGCCATGTAGTTATGTAGCCTCACTCTCACTTAAACAAAGAAAATTTAAAAGCACACCAGAAAAGACTTTTCTTGTTAAAAACACATGTTTATTGTAGAAAATATAGTAAGGCAACTAGAATTTCTCTAGTTAGAGATAACTATTATTTATTTGAGGGTGTGTATATATCTATACATATATATTGACATTCAGCTCTTATGTACTAGATACACACATCTACTGTTTCATAAGCTTTTTTCACAGAATAGATTATAATCAGTTATGTTTGCTATCACCACAACATTTTCTTCTTGAAGACCTTCTGGAATGAGGCATTTGCTTTTCTATCTAGAGAACCTATCCTTTCAAAAGGTCCTTTCTCTGTGGAAAGAGCTATTCTGGCCACAGTTACTGCCAAGAAATGAAGTGTTAGAAAAGGCCTAAAGTTAAGTGCAGAACTGCTGTGTTTTGATGAATATTCCGTTGTTTTGAGAGGAGGTAGAAGCATTCTCAGCTTCAGGATATGTGCTCACTACTCATTAGTCTCTCTGAGAAGTAGCAAACTTCAAAGGTTAAGTATGAAGAGATGAATTGTGTAATGCCTAGATGTCAGTAGCGGAGAAGGTATCTGAGCAAATTCAGAATTTTATCCCTGTCTCCATGGGCCAAGTGTGAAGAACAGTCATTTGTGTAAGTGGGTGTTTGTGTATATGGTACTGAATCAGGTCACTGAGTCAGAAACTTAGAGCTATAAGGAAAGTGAGGTGCTCTCCAGTCCAGTGTTCTGGAATTTCTTCTGCAGTGGCCCCCAACAGCAGGTGGCAGCCTCGTCCATGATTATATTCTTAAGTGGCATGGTATTACTCTTTCTATTTGCAATCCATTTCACTGATGGATAGTTCTAGAGATCTGAAACATTGAGATTTAGCTCAGTGTTGTTTATATGAAGATAAATTCCACTTTCCAACAACTTTCTTGTATGTGTCTAACGTCTGCCACATGGAATGTCACAGATTATGCTTCATACTTGTCTTCCTGAGTCTTCTTTAATCCCGAATACCCTGAGTTTTTGAATGGTTGACATGTCAGCTGGCTTTCTGCAGATGTACTTCTCGTGTGTAAATTTCCTTCGCTGTGAGGTATTCATATTGAACATGACCTCCAAGTGTGTTTGGATCTGTGCAGAAGACAATAGGACTGTGATTTCTGATGATTAAGACCTGGATTGTATGTTACTGTGATCAGACCCTGAGACTGAGTTAGCAAGTTTTATAGCATCTGAGTCGCTCTGTTGGAGGAAAGTGCATGTGATGGGCATTTGCTTGCTTCCCCACCAGATTCTCTACTTTCGCCCTTCCTGCAAGAGTCCCTAGGAAGCTGACTTCTGCTGAATGCAACACTCAGGTTCTCTGCTTCCTAGATTCTAGTTGAGTTTGGTCCATGGGAGGCCTTGGCAGAAATTTTGAGAGTAAGAGCAAATAATTACTTAACCATTAGAAAAAACATAACATGAATGTGTCCTTCTATCCACAGCCTCACTTCCTGTTGGGGAGCCTCGGTGCCAATCCCTCGGTGCATCACCATTTCTAATTAGTTCCTGTTTTAGTCTGCCTTTGTGTGTGTGTGTGTGTGTGTGTGTGTGTGTGTGTTGTTATAAAGGAATACCAGAGGCTGAGTAATTTTAAAGAAGAGAGGTTTATTTGGTTCACTGTTCTGAAGGTGTGCAAGATGCATGGTGCCACCATTTGCTTCTGGTGAGGGCTTTAGGCTGTTTCCACTCATGGCAGAAGGGGAAGGGAAGCTGGCATGTGCAGAGATCATGTGGCGAGAGAGAGGGGTTTGTGCCAGGCTCTTGTTAACAACCAGCTCTTGTGGGAATTAAGAGAGCTAGAACTAGGTGGGCACGGTGGCTCATGCCTGTAATCCCAGCACTTTGGGAGGCCGAGGCAGGTGGATCACCTGAGGTCAGGAGTTTGAGACCAGCCTGGCCAACATGGTGAAACCCCGTCTCTACTAAAAATACCAAAAATTAGCTGGACATAGGGGTGGGCACCTGTAATCCCAGCTACTCTGGAGGCTGACACAGGAGAATGGGTTGAACCTGTGAGGTGGATGTTGCAGTGAGCCAAGATCGCACCACTACACTCCAACCTCGGCAGCAAGAGTGAAACTACATCTCAAAAAGAAAAAAAAGAGCGAGCAAGAACTCACTTGGATGGCACCAAGACATTCGTGAGAGGTCCACACTCAGGACCAAAACACTTCCCATTAGGCCCCCCCTCCAACAATGGGGATCACATTTCAACATGAGTTTGGAGTGGTCACATATCCAAACCCTAGCAGTTCCCTTAACCCTGGAAAGAGAACCTTCGTTAAACTCTTTCTGCTTAATCCTTTGAGAGTGCAACAATTTCCTGCTAGGACCCTGACAGATAGAGGGACCATACAGATCACTAAAATGCTGAGGAATTTTTCAAATGAACTGCACCCAACAGACCTCCCTGATTCTGAATATATCAAACTTTTATTTTTTATTTTATTTTATTTTATTTTTTGAGACGGATCTCGCTCTGTCACCCAGGCTGGAGTGCAGTGGTGCGATCTCAGCTCCCTGCAACCTCCACCTCCTGGGTTCAAGTGATTCTCCTGCCTTAGCCTCCCGAGTAGCTGGGACTACAGGCATCCACCAGCAGGCCCAGCTAATTTTTTATTTTTAGTAGAGATGGGGTTTCACCATGTTGACAGGGCTGGTCTTCAACTCCTGACTTCATGATCTGCCCACCTTGGCTTCCCTAAGTGCTTGGATTACAGGCATGAGCCGCTGTACCCAGCCAAACTTTAAAAAAAAAAAAAAAAACCCAAATAGTACTTTGAACTTCACCTGCAGGGAGTTATTCAAATTGGTTGTCAGCCAGTTATTTCAGGTTGTTGAGATCATCTGGCTCTTGATTTTATTAATCATCTTAGCCTTCCCTTTCAGCTATTTGCTGACTTTGTGCAAATTTTATTAACATGTGATCTCTGTCTTTATCCATGGAGAAGCAGTATAGTATCATGAGGAAAAATAGACTTTGGAGTAGGCAGAAATTAGGTTTGAATTAGTAGCCACGAGGCTTTGGAAACATTACTTAAACTCTATAAGCTTCAATTTCTTTATCTATAAGGTAGGTATAAAACCTGAAAATTTTGGCATGAGTTTAGTAAAACTGTCTGTGAAGCCCTTGTGGACTGCTTGGTCCATGTAGGCATTTGATAAATGGTGGCTTTATATAGAGGAGGGAAATGCAAGCTATCTCAAAAAGAAATCAGGGAAATAAGAATGCCATCTGAAATCTGTCATATGAGAATGAAAGGAGCATAGACAGGTTTTGAGTGTGGGGTGAGGAGTAGGGGAGGGGAGGAGATAAGTGAACTGCCCCTCAGACTTCCAGGGAGGAGAAAAATGATGTCACTGGGAACTGCAGTCATTTGAAAAGATAGCAATCAAGCATTTCTTTCAGAGCCCTGTTCATCTTTCAGTGGCTTTGCTTCTCCAGATGCTTTTGCTCTTTCAATTATCTCTGCCTTCTCCCACCTCCTCTCCAACCATCTCTTCCCTTCCTTAATTCACAATTTTTCTCCCTCTTTTCAAGGCATAGTGCTTTGATTTATAAATTAGTTCTGTTTCTGTTTTCTAATTTATTAGTTTCTGCTTTCTTATTTATTTATTTTGAGATGGAGTCTTACTCTCTTGCCCCAGTTGGAGTGCAGTGGCATGATCTTGGCTCACTGCAACCTCTGCCTCTCAGGTTCAAGAGATTCTCCTGCCTCAGCCTCCCAAGTAGCTGGAATTACAGGAGTGCGCAACCAAGCCTGGCTAGTTTTTGTATTTGTAGGAGAGACAAGATTTCACCATGTTGGCCAGGCTGGTCTGGAACTCCTGACCTCAGGTGATCTGCCTGCCTCAGCCTCCCAAAGTGCTGGGATTACAGATGTGAGTCACCGTGCTTAGCCTGCTTTCATATTTATTAATACATTATTTCCACTTGCCTAAGGATAGTTGTTGTTCAACCTTTACTAGCTTTTTTGTTGTTCACACTTAATACATTTATTTTTATTGTGCTATAGCTATTTCCCACATGTGATTTTTTATTTTTTTGAGATAGGATCTTGCTCTGTTGTTGAGGCTGGAGTGCAGTGATATGATCATGGCTTGCTGAAGCCCTGAACTCCTGAGGTTGGGTGATTCTCCCACCTTAGCCTCCCAAGTAGGTGGGATTACAAGAAGTACCACTATACCTGGCTATTTAAAAATTTTTTTTGGCGTGTGTGGAGGTGGAGTCTCCCTGTGTTGTCCAGGCTGGTTGTGAACTCCTGGTCTCAAGTGATCCTGCCACCTTGGCATCTCAAAATGCTGGGATTACACATGTGTAATATTTTTATTGTCACTGTTTTCCACATATTCTAGAAATTTTATTTGGATTTCTTTTTTTTTTTTTTTTTTTTTTTTTTTTTTGACAGAGTCTTGCTGTGTCACCTAGGCTGGAGTGCAGTGGTGCAATCTCAGCTCACTGCAACCTCCACCTTCTGGGTTCAAAGAATTCTCCTACCTCAGCCTCCTAAGTAGCTGGGATTACAGGCATGCACCACCAGGCCCAGCTAATTTTTGTATTTTTAGTAGAGACAGGGTGTCGCCATGTTGACGAGGCTGGTCTTGAATTACTGACCTCAAGTGACCTGCCCACCTTGGCCTCCCAAAGTACTGAAATTACAGGCATGAGCCACTGTACCCGGCCTGGATTTCTTTTTGACATAGAATTATTTAAGAGAAAGCTTTTAAATTTCCATGCTGTAATTTCTAGTTTTGTTGTGTCATAATCAGAGAATATAATCTGTAGCATTTCTACATTCTCTACTTTGCTTAGATGTTTTTGGGGTGGGGTGTATAATATGTACTCAATTTTGTAAACATTTTATGGACATACAAATTTCAATGTTTACTTTTTCAGGCTATAGGCTTTGCTACATAATTTTTGTGTATTTTGTGGTTCTCATATAGATTTTTTAATTATCTTTTTGCTGTGATAGAGATTAGAAGGGTAAATTAATGTCTCATTTACCATCATTTTTCTTTCTATATCTCTTTTCATTTCCTGATGCTTTGGCTTTATGAAATCTTTATGTATAAAAATTGTGCACACATATCTTTATGCACAGTGTTTTGGATTTTACCCTTCATAATGAGCTTTTTTCTCTCCTTTGAATTTGACCTGGCCTGGTGTTAACAGCCCAGGCGTAAAATTCCAGTGAGAAAGAAGTCTGATGAGGAGTCAGTAGGATCTTTGGGTTGCTGAGAACTGCTCAGTACCACGGACAGCTCCCTGCACTCCCGGAAACTTCCTGATTCGGTGTCTTGAGTATTGTGAATCACAGTTAGAGCAGAAACATGGAGAATCTCCTTAAAATGGCAAATTGGCTTCTGGTCTTGCATAAGAATTCATTGAGGCCTAAGGGGCTGTGCAGGTCTACTGTCCAAAGTACAGAGGTTATTCCTAGTGTCTTTAATATTACTGTCCCTTTAGGCAAGATTATCCTTATGATAAGGGAGACTGAATTAAGCTATTTTGGTTGAGGCATATTTTTATAAATTCATCCAATTAGCTTCCCTTGTTGTAGTTTTGGCTCACCAAACATTGTTCTGATTATAATTTAGCATCCTATATAATTTCATCTGCAGGGAGAGTCTGTACTAGGCATGACGATGCTTACATGTCAGCCCGTGTGACTGCAAGAGTCTCAGTATAATTTGATAACATGGCACTCAGATTCTAGACATTATTCTCTGTGTGCTTAGTGAGTGTGATGACATAACCTTCAGAAAGATTCGTCCTTTCTCACATACTGATAAATCAACTTTTACATCTACAAAGTTGAGAGCCAGAAATTAAAACCTTATTAATTCACTAAGGCATCCCTATGATGGCAGTCTTCCAACTAGCTCCATTCTGGGGCACTCTGACATCATTGTACACTTTCCAATGAAAGCAGGGAGTGTATGTGATTAAAGGGAGAGCCCTGTGGCACTCCTGAAAAATCTCCCCTCCCAGTTCACATTGACTTATTAACCAACACTCATGATCATGTGAAACTCTAGAACTGGATCTGGGTGCCTGGCAGGATGACATGGTGTGAGGCTCAAGCAGCACTGTGGGAATTCAAGCATCTGTTTATTTCTGAGAGAAAAAGTGTAAAGCAAAATAATATCTTTTAACAAATGTTTGTATTTGACTAAAAAGGAAGCAAGCACTTAATTTATGAATTTGCTAATTGCTCCTCTGAGCTGAGAATATCTGTGTTGAATATTAGTCATTATCCGTATTTGGCACAGAATAATCTCGAGGGTTAAATGACATTGTTCCTACAGTGGGCACCTGAAGACTGGCTATAAAAGCAATCCTGGCCAGGGGCGGTGGCTCACGCCTGTAATCCCAGCACTTTGGGAGGCCAAGATGGGTGGATCACGAGGTCAGGAGTTTGAGACCAGCCTGGCCAACATAGTGAAACCTCATCTCTACTAAAAATACAAAAAGATTAGCTAGGATGGTGGCAGACACCTGTAATCCCAGCTACTTGGGCGGCTGAGGCAGGAGAATCACTTGAACCTGGGAGGCAAATGTTGCAGTGAGTCGAGATTGTGCCAATGCACTCCAGCCCAGGCGACAGTGTGAGACTCTGTCCAAAAAAAAAAAAAAGAAGAAAAGAAAAAAAGAAAAAGAAAAAAAAAGGAAAAGTAAATAAATAGGTAAATAAATAAAAGCAACCCTAACACTACGGAGGCTATTGACAGTGGCACTTTGCTCTTCTGTTAGGACCTTGGGAAATTTTGTTCCCCCTGAATACAGTATAATAAACTTGGTTCTTATTTCTCTTTCTCTCCCCCTCCTTTTTTCTTCCCTCCCCACCACCACATGCACACACACAAATAGACAAATTTGTTTATATTTGACTTTCTAAAAGCCTGTTACTATAAAGTCACATTAATACATTTCTCCTGTGCTGATAGTAAGCAGGCAACTCTGGTTTCTATCGGAGGCAATTTCTGACGTATTAAATGCCAGAAAAAGGGCATCCCTCCATTTTTGTAGAGAGCCTTTCTTTATGAAGACTAATGACCACATTAGTTAGTCAGTCAGTCAATAATACTTACCAAATGTCAGTAGAGCAGAAGTGAACACCAACAGAAAATCACATTTTACAAATGCAATTTACTTGGTATCCTAACATGCCATGTCATAATAATTATTGAGGCTTTTCTTCTCTGCTGCATTGGTCTAATGAATGTGGCTAGAAATATATGGGTGCACGTGTAGCCTCCTGGAAGCACCTGTATGACTTTTCTAGAAGCGAGGTTCCTGGATAAAGATGAATTTTTAAAAGCTGGAATGAATGAACAGCAATAGCAGAAGGAGAAAAGTGAGTGAGAGCTCTCCAAGAAGCCATCTGGCAGGCTAACGGTTCTGAGGGAAGCTCTGGTTTCAGAAGCAACTCAGGAATTACTTCTGTCATATTAGGATGGGATGGTAGGAGATTGGGAACTCTAGGGACTAGAAGTCATTTAATTTCCTGTCTACAATCCTTAGAAGAGGTTTTGAGACTTGCAACCTAGGACCTTAACTAGTCATCTTCCCTCAGCATTGATAGAATTCTTTATTATACATGTTAATATCAGATTAGTCAGGATGGGCTAGATTATGCTGTGTTAACAGCCATTCTCTAAATCTCTGTGGCTCAAAAGGGAGCTCTGCCTGTCATGGTCACTTGGGACCCAGGCTTTTGGTATAAGGCTACAGCACATGGAAAACGTGTGAATGTTTCTCAGATTCTTAAAGCTTCTGCTGGAAGTGACATGTCATTCTGCTTACAGTTCATTGGCTAAATGAGTCACGTGGCTCTCTCTAACTTCAAGGATGGTATGAAATTGCAATCCTACCATGCCTCTAGAAGGAGAACCAGCCCTAATCACAATGCTACATGTTTATAGCTTGTCTCATAGAGTTTACTGTATTCTCCTGCTACAATTTTCTTACATGCTCAACTGGAGAGGCAGCTCTTAAATAGAAAAAAATCACAGTAAATTTCCTTTAAAAGATCTATTTTACAACTCTGGCATGATGGAGCACAATGGAGTCCTTAGTAATGGACTCCATCTCTTCCATCAGATAGAATCTTGAGAACTGAAGTTAAAATTTGAATAATGAAACCAAAGGAAAAAAATTAAATGAATTTTAAGACAATTGAGATAAGAACAACTGTGGCATCAACATAATTCAATTTAATAATGTATTAAATATTTTGCAGAAAAGTGAAAACAAATTGATAGACAAATCAATGCAGCATTAAGCCACCATTTGGTCTAATTTCTTGCTGAATTGACAAAACAAAACACTAGTTTAGTTATATAAACATGGCTGATGTTTATACAAACAACAGGATTTGCTGGTAGCATTATCACTGGAAAATAAGATGTGTACTTAATTCTTGTATGTTCTGAGCCCATCTAGGAAGAACATAAAAAACGAACAACAAAGCAATCACAGGATGTTATCATGAAAATATCACCTTTGGCTGGAGTAAAGTTTTGACTAAATGTGGCACTAGTATTTATTATAGCTCACCTTTTTATAATGAAAGGGTATGTACTGAACATTCTTATTATTTCCCATTTTCTTACCACTCTATCCCGACACAGATGCACATGCATGCACACGCGCACACACACTGGCACCCACACCCATGCATGTGGGACACACAGAGCAGCCCAGGCAATTTCAATTGTTGGCAGCTTTGCTTTTATTAGGTATTAGTCTACCGACTTGCTTTCTCTTTAGAGAGACTAAGTGAAACCAAACTCATTTCCACCCAGTTAGCCTGCTGGAACCTGTAACAGTTACTGTAATGTTAAAAGCAGTAAAACAAAATAAAAACCAGTCAGTTCACTTACTCCCGAAGTCCGCAGTTTGGTGTTCAGCTTTAAAACATATGCTCTGGGCGTCCTGTGGTGGCTACCAGAGGCTTTGGTGAGTCATTGTCAACCCAGTGGCTAGAGAAGTGCTGGAATGCCCCTCTTAAATACAGAGCCACGTTTGTCCTTCAGAATGGCTGCTTGAACGAATTTATTGCTCAACTCGAAAGGCCGTTTTTTATAACCCACTGCAGTTGTGCTTCATGGGTGTCTCCACCTATCCTGTAAAGCGTATTGGGAAATTGATTTTGTAGATTTCCTCATACTGCAGTGACTAGGGAAATCACCCATTCGTTATTATCTAATGAGGAGAAAGTGGAAATATCTAGAAGCACTGCTCCCATCCTCCTCCCCAGCTCACACAGACACCTACCTCAGGCCCTCCCTGTCCCAGGTGAGCAGAGGGCCCCACCTTCGGAGGTTGCCTCCCTTTCACGTTCACCAATCCTATGACCAGATTATCCCCAAGGAAATGTCAATTTCCAGACAGCAAGGGAATCATATAAAGATAAGATCATTGAGAGATTTTTTTCCTCCGTGATTGCCAGTTTATATTTTCTTGGGTCTACAAATCTGACAGCGTTTATTAAATTTTCTAGTTTGATACTGACCTCTGTCTGATGCTGGGCTGTCACCATGCCCAAGACTGAGGGGACCCACAGTCTAGCTAGAAGGCATGGATCAATTCCAACTGTCCTACCCCTAGCCTGTGGGCAGGAGAAATCTCTCAGGCTCTGGCAGAGGAGTCCCAGGGGAAGGATGCATGATCTTCCACTGTGCCTCCCAGCCATGCTGAGCAGCAAAGCATACCATGAGCAGGTCTCCCTTAAATTCATTTGCTTGATTTGTCCTTGATTGTCCTTGGATGGCTTTGTTCCCTCCTTGTCGAGTATGTCTTGGTCATCCTGATTCCTGGGCTTGGCTCCCAGGTTGATTCTTTCCCTGACACAAAACAGGCACTATGGTCAAAGACACCTGCAGCCTTGTAGAGACCAGAGATGCTGGATGTTTCCTGTTAGCACTCAGGAAAGCTCAGATCTTTGATGAGCATCTTTTGATCCATTAGTTAAAACCACACTGGGTTCTTTATAGTGGTTAGTTAGCTCTGGGCTATGGGATTGTGGAAGACATTTATTTCTTCTTTGGATTCACCTGGATTTTCTGCAACAGACATGTATCAATAAAATACATGGTGCTTTTCAGAAATTGCCCCATCATCATGTTGCTGTTGTTGTTATTGATATTGTTGTTTCTGATGGATAGAGATCTAGGCCTGACACTCCAAGCAGTGTGAACAGCATCTACCTTGATAAGCATTCTTACATCTTAACCCTCGGGAATTTTAAATAGAAGTGTTCCATGTGATTAAATTAACAGGTTTAGAGATGGGTGTCCTGGTTATTTCCTTTGTTCTCCACCTGGTAGCTGCCTGCACTCACAGCATGTTGGGAATGGTGATTATAAATGTAACCATGCTCTCTTCTTGTAAGTGGAGAGCCCAGGTACCTCTTATCCAGCATGTGACCCTCTTTCTACCTCAGGATAGTCATACTCTTAGGCTACCTGGATTTATTCAGGGCCAAAGGAGTGGTCAAGGTCCTTTTTGTTTTGCCCTATTCCCTTTGGAAAACATTTAGTTTATGCCCATGTTACAGATTGCAAAATACAGGCACATATTCTCACTAATGTGGTCTGCATGTCCCTTTGCAAGGACATGCAATGTGACTTCACTACTCCTTTCATCAAGAAAAAGAGCCTCTTGGTTTGGCACGGTGGCTCACGCCTGTAATCCCAGCACTTTGGGAGGCCAAGGCAGGCGGATCACGAGGTCAGGAGATGGAGACCATCCTGGCTAACACAGTGAAACACAGTCTCTACTAAAAAATACAAAAAAAAAAAAAAATTAGCCGGGCGTGGTGGTAGGTGCCTGTAGTCTCAGCTACTTGGGAGCCTGAGGCAGGAGAATGGAATGAACCCAGGAGGCAGAGCTTGCAGTGAGCCTAGATTGCACCACTGCACTCCAGCCTGGGCAACAGAGCAAGATTCTGACTCAAAAAAAAAAAAAGAAAGAAAGAAAAGGAGCCTCTTTACCCTAATCTGGGCAAGCCTTGCAACCTGATTTGCCAAAAAAATATGAAGGAAGCAATGTGATGTGATTTTCCAGGCTAGAATGTAAGAAGCCTTGGAGCTTCTGCTTTTACTGGCTTCAGATGCTGCCTGAAACCACTGTAAGAAGCTCTAACCTACTGGAGGATAAGGGGTGAGCCCAAGAGCATCAAGGCTCCCATCAACAGCCAGTCCTGTGAGTGAGGCCATCTTGGACCTGCCAGCTCAGTAAACCCTTTTGCTGAACACAGCCCAAGGAAGGAACCCTTGCAAAATGAAATCATGTGGTCAGTTTGTGGGGTGGGTATTACATAGCAGTAGATGATTGAAAAGGCCCAGTGTCTTCCTGGGGACTGAAACACCCACCTCCTGTTCATGTTGATACACGGTGAGCAGTATATGGATGTGGGAGTGGTGTTGGTTGCAGGTGAGGTAGAGAAGCAGTGAACAGAGCATGAAGACCTGATGTTCCAGGGTCGGGAGTTTAGACTTGATCCTAACACCGGCCATAGGTGGATTTAGGCAAGAGAGTAACGTGGTCAGATTTTCATTTTAGAAAGTTACTCTGACATCCATGTGGAGAATGAACTTGAAGGTCACAAGGCTGATGGAGCCAGGAAGACCATTTGGGAGGTGATTGTAGTAATCTACTTAAGAGCTCATTACGAGCTGGGGAATGGGGAGGTGTTAGAGAAGAGAAAATGGATTTGAAGAGCTGAGGGATGTTAAAAAGGCAAAACTGGGCCAGGGATGGTTGCTCACGCCTGTAATCCCAGCACTTTCGGAGGCCAAGGTGGGCAGGTCATGAAGTCAAGAGATTGAGATCATCTGGGCCAATATGGTGAAATCCCCTCTCTACTAAAAATACAAAAATTATCTGGATGTATTGGCACACACCTATAATCCCAGCTACTTGGGAAGCTGAGGCAGGAGAATCGCTTGAGCCCAGGCAGCAGAGGTTGCAGTGAGCTGAGATTGCACCACAGCACACCAGCCTGGTGACAGAGCAAGACTCCGTCTAAAAAAAAAAAAAAAAAAAAAAAAAGGAAAATTGTTCGGACTTGTAATTAATTGGGTGAGGAAACTGAGTGGCAAATGGTCTCAGCTCTACATGTGGAGAGCCCTGGGGACATAGGGAGAGCACATTTGGAAGGAAAGATGATGATTTTAGTTCTTAAAATTTTGTTTGTGGAGGAGGCATTCAGACAGAGAATTCTGTTGGGCAGTTTTATGTAGAGAACTACATCTAAAGAGGTCAGAAGTGAACTTTGATAAAATTGAGGTGACCAATGATCATCAGTTTTAAAGAGGATATATTTTCTTTTTCTGTTAAAGGGAATACACCTATGAGTCAGAAAGCCAGACTTTTATTTTTTCTCGCTAAAAGTTATTGTACTACCTACAGAAGAGAGTGTAAACACTGGTTTTTAAGATGAATTGTAAAGCTCTAAAGAGAATAAGAAAAATTGTGTTTCATGATTTATAATGGATAACATATTAGAGTTGATTTCATAAGAGAATTCATTAAGCCAATAGACAACCATGGCATTTTAACTGTAGTGTTTAAGTATCTTTAGCTCTGATTTTTTAATTAGCAGAAGCAAATAAAGAGAGCTTCATTTTAACCATGAGAAATCTCTCTTCTGTACTTCATGTGACTAAATTTGTCCAGATGCTGCTGTTCAAATAATCACAGTGATTGCCAACATAATGGTTAATTTCCTGAGAAGTAAGTTCATGTTTTGCCACAGTTTGCTCCCCTGTAAGATCAGACAGAAAAATAAGAATAAAACCGACTAATAGGTATTGATTGCCTCTGGAACAGCTATCAATATAAAGAGCCAGACAAAACACATAATAAAGAATTGTGTTAGTGCCAGAGAGACTTTAGAGATCATTTGCCCATCTCTTTACCTTTCTCCCACTTCTTTCTGTCCCTCCACCCCACCAGCTCTGATACAGACACACAGGATATTAGTAAAGGATAGTATTTGTTGAGAGCCTTTTGCGTGTCAGGCACTGCTTCTAAACGTTGTATAATACCAGCTCATTCAATCTTCAAATCAATGCTATACAGTAGGTACTCTTCTTCTTTTTTTTTTAATTTTACAGCTGAGGGACTGAGGTATGGAGAGGTTAGTTAACTTATTCAAGGACACCAAGCCAGTCAGGGTGCCACTGGACCTAAGACAAGGTAACCTGGCTCTGAGACCAACCCCACAGAGAAGTATGTGGATGCTGACAACACTGTAGGAAGTTACAAGGAGCAAAAGAATAGCAGCCTCAGCCCTGAATTCCACTGTAAGCTCCCCTCTAATCTTCCCTGCCTCACTCTCAATCAAATAAAGAGCTGATCAGGAAGCAACTATGCACGGTCTTCCCCTCCACACCTCCAGCCCCAGCTCCCTTCCCCAGACTCAGTGCCAGCATGTGCCAGCCCCCAAGATGGCAGTGTGGAGCCATGCACTAGGTCTGCCGGGGACCCAGCAGTCAGCTGTGGGTTCTTTGTATCTGCCAGAGTCCTGGCAGGAAATGGTTTCATTCTCAAAGGGTTAACTAGGAAGAATTTAGTGAAGGGTCTGTTTACAAGGTTCAGAAACTAATTGAAAATGGTGAAGCACCCAGGGATTGGCACTGGAGCTTCCCCACAGGAGCTGAGGCCAGAGAAGTATACATCCATTGTTGTCTTAAAGAGTGGTTAACTATCTATTTGCTCTTACTTTCAACATTTCTGCTGGGGCCTTGCATTGAGCAAACTCAACTGTAATCTAGAGAGCAGGGACTCCTGAGTGGCACATTCAGTGGGAGTCAGCTTCCTAGGGAATCATTTATTTATTTATTATTTATTTATCAGACAGAGTCTCACTCTGTAGCCCAGACTGGAGTGCAGTGGTGCGATCTTGGCTCACTGCAACCTCTGCCTCCCGGGTCTCTGTTCAAGCAATTCTCCTGCCTCAGCCACCTGAGTAGCTGGGATTAAAGGCACGTGCCACCATGCCCAGCTAATTTTTGTATTTTTAGTAGAGACGGGGTTTCACCATGTTGGCCAAGCTGGTCTTGAACTCCAGACCTTGTGATCTGGCTG
Source organism: Homo sapiens (assembly GCF_000001405.40). Taxonomy (NCBI): domain Eukaryota; kingdom Metazoa; phylum Chordata; class Mammalia; order Primates; family Hominidae; genus Homo; species Homo sapiens. The sequence goes on along the minus strand of NC_000024.10, from coordinate 25,343,466 downwards.
TCTCGGACTCCCAAATTGCTGGGATTACAGGCGTGAGCCACTGAGCCCTGCCTTCCTAGGGAATCTTGTAGGAAGGACAAAGGTAGAGAATCTGTCTGATGGCGGAAGCAAATGAATGCCCATCACATGCACTTTCCTCCAACAGAGCAACTCGGATGCTATGAAACAATGCTAAGTCAGTCTCAGTGTCTGTTGCAGTAATATTGTACATACTGTAGGTCTTAATCATAGGAAATTACATGCCCATTGCCCTGTGCACTGACTGGAGCACACTTATGGGGGGCCCGTAGTCCTCCTTTCAGACATCTTTTGTTTCTCTGCCCCAACAAGTGGCCTTCCCATAGAAGACTGCCCAGAGAACCCTATGGCAACCTTACCCTCTTATTCCACTTTATTTTTCTTCAAAGTGTTTATTACTCCCTGTTGTTATGTTAGACTCTATATTTCTGTATTTGCTGTCCTCCAACTTGAAAAGAACTTCTGAGAGGGGAGGGACTTTCCTGGTCACATTCACTTGTCCCAGCACCTACGATGGTGCCTGACATATCTCAGGGGCTCCTTAAATATTTATTGCTTGACAATGGGTATCATGGCTCAGCCTCCTCTGGGGCTAGGAGGCTAGAGGAAAGAAATTTTAGCATGAGCGCAGTGACAGTAAAAGAATTCAGCAGCTCTAATCAGGGAATGAATCTGGTGTGTAATAGGATCTCAAGGCTTGACTCCTAGTCTAAGAGCATTTCTGGAGTTTGCTGACTTGATCCCCATCCTTCATCATTAGCACTTTGCAGGGAAGGAGATGAGCATGGATCTTGACTCTGAATTGGCTGGGGCATGCAAAATTGGGGGAACGCTTGGTGTTGCCCAGGGTCAGCTCTACCTAGACACATGTGAGGGCCAAGATCTGGTTTGTGTTTCATGAGCTCTCCCAGGATGAAGACCCAGCCAGGCTGTCTGAAGAAGGGGTGTTCTTGAGTAGGAGGGAAGGTTGGCTCCAATACAAAAAATCTAACCATAGCATAGTCCTTAAAAGCTTGAGCTTTGGAGAGGGAGAACAGACCCATTTAAGGCATGAAAAATAAAGGAAACTCTTGAGTCCCTCCAAGGAAAATTCCAGCCACCTGCCTAGGCTCAAGAAGTAGATGAGCACCGTGATAAGTAAGAAGGTAATAATAGCCTAAAACAATAGTCAAGAAAATTAGAGCCACAAACTAATCTTAAATGATGAGTTAATGGGTGCAGCACACCAACATGGTACATGTATACATACGTAACAGACCTGCACGTTGTGCACATGTACCCTAAAACTTAAAGTTAAATTAAAAAAAAAGAAAAGTAGAGCCACAAAATATTTGTTTCCCTATAGAAACTAGAGATAACATCTTAACATATGTCCCTGAGTTGTTTTGTAGAAATCCAGACCCCGCTAAATGGAAAATACCACCTCTTGACTCATAGATCTCAGATAAGGAGGAACTGAAGACTGAACTCTCACAACTGTTCTTTGTTCTAAATTTCTTCCTGAGGGACCTGGAGGAAGTCACACCCACAGGCCAGAGCAGAACATTCCTTTCTGCTGACCCCAAGTTTGTAGCCAAAACTTAACCAATCACAAATCAGAAAATCTTTGGGTTTTTGTTTGTTTGTTTGAGACAGAGTCTCACTCTGCTGCCCAGGCTGGAGTGCAGTGGCATGATCTCAGCTCACTGAACCCTCTGTCTCCCAGGTTCAAACGATTCTCATGCTTCAGCCTCCTGAGTAGCTAGGATTACAGGTGCACACCACCACGCCCAGATAATTTTTGTATTTTTAGTAGAGATGGTGTTTTGCCATGTTGGTCTGGCTGGTCTCAAACTCCTGGCCTCAAGTTATCCACCCACCTTGGCCTCCCAAAGTGCTGAGATTACAGGTGTGAACCACTGCACCTGGTCTCAAATCAGAAAATCTTTTAATTCATCTAATGATCACCTATCCTGTGGGCCCTCACTTCGAGATATTTTGCCTTTTTTGGCCAAACCAATATGTAGCCTCCATGTATTGTATGACCTTGCCTGCAACCTCTGCCTTCCCCCCTTTAAAAACCCTTACACATAAGCCATCAGGGAGATTAGGCCTTAAGGATTAGCTGCCTGATACTCCTTGCTTGCTGCCTGCAATAAATTCCTCAACTTCTGTCTCAGCAATGCTGATATCAGTGCTTGACTTTGATAGGCTGGGTGGGTGGACCCAAATTTGGTTTGGTGACCCTTTGAGCTTAGATTTAAAATTCTAGGTTTGTCACTCTGCAGTTTTGTGATCTTGAGCAAGTTACTTAACCTCTCTGAGTCTTGTTTGTCATGTGTAATGAAAAGAGCTATACTTACCTTGTGAGGTAGTCCTCAGGATTCAATGAGATAATAAGTACTCACTAAACAAAACTCGTTATTACAAAAGAATCACTTTGTCTCTGAAGTGGGCAGTTCAACCCATTTCTAGGAGATTTTAAACATGATTTTAGATATTTGGTGTGATTTTGTGAATGGATTTATCGTTAATAGCTTTCATGCTCCAGAAGTTTCTTGAATAATAGGTTTTTGCAAAGTGCATTCCATGGAATACTCATTTGGGTGACGTTAATAGACATCACTCAAAAGCTGGGTGAATATTACAATGTTTACTTCATCTGTAGCAAGCTGAGTAGCTACGGTACATATCTAATGGGGGCTCTAATTCTCAATATTTTCCAAATTTATTAGATCACAGACTTTTCTTTTAGTGAAGTGCTTAATGAAACTTAAGTTCTGTGAAAAGTACTTTGAGAAATATTGCTTTAAAAAGAAAAAGATTGAGCCCTGTATCAGGGGAAATATCTAATATTATATGAAACAAAAAAGTCCCACTGAAGAAAATCATCTTATTGTTCATAGACCTTAGTTTAGGTATTGAGGCCAAAGGATGGATGACAATTTCAAATGATCCAGGCTAAGCCAGGAGGAGAGCTCAAAGTCTGATATGGTGAGTAAGTTTTGAAGGGAATATGATGAAAAAGTGCACTTCTATTGCAAAGAAATCATGAGCTAGGTTTATACGCTATGCTGTGAATGGCCAATAGATTATAAATTCAACAGCCTCCCTGTCACAGCTATGGTAATGATGACTGTTTAGGCCTTAGGGGAGCTTTAGGGAGAGGCAATTTCATACTTAAGTCACACTGACTTAAAAAGTGTAATATTTGAAATCATTGTTGAAATCTCGTGGAGGTCGTCAGCAAGCAGGTGAGGTTGGAATGCCTATCATTTTCCTCAAGCTCACGTCCTCTCATTTTCTTATTTAAAAATCTATTTGGCTCAGAAAGTACACCTAGAGTTAGTCAAAAATCACCTCCTGATGTTCCTTTTAAAGGAAGCTTCCAAGTTATTTGAATAGCTTCCAAGTTATTCATCGAGAAACAAAGCAAATTCAAAGATTATGTCCTAGGCACAAACTGGACTTTAAGAAATCCTGGCTGCATAAACAATTGTCTTATAGAAAAAGAATTTCTGTTCCTCTTTTCCCTCCCCTTGTCAATCCTATTTGTTTCAGACCTGGGTTCAAACACTAGCTGTAGAGGCTATAAGCTATTGGAAGCACATTTGAGCCTGAAATAAACTGAACCTCTTTTGCCTTGGTTTTCTCACTTGTAAATGGGGATTTTTATGCCTACCTCAAAGGTACGTTGCAAGGATCGAGGGACAGAAAGTGCAGCAAGTGGCCAATGAATAGAAGTCTGGTTTTCTGAGCATCCTTGCAGCTGCAGGCTTCAGTCTACCAGAGAATGTGAGGTGTTATTCTTCTAGGGCAGTGGTTAGAAAAGAAAATGAAAGTAGCAGTACTCTTTTCTTAATGCAACCATAGATGGATGACCAGAATTTGTAATCCATAAGGTAGAAGCTGCTGTGCCTGAGGAAATAGAAAGTGGGCAGAGGTGGAGGGGCAAGGTAGGGAGTGGAGTGGAAGGTAGGGAGAGTTTGATCCTAGCCTGCACTGCTCCTCAGAGGTACTTTAGCCCCTTTGGAACAGTATTAGAAAATCATGGCTCTATCAACTCATGTCTGAAAATCAATTGCTATTTCAGAGCAGGAGGTGACCAATCTTGGAAATAAGGAAGGGAGAGAGGCATCCAAGCCAGCAGCTGCTAGGATTAGTCACTGCCTGGAGCCAGCTCTTGGAAGTTCCCCAGGAGCCGTCCAGTCTTATGTCATGTCTAGTCAGCAGAGTCCCAAAGAAGCTAGTCATTCTCTAGGCATTTGTGCTTACATTCTAATGGGCCTAATAGCTGGGAGATGACATGGAGCCCAGGCAGAACAGCTGAGATTTCTACTGGTCGTGACCTCCATCTTCTCCTTCATACCTTTCCTACCTTCCTTTTTCCATGCATTCAACAGACATTTATTACCCAATAAGTGCCAGGTAGTAAGCCAGGACCTGGGGAGAGCAGATGAGTAAGACACCATCTCTGTCTCTCAGGAACTCTCAGATTCTTAGGGACACATGTACACCCTAATAAACACAGTGCATCTCATGAATGTGTAAGTTTAAATTATTGATATAGGCACACACAGACAGAGGGACTTCATTCCTTGCAGGTTCTATAGTATATCATACCCACTCCCCTTTCTTCCCTTGCTGCTCACATCATCCTTCCTTCAAGGAATTTGGGGGGATGGTAGACTGAAAGTGGCCCTTTCTGCATAATTCTTCTTGAAAATAAACATTTGCTCTCTTCTTAGAGGCTGACTATACTGAGAGCTACCACTCCTTGGCTGCTTATTAGCCATTGGATTATTGCTAAGCCCTTTACATATGTTATATCATTTAATTGTATTGAATCTTCACCATAACACTTCAATGGAAATATTTTTCCAAATAAGGAAAGGTGAGACTCAAAGTAGTTGTATTAGTCTGCATTGCTATGAAGAACTACCTGAAACCGGGTAACTTATAAAGAAAAGAGGTGGGCTGGGTGTGGTGGCTCATGCCTATAATCCTAGCACTTTAGGAGGCTGAGGTGGGCAGACCACGAGGTCTGGAATTAGACACCAGCCTGGACAACATGGTGAAACCCCGTGTTTACTAAACACACACACACACACACACACACACACAAATTAGTTGGGTGTGGTGGCACACACCTGTAATCCTAGCTACTCAGAAGGCTGAGGCAGGAGGATTGCTTGAATCCTGGAGGTGGAGGTTGCAGTGAGCCAAGATCACACCACTGCACTCCAGCCTGAGTGACAGAGCGAGACTCCATCTCAACAAAAAAGAAAGAAAGAAAGAAAGAAAGAAAGAAAGAAAGAAAGAAAGAAAGAAAGAAAGAAAGAAAGAAAGAAAGAAAGATGTTTAATTGACTCTCAGTTCCACAGGCCATACAGGAAGCATGGCTTGGCAGGCCTCAGGAAACACAATCATGGCAGAAGGTGAAGGGGAAGGAGGCATGTCTTACTTGGCTGGAGAAGGAGGAAGAGAGCTAAAGCGGGAATGCTGTACACTTTTAAACAACCAGATCTCATGAGCACTCTATGATGAGAAAGCACTGGGGGATGGTGCTAAACCATTAGAAACCACATCCAACACTGGGGATTACAATTCAACGTGAGATTTGGGTGGGGACACAGAGCCAAACCATGTCAGTAGCAAAGAGATTTTCCCACACAGCTAAAAAAAAAATGGCAGAATCTGGATGTGTGCTTAGGTTTGTCTGATTCCTGGTACACTCCCCTATGCCATTTCTGATCTGCAAAGAACCTGATCCCAAAGCCTGATCCCAATATGATCCTAGAGCCAAGAGATGAGGCGTGAAGTAGCCACCTACTTTGTGTGCTTTCAAATCAGATATGGCAAGATTCTTTGAAAAATCAGTCAACTGGATTAAGCAATGCCTAAGTATGAAAGGATCCTTAGAGGAACTAAACCATGTCTTCATTTTGCTCCATGTTCTTTCTGTGGCTCTACCAAGTTTGTAGGTTAAGAGCAAGGCATCAAAGCTTACTGAGTTTTTCTTCAACACCGAATCGACTGGTTGTCTCAAGAACAGGGAATCATTGCCCTAGTCTCATCTCATAACATTTACGTTTCTTTCTTTCGACTAATGGAGATGGTGCTCCCTGCTCTCTCCAGGAGACCGCAGGACCTAGATGATAACCTGCATCCCTAATCCTAAAGGGAGCCTAAGAGTAGTAATGATGGCCCTCTATTTGCAATAGATTACACTTTTCCCATATAAAGCTCTTAGAACTGTCACTGTGAATGATGTGCTGATTGGAGATAATGGTGACAGTGATATTTTTATAATTGCACTTTGTTCTTCTCATCTCCTCCTGGAATCACAAAAGAATTTGTACATATCCCTTACTCAAAATAGATCCATTAGTTAAACTATTATAAGATAAAAAGGCTACAGATAAAATGCTGCCCATTGAGGCCCAGAGGGGAGAGAGCCAAGTGGACTTAGAAATCCCCAGCCCAGTGCGGTGGCTCATGCCTGTAATCCCAGCACTTTGGGAGGCCAAGGCGGGCAGAATACCCTGAGGTCAGGAGTTTGAGACCAGCCTGGCCAACACGGTGAAACGCTGTCTCTACTAAAAATACAAAAATTAGCTGGGTGTGGTGGTGGGCGCCTGTAATCTCAGCTACTCAGGAGGCTGAGGCAGGAGAATCACTGGAACCCAGGAGGCGGAGGTTGCAGTGAGCAGAGATTGTGCCACTGCACTCCAGCCTAGGCGACAGAGTGAGACTCTGTCTCAAAAAAAAAAAAAAAATCCCCATATCCCCATTCACTGTCCTTTTCTCCAGGAAATACCCCATTTCATATAACTGTCTAAACAACGGTTTAAGGTCTACACAAGATTGTGAAGTGAACCTGCAGGATTAGGAGGGTAAGGATTCCCACCTAGGTGGGCTCACTTGCTCTGCCATACCTGGGTAGGATCCCAGCCTGCTTCTGTGATTGTCAGGAGGCACCAAAGAGGCTACCCTAGGTTTTCTGTCATTCGGCCCAAACATTTCCTCTGCTGGGCAAATGTGGAAAAGAGGCATTAAGCTGGTGCTCCCACAACTGAAAGGAAAGCAATTCTCTTTCTGTTGTGGTTCCTTCCTCTTTGGACTCTTTTCTTCCATTCCAGCCTATCCCCTTCTTAGAAAAGCTCTTCTACCAATAGCAGGGAAGAAACAGTCCTGTGTACCTGATATGCTGCCCTGGGCACAGGCGATTGACCAGGGATAGACACCTGAACTGATCTGGGCAGATGCCCTCTTCTGGCCATTGAGAATTGACAGCATCAGACATCTAGAACATAATAGAATTTTTAAATTCTGCAGGGACATCCACCACGCTGAGAGAGACCAATTTTGTTTTAAAAATGTCTCCTGAACTTGGCCGGGCATGGTGGCTCATGCCTGTAATCACAGCACTTTGAGAGGCCAAGGTGGGCAGATCACTTGAGGTCAGGAGTTTGAGACCAGCCTGGCCAACGTGGCGAAAACCTGTGTCTATTAAAAAATACAAAAATTAGCCAGGCGTGGTGATGTGTACCTGTAATCCCAGCTGCTGGGAAGGCTGAGGCAGAAGAATTGCTTGGACCGGGCAGGTGGAGGTTGCAGTGAGGTGAGATCATTCCACTGCATTCCAGCCTGGCTAACAAGAGCAAAATTCCATCTCAAAAAAAAAGTAACCCAAACTTGGAATTAAAAATAGGATGACTGCACGTCTTTCTAATGCCATACTGGAAGGTTGCCTAACAAACCACCAAAGATTTTTTTAACTCTCTAAGGGAAGGTACTTTTGTTTGACTTACTATTTACTATTGATTAGGGCCCAGACTCTGCCAAGTTACCTGTTAATTTTTGTCTGGTAGAGATACAAATGATTTTTGTCCTGTAAAAAGATTTTATTACTCTACAGGACATTAATGAGTGAGGTTTCCAAATTAGCAAACTTATGTCAGCATGCTGTTTCTGATGGTCTATCCAAATCTTTCTCCTTCCAATTCTCTTTTCAAACAGCTTTACCATCCTCTGGTTCCTTCTTTTGTGAAGTAAACAGATCTTTATACACACTCCCTATAGACTTATATAAGAATCATGTTTACACTTTTTGAAAATGATGCTTTGACAATTCCACTGAACAGGCTGGGGAGAATTTTATGAGAATTGTTGGATCCTGCTCAGAAGCAAGATAAAACCAGGCTATCCTCTATCATGGCTGATCTGGGGTTCATTCCCAGAAATGAGGGTCTTGGATCAGGGTCAAATATGTGGGTGGGGTGGGCTCAATTGCTGAGATACCCATCTCATGAGGAAGGATGGGACCCATATTATGGGAAACAAAACAGGAAGAATGAGAGTGAAAAGATTAATCCTTTCACTAAATTGGGAAAACAGGAGAAAGTGTTGTTGGATAAAGAAGGAACTTTAGCACAATGAGCAGAGACAAGACGGTAAATGTTCCTTATCCAGTAATCTCTGATGAAAGACCAGTGCTCACATCATTAGTAATGTCCAGAACTGATAATATCAGTAGTAGCAATACTCACAATGTAAATAAGTAGCTCTCATGTTTTGATTGCCAATAGTGCTAGCAACCTTACATGTATCACTCTCTACCTCAGCCCTGTTAATTGGTACTATGATGAAGAAAGAGACTCAAAGAAAATAAATGACTCACTCGTGTATTTTTACACAGCTAGAATTGCTACAGAAAGGATTAAAGCCAAGTCTATCCAACTCCACAGTCTATGTCCCTCCACCCCTCTCTCCCTCCCTTCCTTCCTTCCTTGCTCCTTCTTTCCCTCCCTTTCTGCCTCCCTCCCTTTCTGCCTCCCTCCCTCTCTCTCTCCCTTCCTCCCTATCTCAAACATCTATTGAGTGTCTACCATGTGCCAGGCACTGTGTCAGGCTCTTGGGATACAGCAATAAGCCAAGTCCTTGCTTTCAGGGAGTTTACATTCCAGTGAGAGGGACACAGAAACAAATGTATCTCTATGGCAGCAAGTGGTATGAAGAAAATCAGCTTCATTTTTATTGTTTCATGCCCATCATGCCGGTTTCCCACAGTCCATCATCCCCACTCCACCCCCCACCCAATGTAGTGCTTTCCTCTGTCCTAGAGAATTGGAAGGACTTCACAGCAACATCTGCAGTCCCTTTGTTTCAGTGACTTTGGCACAGAGAAGCAGACACAGTGTCAGACAAAGCTGCTGGAAGCTGTCAGGCTACTGGCAAAAGCTTAATCATACGTTCCAAAGGCAGTGTGTGTGTGTGATGTTGCATCTCTGGCCCTGGAAGGCAGACAGAGGTCACCTTCTTGGGAGTCAGAGTTGGCCCCTCAGCTCCCAGGGGTGCAGCTGAGCAGCTTCAGAGGACTGACTGTAGAGACCAGGAAGGGGCCATTCACTCTGATGGGAATTGGGAATCATTGATGCTCGAGCAGAAGCTGAGTTAAAATTCATGCTAAGAAATCAGCATTCACATGTGTACATATTTAAGTCAGGATCTCAGTGAAGAGGGCATGACAGCAGTGAAAACAGGTGCCAGACCTGAAGTAGGCTATCTTATGGTTGCTGCTTCACCTGTTCCTCTACACACACATACAAACACATACACACACACACACGATTCCAGAAGATAGTGGGACAGTAGCAATTTGAAGGCTCTGCCTGAAAAGCATTTGCTTAAAGTGTTGGGAATTTTTTGTTGGATTGTTAGTTCATTCGTAGGGCTTCTAAATTTCACTTTTGCATTTTAACCATTTCAAGGAATTCCCCCTGATTTTGAGTGTGAATGGGTATAAAAGACCAGGGGTTGTTAACCAAAAGCCTGGAACATTCAGGTGAATGGCTGTTCTGCAGGGAAGGAGGGAAACAGCAGGGTGAGGTGGATGGTCAACCTTCAAAGGCCTTACACAGTCCCGGCCAGGATAATCTTTGCTTCTCCCTTCTACTGGGGAAAATTCTGGATTGCTAAGACCAGGGTCTCTATAGTGGCATCTCCAACACTCAGGCCGAGCTTCATGGCTGGGTTCCTGTTTTTTCATTTGCTCATGCCCCTCAGTGGTATCATCTGACTCAGCTCCTTTCCCTCCTGTTGGGCCAGTACTTACAGTGGGTCTCCTGATGAAGCTGAGGTCATGGGTTCATGAGCCCAATTATCACCATGCTGACCGCACCACTAACCTGGCTCCGTGTAGTTGCAAACTTGGCTGCACATTGGAATTCCTAGGGAGAGTTTTAAACATCCCAACGACCAGGCTGCAATGAAATCAGACCGATGAAATCAGCATCTCAGGGGGGGAATGGGACTGGTAATTTACAGAATCTCTCCAGCTGATTCCATATTCAGACAAGTTAGAGCACCAATGCCCTCAGTCCTGAGAGTGAGGGCTGGTCTCATGAATCCATTCACACAGATGGAAGTCCATCCTCACAGGGGTCAGGCCTCACACAACATCGGGCATGTTGGTAGGCATATGCCTAAGTTTCTGTGCAATGAATGCATGCCTTACTGGTGATGCGTCAATAGCAAGGCATTCAGGGGAGAGAGTACCCTGCCTCAGTGCCTAGCATGAGACATGTATCCAGGACCATGTTTTTATTCCCATCTTATGGATGAGAAAACTGAGGTTCAGAAAGGGTAGGCAAAATCCCCTAGCTCACCTGGCTGGAAGGGGTCAGAACTTCCCTGTACGTGCTGAGAACACCACTGTTCGAGCAGAGGGGAAACCTCTGCAAATTTCACTCTGTGTTCAGTGGGTGACTTGCCAAAATGACTTGCCAAAGCCCTTTAGGGCCAATAAATTAGAGTGTTTGCATCAAATTTCCATGCACAAGAGCCAACTCAAAACCTTAGATCCAATTCCATTGGTTCCCATAGCTCTGAAGTGGACAGATGTTAGTAATAAATCCTACAGGCTGATGGCAGGACTTTGATATATAATATTAACTCTGATCTGCCCTTGGTGGTGGTCTGACTTAAGACAGAGGGAATATTAAAAGCAGTAGTAATCCTTTTAAAAGTTATGTGCACTTTTGCCCAGATATCAAGGGTTTCTGGCTGAGTTAGCCTACAGAAGCAATTGTGCAGATTAGGTGATGTTGAACCATGAGAAAGTGTCTTCCCACTTAGCAAATCAAGGGTCCATGGGATGGAGAGAAAGGAGGGAATAGAGTTTGTCACTTGGGCTGTACTGACCCCAGTGGTGATGTCTTCCCTTTGATGGGTGGTGTTGGGACAGCAAGGCAGTCATCATTTAGCCCACTAGTGCTAAGGTGGAAGGCATCCGCAGTGCATGGTCTGGCATCCCCAGGCAAAGACGAGAGGATGGGCCCTGCAGAGTGTTTTGGGTTAGAAACAAGCTGAGTGAGCTGAGTGTTTCTTCAGGGATCGCACTACAGATGAGCTGACAAATCCACGACAGTGGGGAGTGAGGTGAGGCAGGGACACAAATCCACAGCTGACTAACCCAGCACATTCCCACCTCCTCAGCATAGAAAACCACAGGCACAAACTGACCAGAAGGCTATTCATCCATGGGTCTATCCCGTGCCTTGATCTGTCTTCCTAAATCCCACCTTTGCCAAAGTCACTCCAGTCTGTGAATTTTCCATGGCTTCCTGATGCATATGGAAAGACGTTCAGACTCCCAATCTGAGGTCCAATGCTCTCCAGAATTCCATCTTTCCCTACCTTCCTGGAATCATGTCCCATTGACTTGCCATCTACCTGGGCAAGCTGGAATGGCTGCTTTGGCTGTCTTCTGAAAATGCCCTGAGGTGTCTCTGCCCCAGGCCTGTCTCCTCTGCCCCCAGAGCTGCCCAGGCCCCTGCTTCCTACAGAGACCAGCTCACAGTCTTCTTGTCAGTGGTCATCTAACAGTGGTCTTGTAAAAGCAGAGCAAGTTCCAATCTTATTTATAGCATTCAGCAGTTTTTTTTATTATTATTTTTGTTTTTATTTATTTATTTATTTATTTATTTTTTTAGAGCTGGTGTCTTGCTCTGTTGCCCAAGTTTGAGTGCAATGGCTCAATCACAGCTTCACTACAGCCTTGAACTCCTGGGCCCTAGTGATCCTCCTCTTTCAGCCTCCTGAGTAGCTGGGACCAGAGGCATGCACCACCATGCCCACCTAAACACAGTCTACCTTTACGTGTGTGTGTCCATCCATCACCAGATGCTCACGGAAGGTAGGGCAGAAACATTTTGAAAAATAATTTTTACCTTTGAAGAGTAATCTTAATGATAACCTAGCAGGTGCTCAGATACATCAGGTCGATTCACTTCCTATGGCTGTGTAACAAATTACCACAAACTTGGTGATTTAGAGCAATGCCCATTTATTATCTCAGGGTTTCTATAGGTCAGAAGTTTGGGTGTTGCATGGCTGGATTGTCTGTTTAGGATCTCATAGGGTTGAGATCAGGGTAGCCAGGGTTGCTTCTCATCTGGGGCTCCAAGTCCTCTTTGCAAGCTCACTGGTTGTCAGTAGAATTCAGCTCCTGTGGTTGTAGGACTGAGGTCCCCATATTCTTCTTGCTGTTTGTCAGTCTGGGGTGCTCCCAGCAACTCAAGGCCACTCTCAGGTTGTTGACACAGGGTGCCAACATCTATCTTCAAAACCAGTAGGAGGATTTCTCTTGCACTGAATCTCTTTTGCATCTCTGACATTCTCAGTCTCTGACCTCTAGATCCAGATTTAAAGGGTTCACTTGATTCTGTCAGACCCACTCAGGACAATTATTTTGTTGTGCGTCCCTCTTTCTGGGAAGTGGGTCCACCACTTCTATCAGGTTCTTAAAAGGGTCTGGGAATGTTCACCCATCACAGACATCCACACCAGGCCAGTTAAGTCAGAACTGCTGGAGATTCCACATTCTCCTGGGCAGCCTGGGTGGAGAACCACCTATGTGGAAGGAACACTGGGCTCCAAAGATAAGGGGCCTTGCATTTTATTTCATTACCAGTGTGTATTGGCTCTGAGACCTTACAGAAATCACTCAACTTTTCAGGGCCTCATTTGCAAACAAGGATGGTAATAGTAAGCTCCATCTCTCACGGTTGTTAGGAGGATTAAAAGTGTATGAAAATGTTCTGCAAGCTCTGAAGTATTAGCCAACCGTCTTGTCAGTGTGAAGAGGCACTGAAAAGTGAGGTGGGACACAGCATTTTAAGTGAAAAAGAAGGGAGAAGCTTATCTTTATCAAAGTTAAATATTAGATACTGAGTACTTTGTAAAGTCTGTTGCTGCTGGGGATCAGGCAAATTGTTATAACCTTCTTGGAAGGCAATTTCCCATAATTATCAGCAGTTTACAGACTATCCAAGCCATTTGACCCTAAGATAATGTTTCTAGGGATTTCTCTTAAGGATTTAATCAAGGACACATACACAGATTATAGCAGTTCAAAATTGGAACCCATCTATTTAACAATAAGGGATTGTTTAATTACACATGAAATATTATTTAAACATGAACATTATATTGCCTTTAAATATTTGACATGGGAAGAAGCTTAAAACTCAGTCCTATTTCCTTATCAATGTTCTATCAACAAGGCGCAGGAGGTGTCACCTCCTTGGGAATCAGAGTTGGCCCCTCAGGTAGGTGTTTGGAGCTTCCAGGTAGGGGCTGGGGACAAAGTGTGGATGGGGCACCTGCTGGACCTGTGGCAAGATCATCAGGGATTGCTATTGGTCTCAGCAAGGGAGTGAGGCTGACCAGTTCTCAGCTGCATTTCAGAGAAGGATGAAATGCCCTAATCAGAAGTCAGCTCCCCTCATGGCCCTGGAGGGAATTCTGCCCACTCACAGACTCTTTCTTATTCTGGGCCTCTGCTGTTACCTGGGTATTGCTCCCTGTCACAGTCAGTTTGGGGACTGATCCTCCAGGAAATTCCTGGGACCTCTTGGCAGGCTGAATGCTTCTCCTTTGTGACTCCCCTGCCATGGTGGTTGTGCCCCTTCTTACCTTCTACAGACACGACTTTTCATGGGCCTCTTCCTTTCTCCCCACTGGTAAATCACCACCCTTCAAAGGCGGGAACTCTCTCTATTTCATCTTAGTATCCTACGGGCCTGGCCCAGAGTAGATGCTCCAAAAAACTTGTCCTGAACTGAAATGGGCGTGAAGCTGGGGCCTGTTGCACTGTGTTGTTGTGGGGCGGGGTGACTTCCAACCACACTGGGAGCCATCTCCCTCTCTCATTCCGAGGGAAGAGTCCACAGCACAGATGGGCGCAAACCAATGTCAGGAGCTGACACTGTGATCAAAGAAAATCATTTCCATTGCTCTTGTAAATGAAAAGAGTCAAACTCAGTAAAATATTTGAAGAGATGTATTCTGAGCCAAATATGAGTGACCACGGCCCTTGCCATAGCCCTCAGGAGGTCCTGAGAACATGTGTCCAAGGTGGTCGGGGTACAGCTTGGTTTTATGCATTTTAGAAAGGCATGAGACATCGATCAAGTACATTTAAGAAATACACTGGTTTGGTCCAGAAAGGTGGGACCAAAGCAGGAGGAAAGGGGTGCTTCCAGGCTATAGGTAAGTTTCAGTGAGTTTGTCTAAGGACCTGGGATCCATAGAAAGGAAATTTTCAAGTTAAGATAAAAGATGGTGGAGACCAAGGTTCTTTTGAAATCTTATAGAGGCTGTCCTCACAGACAATAGATGGCAAATGTTTCCTATTCAGATCTTTAAAAGGTGCTAGACTTGGCCAGGCATGGTGGCTCACGCCTGTAATCCCAGCACTTTGGGAGGCCCAGGCGGGTGTGGATCACAAGGGCAGGAGTTTGAGACCATCCTGGCCAATGTGGTGAAACCTCATCTCTACTAAAAATATAAAAATTAGCTGTGTGTGGGTGTCTGTAGTCCCAGCTACTCAGGAGGCTGAAGCAGGAGAATCGCTTGAACCTGGGAGGCAGAGGTTGCAGTGAGCCGAGATCATGTCACTGCACTCCAGCCTGGGCGACAGAGTGAGACTCCGTCTCAAACAAAAAAAAACAAAGTGCTAGACTTTCAGTTAATCTCTTTAGGATTGGGTGGGCAGGGAGAAAAATATCTAGCTATGTTAATAGAGATTCTTTACAGATACAAATTTTCCCCCACAAAGGACAGCTTTGCAGGGCCATTTCAAGATATGGACAAAAAAGTCTATGTTTTGGGGTAAAATATTTTTATTTTCTTCCTTGTCTCATAATGTTATGACAGAGTCAGGTTGGAAAGTAAGTCACAATATATAGGGTTAAATAAAATCCAACTGATGAGAATTTATGGTTTGTAGGACATCACTCCCCAGACCCTTTAGATAGGGGATTTGGGTAAGATAAAAAAAAAAAAAAATCAGAGCTTAGTCTTCACTTGCAAGGGTGCCCCTGTCTTCCTCCACTCTCCATCGTCAAGCTGGGCTGGGATTTCTTGAGCCAGATGAGTTGAAGATGCTGCAAAGTTAAAATGGCCTTGCCTTCCTGCGCAGTCAGGTGGAGCATCCCCTTCCCTCATCTGGGCCTGCTGAGTAGGGTCTCACTGATCCCCACACTGTGTGTCCCTTAGACCTTTCCTGAGACCCAGCCCTTCCCCCAGTGGAAGGGAGAATTATTTGAAAAGTGTGGGGTTTGGTGTCAGACAGACTGGGACCCAGGTCTAGGCTACTGAACCAGTGAGCTGTGTGGCTTTGTGTGTGCTATTTAGACACTCTGAGTTTTAATTTCCTAATTTCTAATTGCCAGACAGGTTGGTTGGGAGGAACAGCTTAGATTGACCTATGAAAGCATTTGTAGACTCGGAAGTGTTCTCATGGCACTTTGGATCAAATCGTTCCTGCTGCTTCAAACTACTGTGTGATGAGTTTCCAAAAATCATTGCCTGTGATCTGCAGGCTCGTTGTATGTCACAGATCATCAGATGTGCTTCCATTCCATGCTTGCTTCTGCAGTCCTGTTCTAAGCTCTGGCCTAATATTCTTCCCGCCCATGGAGCTCTTGCCACTGCCTCACCGCAGAGACTGGAACCCTGTCCTTTAACTCCCAGCTCAGAGTGTAGGGAAGTGTTTCTCAAAGTATTCTCTGTGTTATCTGCTTCCAAATTGCCTGGATATTGGTTAAAAACCAAACCTCTCATTCCCCTTCCAGACTTAAGGATGAGAATTGGCTGTGGGAATGAGTGGGAATCTATGCTGTTGTGAAGTTCCCCACAGGGATCTCCTGCATCTTAAGGCTCAAAGACCATGGACCTAGCCCCTGGATACTGGGCATAGGCATCTCAGATGCTGTCTGTTTCTTCACTTCCCTGACTGGCCTGGGCTCTGGGGTTGTGCCCTTCCCATTTCTGGATTTGTGATACTTGTCTTGTATCCCCTTTTATCATAGTGTGCTTTTGCTTACAAGTGAACAAAAACCCAATCCAAAATGATTTAAACAAAAAGAGCACTTATTGTAAAAGTTCAGAATAAACTGTCTTCAGGCATGGCTTGATCCAGGGGCACACACTGTGTTACCAGGAGGCAGTTTCTCTCTGCCTCCTCACTTGGCTACATTTTTCTCTCACTTTTGCATCCTGAGCCATTCACAGAGCTCAGGAGGATGACTGTTCTGATGGAGCATGGTATGCTGGTGGTTAGTGCCATCAAAAATGGAATGAGATAATGATATGGCTCAGATGACTGGAGGAACACCAGGGTTCTTGGTCTAGCACACTTTTGGATAAAATGACACGGACACACCTGGAATGGTTTTAAGGAGCGAAAAGTTTAATATACAAGAAAGAAGGAAGGAAGAAGAAAACAGGTCCCCAGTACAGAGACAGAGGGAGAGGGGATTTGAACAGAGAGAAAACTCCGGTGGAGAGAAGGGATGTGGGGAGAGGGCGTGTGTGTGGTGTAATCAGCTACTTATATGAGGAGGCTGGAGGAGGCGGTACTGGCTTGCACAGGGCTCAGAGGATTGGTTTGACCAGGCATGTCATTCACATAGCCTGAGAAAAAGCTGGCCCTCACACTCTAGCCTTTTAAGATGCAAATGCAGGGCGCCATGATGTTCTACACACGTGGGGATATGTGGGGGCAGCCATGTTGCCAGCCACCTGTTGGGGCAAGGAAGAAACCTGAAATCTCCATGTTTGGGTGGACTCAGTTTCCAGTGGCCTGCATTTGCATATCAAACCTGCCAGTGGCTCTTAGAGCTGGTGCTCTCCTGTTAGACAAGAAAGGTTTCTGGATCTGCTTTAAAAGAAACAAAAACTTCCCAAGGACCTCTTTTCCTCTCTATCTGCCTAAAATAATTTCTTTATAACTCCTATAACAATAAGGGGATGGTCCATTCCCACATGTAAATTGAGGCTTTTCCCAGAAATAGGGTGAATTGATGCTGAGTTACCCCAGTCAGCAAATGTCCATTTATCTCATTTGTAAACTCTGAACTCTGCACAGAGACTGTGGTGACACAGGCTGTCCTGTGACCCTGTGGCTGGGTCAGCTCCTGTGTCTGCGACAGGATGCCCTGAGTCCCCATGGATTCCTCAACCCCACACCCTGTCCTACTCTTAGCCAAGTCAGCCATGCCCCTCTGAGGGCTACGCTGCTTCAATAGGCCTGGCTTCCTAAGTACCTTTCATTATCACCCGGGCTCATACCCAGAAGCAAAGCAGAAATTTCTTTTGAGATCCAGGGTGGGAAATGGTCAGTTGAATTGAGTTGCAACCAAAGGTGAGGAAACATTTTTTATGAAAACCCATTTTCCTCTGTCGGAGGTGATTTCAGTCACATTTTCCAAGCTCAGGATAATTTACCCCCTACCAGGGTGCACTGCAGAAGGTCTGGCTGGAAGGCCCTGAGCACAGGAGTTGATTGCTAGCTGCTAAGAGGCTGCGCTTTGTTCCCGAAGGAGAAAGCTGCAGGTTAAGAGAACATTCCCCACCTTGCCAGGGGTGACAAAGCAGGGGACTGCTTGAGGGCTGACACTAGAGTTAGAGATAATGAAAGGAGAGGAGCAAGAAGAAGCCAGGGCCTGGCTCGGCATCTCACCACATTGGTGGGGAGAGGAGCTGTTCACTTTCTCGCACCTGTTGTTGGGCTGAGACAGATTTTCGGAGAGCAATGCCTCCTGGACAGAGGCTCTTCCCCACAGGGCAAATGTAATTAGATGAAAGAAAAACAAAGCTCTGAAACCCTAATTAGGTGCAAAGCCCTCAGGCTTTATACATCTAAACAGCTAAGGAACAGAGGATAAGATTCTCCAGTTGGCACTCCCTTGCCAGTCCTGGCTGAGCTAATGGTGAAGTGAGAGCTGTGCCACAGATCCCATGGTTGGCTTTTTGTTGTTGTTATTTCAGATGGACTTTCACTTGCCACCCAGGCAGGAGTGCAGTGGTGCAATCTTGGCTCACCACAATCTCCGCCTCCTGGGTTCAAGTGATTCTCCTGCCTCAGCCTCCCGAGTAGCTGGGACTACCAGCGCCTGCCACCATGCCTGGCTAATATTTTGTGTTTTTAATAGAGATGGGGTTTCATCATGTTGACCAGGCTGGTTTGAACTCCTGACCTCAGGTGACCTGCCCACCTTAGCTTCCCAAAGTGCTGGGATTACAGGCGTGAGCCACTGCACCTGGCCTCGTGGTTGGCTTTTACTCATTCCATTCTGCCACCCTGAAGCTGATCCTCTGGAATTTGCTTGTTTTTGGTGTGTCCAGAAATGAAGGTCTATCAGTTCTTGAAATTGGGTTGTTTGAAGTAACTGATGTGCCAGGATGACAGTGAAGAAGTCAAGATAGGGATTCCTCTCCCTAAACTTTAGGGCCTGAAGGGACTCCTCATTGACAGCAGATGGGATTTTTAATTTCACTCTGGGATGGAGGAAGTGGAGAGGTGATCCAGGCTGGATTGAAATCTCTCAAGCCTGGGAGATTTTGCCCAAAGGCTTGTGACATGGGAACAGTAGAAATATTGGGAAAATTGGACTTTCAGGTCAGCATTCTGGGAATTTCCCCAGTCTTCCCAGGGTGGGATCATCTGGCCCCAGTTATGGGAATAATTCCACATAAATAGAAGATGACTTGGGAAGTCAGGGAGGAGGTGGAGGACCACTGTTCTGATCAGCCTCCTTCAGCCTCACAGTGGGGTTGGTCTCAGATGGTGCCCAGGAACCTTCCAGCAGTGGCACTTTGATGGCACCAAGATCGTGGGTGCAGGGACCCAGATTTCCTTCCTACTCATGTCTCCGTAGCCACTGAGAAATGGAATATCAGTGAGGAATATCTAGAGGGCTGCCTTTACTCCTTTTGCCAGAGAACCAATATTGGTTATGAACAATTGGGCCTTATCTGGTGTGCAGAAAAATGAATATTTTAATAGTGCTTCATAGGGTATCATAGCATCTTATAAAAAGTGGCCCATCAAATTATTGATTCAATCATTTAAAATGCATTAGCAGAGGATGCCTATCAGACTAAGACATCCGTATTTCTGATCCAGTGAAAAGGGTCCAGGTAAGGAACACATATTAAGCCTCTTGGCATCCTTGTGTGAGCACGGTGCATGATGTGGCCATTAGTATCATTGTTTTCTTTGAGTTTTTGCTTGAGTGTTGAGATGTGTGAGGGATAGAAGATCCTTGTTTGCTTCTAGTCCGGATCTACACTGTCCATTAGGGAAATAATTTGTTTTCTTGAACCCATCATATGAATAATTTTGTTTTTAATCAATAGAAAAAATGGTATTGATTTAACTAACAGAAAAAATTCCAATGAGGCCAGGCCACATAGGGGTTTCTGTAAGTGTCATATCATTTCTGTTCTGTCCCCTCAGCTAAGAGAATAAAAAGTTCAGGCTACCTCCAGGGGCTTTTGCCTACTTAAATAGTATTACTTAGAGATGAGCTAGTACTTGGTTTTAAAAGTAATTTTTTTTTTCTTTTTTGAGACAGAGTTTCGCTCTTGTTGCCCAGTCTGGAGTGCAATGGCACAATCTTGGCTCGCTGCAAGTTCCACCTCCCAGGTTCAAGAGATTCTCCTGCCTCAGCCTCCCAAGTAGCTGGGATTACAGGTGCCTGCCACCATGCCTGGCTAATTTTTGTATTTTTAGTAGAGACTGGGTTTCACCATGTTGGGCAGGCTGGTTTCAAACTCCTGACCTCAGGTGATCCGTCTGACTGAGCCTCCCAAAGTGTTGTGATTACAGGCGTTAGCCACTGCTCCTGGCCCTAAAAGTAACATTTCTAAGCTTTGTACTTATGACACCAAAAACATACAGACTGACATCTAAGTAATTAAGTCAACCATTAAGATGTTTAGTTATGTCATGCAAAATAATAATCTCCAGTGAGTTCTCAAAGAATTCAGTAGTTTGATGTTATTGCCAGCACAGCCTTTACTGAGTCCTCTTATAAATCTTAAGGAAAAATTTAAGATTTTTAATTTTTAAAGATTTAAAAATTTTTAATTATTTTTTTTTTTTTTAGGGCTGGACTCTTGGTCTGTCGTCCAGGATAGAGGGCACGGATGCCATCACTACTCACTATAACCTCAAACTCCTGGGCTCAAGCAATCCTCCCACCTCAGCCTCCTGAGTAGCTGGGACTACAGGCATGCCCCACCACATTCGGCTAATTTTTAAAATTTTTTTGTAGAGACAGGGTCTCACTATGTTGTCCAGGCTGCTCTTGAAATCCTGGGCTAAAGTGATCCTCCTGCCTCAGCCTCCTGAGTAGCTGGGTTAGATCCTGGCAAATGAAAGGGCCCCCAGCTTTGAACTACCTTTGGGGAAGATCTCACTGTGTTCCCTTTGGGGATTGAAGATGTGGTTCAAGAGAGAAGAGTGCACTCTAGGCAAACCTGCTAATTCTGTTCCTCAAAAGAAGGCAGGGAGAGGAGAGAAAATGCATTTCTGTTTGCTGCCTAAAGGTTTATTTGCTTGTATTCCTTTGGGAAATGGAATGATTCTGTGTGCCTGGGTTATAGTTGATGGAATAAAGCATCATTTTATGCTGTACCTGAGAAATAATATCTGAACCTACATAAAAATAATAAAGTGCATCAGCTCCCTCTGGGAATGTTCTGTGTCTGCCCCTGGACTCCCACTTCCATGAATATATATGGATAATGCCTGCCATTACTTTATAGTTATGGGCCTGTCAACCCTATATGTATTAATACATCCCTAGGCTTTCTTGTAGTTCCATAAGGTAATAAAAACAGTTTTAACAGCAATGCCATATATCCAGTTGGACATTTCTTAAAAACAAAACACTCTCTGCTGAATTATAAACTGTTGCACAGGATAGAGGCTGTTTTGCAAGGGCCAACCCCTACCCGCCCCCACCCAGCCTGGGCCCCCTAGTACCAGGGCTTGAGCTGGGGCAGGACTGGCCTGTCGGTGATGCCTGTGAGTCTGAGTTCAGATGACTCTGGAATAATCCTTGCTTCTAGGGCCCATTCTACACTGCTGAGTAGTTCCTGCCTGCCCACCTTTGTTACTCTTTCGCTTTATGACCTCAGGATGATTTTTTTTTTTTGACAGAGTCTTGTTCTTTCCCCCAGGCTGGAGTGCAGGAGTACAGAGGCATGATCCCAGCTCACTGCAACCTCCGCCTCCTAAGTTCAAGTGATCCTCCCACCTCAGTTTCCCGAGTAGCTGGTATTACAGGCATGTGCCACCACACCCGGCTAATTTTTGTATTTTTAGTAGAGATGGGGTTTCTCCATGTTGGCCAGGCTGGTTTTGAACTTCTGACCTCCAGAGATCCACCCACCTCAGCCTTCCAAAGTGCTGGGATTAGAGGCGTGAGCCACTACGTCTGGCCTGAATTTTTTTTCTTGAGTGCTTGGTCTCAAATTGATAAAAAAGAAAAAAATAAAATAGCCATCACCCCATTGACCCTGAAAGGAATGGCTCTGTTAAGTATCCATTACGTACCAGCCACTGCTGTCGGCACCTTATGTGTTTTAAGTCATGACATACATCATCATAGTAACCCCAACGAGGCAGCTGCTGTCATTGTTTCTACTTTGCATGTGAAGAGGGTGAGGCACTGACGGGATAGGTCATGTTCCCAAAAGCACATGATCAAGACAGAAGTCCAGGCGGTCTAGCTCCAGAACCTAGCTCTTCATACACTAGCGCCTCCATCAGGAGCAGTTGCTTATAATATGCCTGGGACCCTTAGAAACACAAGACCAAGGAAGCTTCCTGGATTCCAAGCTGCTATATTGCCTCTGTAGCTCCCTCAAAAGGCAGTTTTATTCACTGAAACTAAACAAGGCCAGTTGCTGTGGCTCCGGCCTGTAATCCCAGCACTTTGTGAGGATGAGGTGAGAGGATCACTTGAGCTCAGGAGTTTGAGACCAGCCTGGCCAACATGGGGAGACTTGTCTCTTCCTATCTAACTAACTAACTAACTAAATAAATAAATAAATAAATAAATATTAGCAGGATATGGCTGGCCAGCTAGTCAGGTCCCACTTACATGAGAGGCTGAGGCAGGAGGATCCCTTGAGCCTCCGAGATTGAGGCTGTAGTGAGCTGTGATAGTGCCACCACTACACTCCAGCCTGGGCAACAGAGTGAGACTTCATCTCAAAAAACCAAACCGAAGCAAAATTAAAAAACAACTACTACTAAACAAACCCCCACTGAAATAAAGCCATTTCAAGTCTTCTATTTGCTCAGCTCAGTTGAGCCTTGGTGTCCCACATGCTGTTGCTGGGCAGAACACTTTGATTTACTTTCATCCTCCCAGCTCAGAAAACATTCTTAGGCCCACACGAGCCATGCCTGATGACCAGCATGCAATTATAAATGCTAAGATTGTAAAAATAGGAGGGGCTTTTTCACTCAGGAGTTTTCCCTTTCTCCTTCCAGGCCAGTCACTCAATTTCTTTGTTTTTTTTTTTTTTTTTTTTTCTGAGATGGAGTTTCGCTCTATTGCCCAGGCTGGAGTGCAGTGGTGTGATCTCGGCTCACTGCAAGCTCCACCTCCCAGGTTCATACCATTCTCCTGCCTCAGCCTCCTGAGTAGCTGGGACTACAGGTGCCCACCACCATGCCTGGCTAATTTTTGTGTTTTTAGTTTCACTGTGTTAGCCAGGATGGTCTCGATCCCCTGAACTCGTGAGCCGCCTGCCTTGGCCTCCCAAAGTGCTAGGATTATAGACGTGAGCCACTGCACCTGGCCCAGTCACTCAATTTCTTAATGTATAGTTTCCATAAGTAAGTAGTGTCCCAGCCAGGCACGGTGGCTCATGCCTGTAATTCCAACAATTTGGGAGGCCGAGGCAGGCAGATCATCTGAGGTCAGGAGTTCGAGACCAGCGTGGGCAACATGGAGAAACTCCCACTCTACTTAAAATACAAAAATTAGCTGGGCATGGTGGCATGTGCCTGTTGTCCCAGCTACCTAGGAGGCTTAGGCAGGAGGATGGCTTGAACCCAGGAGGTGGAGGTTGCAGTGAGCTGAGATTGCGCCACTGCACTCCAGCCTGGGTGACAGAGTGAGACTCCACCTCAAAAAAAAAGAAAAAAAAAGGGAAGGGTCCTTATGAAGCCATCCAGTCAGACTTTTCCAAGCACAGAAATGCAACACACAGACACACAGAGCAAGACACTAGTCAGGGCTCAAATCCTGGCACCACCATTGGGCAGCAGAATGACTTTCAGGAAGTGACTTAACTTCTGTAAACAGTTTCCTTACCTGTAAAATGTGGATGATATTAGTACCTACTCTATAGTATTCTTAAGAGGAAGCATGCAAAAAAAGAAATGCTTAGCACACTTCCAGAAACATAGTAAGCACAGAATAAAGGAGGCTGTCATGGTTATTAGGATCATCTCATCTTTGCTCAAATACTTTCAGTGATGGGGAGCTACTGGCCTCCTAAGCTTGTTGGCAAGCTCTAGTTCAAGGAGTCTTAGGATTCTAGATATGGAAGGCCAATTAATCCAACTTCATTTGTTCCCTGGCAAGAAATCTGAGGCATGGAAAGATTAAATGATTTATCCAAGGATGTACCACTAGCCGAGGGCAGGGCCAACACTAGAACTTCAGAGCATCTGATGTCTGCTCTATGTCCTTTCCTTTCTTCAGTTATGACCAAGTCTGCCTTCCTGTCATTTCCCCTACAGGTCCAACTTTCTTTCTTTTTTTATTTTTTGAGACAGA
Organism: Homo sapiens; assembly: GCF_000001405.40. NCBI lineage: Eukaryota > Metazoa > Chordata > Mammalia > Primates > Hominidae > Homo > Homo sapiens. Next base: position 25,319,311 of record NC_000024.10, on the reverse strand, counting down.
GTCTCGCTCTGTTGCCCAGGCTGGAGTGCAGGGTCGCGATCTCAGCTCACTGCAAGCTCCGCCTCCTGGGTTCACACCATTCTCCTGCCTCAGCCTCCCGAGTAGCTGGGACTACAGGTGCCCGCCACCCCACTACCATGCCCAGCTAATTTTGTTTTTGTATTTTTAGTAGAGATGTGGTTTCACCGTGTTAGCCAGGATGGTCTCGATCTCCTGACCTCGTGATCTACCCGCCTTGGCCTCCCAAAGTGCTGGGATTATAGGCCTGAGCCACCGTGACCGGCCCAGGTCCAACTTTCACCCTGTTATGGTCCCTGGCAGTACATCTTAGATACCCTAAAAACATGAGTGTTGAAGTGAGAGTTCGCATGGCCCATGACCAGACTGTCATAAATACTAGAATTCTTGCTTTTGTCTTGGCACTTCACAGATAGGAGATGGAACCACAAGAGCTGCCCTTTGTTTTTGAATATGGCATGGCTCTGCTATTTCTTATATTTCCTTTTCACATTGTGCTGAAACAAGCTCTTGCTCTGTCACCTAGGGTGAGTGCAGTGGCATGATCATAACTCACTGTAATATCGAATTCCTGGGCTCAAGTGATCTTCTCAGCTCAGTCTCCCAAGTAGCTGGTACCATAGGTACTTGCAACCGTGCCTGGCTAATTCTTTTTTCTTTTGTAGAAACAGGGTCTCACTATGTTGCCTAGGCCAGTCTTGAACTCCCAGGCTCAAGTGATCCTCTCTCCTTGGCCTCCCAAAGTGCTGGGATTACAGGCATGAGCCTTTGGGCCCAACCTTGTGTTCTATCAAAAAGTAGTCTTAACACATAATTCTCCATATTATTTTACCTGGACTTGTTTTGAGTAACACTTTATTCATCCTTCAATCTGTCAAATGAGTGTCTACTCTTTGCCAGACACCATGATATACAGAGGAAAAGACATGCTCTCTGCTCTCCAGATGCTAACACAGTAGTGGAATGACAGGCCCATAAATGATGGCAATTGAGCAATAATTAATATGATGGAGATAAGATGGGTGCAAGGTTCCCTGGAGCAGAGAGGAAGGGGGTTCAATCTGTCTTGGGTTAGGGATGCAGGTAAGAATGGAATAGGCTCTGGAGGGGAGATGGCTGAGGAGGTTATCTATGGCTGTGCAGGAGTAAGTGGTGCCATTTACTGTGGCAGAGACGGGCTAACTGTTCAAGCATCTGTCTCCCCTTCTTCCTGTGCTTACCAGTGATCTTTGTGGTCAGGAGCCCAAGTGACTGAGGCTTAGACAAGAAAATCTGAGCAGAAGTGATGCCTGTGACTTCACGGCCTGGCCCACAGACTCTCTACCTTGCAATTCTTTGTGTACCTTCTCTGTGTCCATGTGGACAAAGACAGCAGATGGGAAGCCATATGTCTGTCGCAAGATGGAAGGGTCTGGGTGCCTGGCTCAGATGAGCGCCTCCTACTGATCACGAGTGTGTGTTCTGGGCTTTATGTTAATGAGAAATAAGCTTCTATTGTGTTGAGAGCCATTCTACATTTTGGGGTTAATTTTGTTGTTGTTGAAGCAGTCAGTGTCACCTCTAATACTGTGATTACTAAACTCAGAAGTTTGGATTTATTTATGCCATGTTGAAACCAACCAAACTAACCATGCTGGTTTGGAAAGATACAACCAGTAACCCTGGCTTCTCAGTGTATTAGCCAGTGGACTAACTTGGGAGCTAGACTCACAATATGTTCCTTTCCTGGAAAATTCCATTTGAGATATATTGGGCTCTTTATCCTTAAATAAATCATCTTAGCCCTGATTGAAATGTTCCTGTTTCTCCTAGATAGCATGGCTTACTTTAGAGCAGGTTGCTGCTGCTAAAAATCTACAGCTTGCTTTTTTTGTTTATAAGCAAAAAGGAAGGAGCAGGGGAAGCAACTTTATTCCCTATAAAGAGGAGGAAAAGAGGACTCCCAGCTTATGCATGAGTGTGGAGAAGACAAGACAGAATTTTGTCTCATGCCAGTGTGACTTTTCAGCATTTTCCCTCCAGTTTGCTAGACTTCTCACACATCTTACTTGATCTTAATCAGATCATATCATATTTCATTATATTTTTATGGTTATTTTGACAGCTCTACCACAAAATTACCCATGGAGTTGTATGTTTACTGACACAACCAAAAAATGAATAAATTGGAGAACTTAAAAGAAAAAAAAAGATGTTTGGATATTGACACTCTTCGGGTACATAAATGTGCAACAGATTTTCTATTCATTTATGCATCTGTATTAGTTACTATTGCAGCATAACAAATCACTTCAAAACTTAGCGGCTTACAACATCAATCATTCGTCTTCTTGTAAAGTTTCTAAAAGTCAGGAATGTGAGAATGGCTTAGCTGGGTGGTTCTGGCTCAGGGTCTTCCATTAGACTGTAGTCAAGATGTTGGCTGGGAATGCCGTCATCTCAAGGCTTGCCTGTGTCTGGAGGATTTGCTCCACAAGGGTTCATGTACATGGCTGTTGGCTGGAGGCCTCAGTTCCTCATTATGTGGGCCTTGCCATAGGGCTGCTTACAATACATCAGCTACTTCCACTCAGACTGAGAGATTCAAGAGAGAGTGAGGAAGAAACTGTGGTGCATTTTGTGATCTTGTCCCTGAAATTATATGCCTTCACTTCTGCTTCATGCTAATTTTTGATACTTTTTACACTTCTGTTTTTGTAGAGATGAGCTCTTGCTACATTGCCTAGGCTGGTTTAGAATTTCTGGCTTTAAGCCATCCTCCTGCCTTGGCCTCCCCAAACTGGGATTACTGGTGTGAGCCACCATGCCCAGACACTTCTGCTTTGTTTTTTTCATTAGAAGTGAATCACTAAATCCAGCCTACACTTAAAGGGAGAGTAATTAAGTTCTATTTCTTGAAAGGAAAGGTGTCAAGGAATTTTTGTGTGTGTGTGTGTGTGTGTGTGTGTGTGTATTTTTTTTTTTTTTTTTTTGAGACAGAGTCTTGCTCTGTTACCAGGCTAGAGTGCAGTGGCAAGTGGCGCTATCTCGGCTCACTGCAACCTCCAATTCCCTGGTTCGAGTGATTCTCCTGCCTTAGCCTCCCAAGTAGCTGGAGTTACGGGCATGCCCCACCACACGCACTAATTTTTGTATTTTTAGTAGAGTTGGGATTTCACCACGTTGGCCAGGATAGTCTCGATCTCCTGACCTCATGATCCACCTGCCTCGGCCTCCCAAAGTGCTGGGATTACAGGCGTGAGCCACCATGCTCAGCCTATATATATCGTGAAACCCCATCTCTACTAAAAATACAATAATTATCCAGACATGGTCGTGGGCACCTGTAACCCCAGCTACTTGGGAGGCTGAGGCAGGGTAATTACTTGAACCCAGGAGACAGAGGCTGTAGTGAGCCAAGATTGCATCACTGCACTCCAGCCTGGGCAACAGAGCGAGACTGTCTCAAAACACACACACACACACACACACACACACACACACACACACACACACACACACACAAATTCCTTGACATTTTTCCTTTCAAGAAGTAGAACGTAATTATTCTCCCTTTAAGTGTAGGCTGGATTTAGTGATTTAGCATAAAGCAGAAGTGAAGGCATACAATTTCAGGGACTAGATCACAAAATGCACCACAGTTTCTTCCCCACTCTCTCTTGAATCTCTCAGTCTGAGTGACTGCACCCGACCTGTGGATGTGTTTTAAAGCCACAACAGCATCCAATATTGTTCTAGTAACTCTTTTGTACCAGGCACTGTTCTAGGTGCTGGAAACCCAGGAATAAAGAAAACAATGAGGTTAGGTGCAGTGGCTCATGCATGTAATCTCAGAACTTTGGGAGGTGAAGGCAGGAAGATCGCTTAAGCCCAGGAGTTCGAAACCAGCCTGGAGAACATAGGGAGACCCCATCTCTACAAAAAAATAAAAGCCAGACATGGTGGCATGTACCTGTAGTCCCAGCTACTTGGGAGGCTGGTGTGGAAGGATCACTTGAGCCTGGGAGATCATAGCTGCAGTGAGCTATGATTGTGCCACTGTACTTCATCCAGGGTGGCAGAACAAGATCCTGTCTTGAGGGGAAGGGAGGGGAGGGGAGGGGAGGGGAGGGGCGGATGGGTCAGCTTGGAGATGTTTTCAGCCCTCTTTCTCCACTATAGGGTATAATATCAATCAGTTATCTTTGCTGATTGCCTACTATGTCTCAAAATGCAAAGAAGGAAAATATTATATATGGAATGTGGAGTTGAGGACATACCAGAATTACATTTTTCACCTGATATTTCTCAGTCATAAATATGACATACAAATTTAGATGTGCTTCATGGTGTGTACTTATGAACATCAAAGAAACCTTTGTGCAAACAAAGATTTACATTTTTCCCCATGAGTTCTGTTTTCTAGCCAACATGCTTATTTATAAGTTGCAGATAGACTGAAAAGTAGAAAACAATGAAAGAAACATAACTTTTATGACATTGACACAATGAGCTACTTACGACTCACAATAAGAGTAACTATAAAAAATTACATTCTCACGGCCAGGCGCAGTGGCTCACGCCTGTAACCCCAGCACTTTGGGAGGCCGAGGTGGGCGGATCATGAGGTCAGGAGGAGATCATCCTGGCTAACATGGTGAAACCCCGTCTCTACTAAAAATACAAAAAATTAGCCGGGCGTGGTGGCGGGCGCCTATAGTCCCAGCTACTCTGGAGGCTGAGGCAGGAGAATGGCGTGAACCCAGGAGGCAGAGCTTGCAGTGAGCTGAGATTGCACTATTGCACTCCAGCCTGGGCAACAGAGTGAGACTCCCTCTCAAAAAAAAAAAAAAATTACATACTCACTGTAGGATTGATTAATTCAGGTGAGTCTTTTAAAACTACAGTTGACTCTTGAATAACCCGGGTTTGAACTTCATGGGTCCACTTATAAGTGGATTTTTTTTCAACCAAACTTGGATCAAAAATACAGTATTCCTGGACAAGAAACCCATGTACACAGAGGGCCAACTTTTTCTGTACACAGGGCTGAGTATAGGACTTGAGTATGGTCAATGTGGAATATGTGGGGATTCTAGAACCAATCTTCTGTGCAACAGAGGGAAGAATCTACTCCTTTTGATAAATGGATAAATGGATAAATGGAAGTAACCTTGGGTAACCTTGGATGCTCTGAGATGTACCAACTCTGACGTCAGAGAAGTAATGCCTTAGACTTCTAGGAGCCAACTCTACATAACCTAGCAGCCCTGAGCAGGATGCAGGAGCTGAAATACCCACTGAAGACTCTTAGAATCACACGTCAGAGGTCAGAGGCAGAAAGGTCATTGAACATGTACTAGTCCAACCTCTCCATTTCACACTGTAGAGACAGGCTCAGAGAAGACAGGGGACTCACTCTACATCACTCAGTGGTAGGTGGCAGATGTGAGATTGCAACCCAGATATCCTGGTTTCAATCCTGACTTATTTCCCTAAAACCCACTTTGCCTCTTGCAGTAGCAGTGCCCAAGGGGTGCTTACTGAGCAGGGGCAATGCCATGTTTCCAGAGGGAAACGCAGCTGGCTGTCATTAACTTCTATAGCACTCCTATTCTTTGCAAATTGCCATCCAAACATTTTGTGCAATGTAAAGGTAACCAATATTTTTGATAACTTACTGTTGCTAGGAACTGTTCTCAAACTCATTTAATTATCATAAAAACCCCATGAGGTTGGTATTACTATGATCCCCTTTTCATAAGCAAGGAATCAAGGCACTGAGAGGTTATGGTAGAAAGTGGCAGAGCTGGTGCTCAAATCCTGACAATTTGGCTCAAGGGTTCATGCCCTTTAGTGCTAGGTTATAACTAATTCTAACTCCCCTGCTCACTGACAGTGTTTCTCCCCTATGCTGAGGCTGTTCCTGCCGGGATTCTTTGCTTCTGCTACAGATGGATTCCTCCTGTGTTTTCCTAATTAACCTTCAAGGCATACAGCAACAGTCTTTCTGGATATCCTCCAGGTTGTAAGGCAATAATTTTGTGGCCAGATCCTTGAAATACTCCTTATTCAGCACTTTCCTGCCCCTCAGTGCAGCAGAAGCTCTCTTTATACACAGGTGAATTACAGTCTAAGGCAATGGCACCAGAAGTGGGCTAGAAAAGGGAGCCCTGGGCTCTAGTCCCTGTTCTGCTACCATCCTGTCTAGTGACTCTGGAAAGTCTGTCAAACCATCTAAGCTTTTGAATCTGTAAGACGAACTGTTGGCCGTTCTGTAATCCCAGTGAAATGATTGATTCCAGTAAGACTTGTCAGTCTTAGCAGTGTCTTACCAGACTTAGCAGTGTCTGCTAAAACATGAGGTGGAAAGATGCTGGGAGTGGGCTGCTTGTGTGTTTCAATCTGTCACCCCACAGATTGCTTGCTCTGTACAAATGGAAAGCAAACCTTTCATTTGGAGAGACATGAGGTCGCCATCTCAACTAAGAGGTTGAGCATCATTAAACAGGGATGGTGTGAACTTGGGAGCCTCTTGATGTAACACAATACAAAATGCACTGCAGCATCTATGAACATTTTCTTTTTCTTCTGACAGATTTATTTAGGTATAATTCATATGTCACACAATCCACCCATTTAAAGATACAATTCAAAGGCTTTTTGTGTTCACACAGTTGTACCACCACCAGAATCTAATTTTAGAACATTTTCATCACCCCCAAAAGAAGCCCCATAGCCATGAGCAGTCATTTCTCTATCCCCCTCCTACCACCCCTAGCCCTAGGCAACCACAAATCTACTTTCTTTTCTGTGTATTTTCTTATGAACATTTTATATAAGTGGAATCATATATTATTAATATGTGGTCTTTTGTCACTGGCTTCTTTCACCCAGGATGTTTTCAAGGTTCCTCAAGATATCAGCACTTTATTCCTTGTATAATATTCCATTGTATGAATATGCCACATTTTATCTTTTTTTGTTTTTGTTTTTGTTTTTGTTTTTGTTTTTTTGAGACAGAGTCTTAACTCTATCACCTAGGCTGGAGTGCAGGGGTGTGATCTTGGTTCACTGCAACCTTTGCCTCTTGGGTTAAGCGATTCTCATGCCTCAGCCTCCTGAGTAGCGGGGATTACAGGTGTGTGCCACCATGCCCAGCTAATTTTTGTATTTTTAGTAGAGACAGGGTTTCAGCATGTTGGCCAGGCTGGTCTCAAATTCCTGACCTCAAGTGATCCACCCACCTTGGCCTCCCAAAGTGCTGGGATTACAGGTGTGAGTCACCACACCAGTGAATTTGCCACATTAAAAAAGTCTATTATTTAATGGACAGTTGAGTTGTTTTCCAGTTTTCAGCTATTATCAATAACGTTGCTATGAATACTTGTTACAAGTTTTTGTTTGGACAGGTTTTCATTTTTTGGGGGTGTACACCTCAGAGCAGAACTGCCAGATCAGGTGGGAACTCCATGCTTCGCATTTTGAAGAGCTTCCAGATTGTTTTCTAAAACTGCTGCACTGTCTCATATTTGTACTTAAGTTTTCTTGTCAAGCATGTTTAATCAAGTTAATCAAGACTTTTGACATAATTTCTGGTTTTGGTTTATAGGAAACATTGACAGAGAAAAACATTAACGGACACCATGAGAGGGCAATGAAGCAAATCTATAAAGTAGGACATTCTATGACTGGCCTGAGCGCTTCAAAAAGTCAGGGTGCCTTATGGAAGAGGAGTGGTGGTGCCTGTTTTAGATTAAAAGATACTGAAGAGGCCAGGTGCAATGGCTCACGCCTGTAATCCCAGAAGTTTGAGGGGCTGAGGCAGGTGGATCACCTGAGGTCAGGAGTTCGAGACCAGCCTGGCTACCATGACAGAACCCTGTCTCTGCTAAAAATGCAAAAATTAGCCAGGAGTGGTGGTGGGCGCCTGTAATCCCAGCTACTCTGGAGGCTGAGGCAGGAGAATCGCTTGAACTCAGGAGGCAAAGTTTGCAGTGAGCCGAGATTGTGCCTCTGCACTCCAGCCTGGGCAACAGAGCAAGACTCTTGTCTCAAAAAAAGAGAAAAAAAAGATACTAAAGAAACATGACAACCAAATCCAATGTGTAAACCTTAATTGCATTCTGGTTAGAACAAAACAGCACCAAAAGATGTTTTGGGGACAAGTTAGAATATTTGAATGTTTATGGGATATTAATGGTATTAGGGAGTTAAAATTTTCTTAGATATAGTAGTACTCTGGTTAGATAGGAGAATGTTCTGATTTTTAAGAGATGTGGGCCGGGCGCGGTGGTTCACACCTGTAATCCCAGCACGTTGGGAGGCCGAGGCGGGCGGATCAGGAGGTCAGGAGATCGAGACCATCCTGGCTAACATGGTGAAACCCCGTCTCTACTAAAAATACAAAAAATTAACCGGGCGTAGTGGTGGGCACCTGTAGTCCCAGCTACTCGGGAGGCTGAGGCAGGAGAATGGCGTGAACCCGGGAGACAGAGCTTGCAGTGAGCTGAGATTGTGCCACTGCACTCCAGCCTCAGCGACAGAGACAGACTCCGTCTCAAAAAAAAAAAGAAAAAGAGATGTGGCCAAATTATTTAGGGGTTTTAAGTGTCATGATCTCTGCAACTTACTTTCAAGTTGTTCAAAATATCAAACACACACACAGTGACAAAGCAAGTAATCACAGCTATTAGTTTTTTAATTGAAGGGGTGAGTATGTGGGTGCTCAGTATATTCCTTTAGCTTTTCTGACTGTTGACATTTTTCATAACAAAAAGTTGAAAAGAAAGGAGACCACATGCTCCATGATTGATAATTTAGCCATCTCTCTCCAGTTAGACTACAAACCCCTGAAGGTCTAGGGCCTGACTCTGTACCTCCGTAGCCAAGCCTGGTGCTAATGCCTCAATACAGGTGCCTGGTCCTTAACTAGAGGCAATAGAGAAATTTTACACAGACCAGCAATTCAAAAAATGCGGCTGCAGTTGAAGAAGACATTGTCATTCTTCACTCTTTATAGCCTTAGCTTGGAAAATGAGAGGGTGGTAATTGCAGTCATGTTCCCGATGCCTGCCAGCGAAAACAAACTTTTCTAACTTTGCTCTCAGAGCAGTTGATGCAAAAGAAAATAGAAATCAACCAGTCTCCCAATCAGCATCACTCATTTTAATTTGATTGCTGTTTCTGCCCAAGCGAAAGCAAGTTAGCTAAGTAAAATCCTGAAACAACACATAACCCCTGGGCTACTGCACTCATGACTGTCCTAAAAGATACAGGCTTTGGAAAGGTCCTGGGCAGATATGCATCATTCTCATTACATAGGGGATGGTGACTGTTGTAGATTAAAAGATAGGGACATTTCAAAGACTAGCCCTGGCGGAGGGTATGATCCTGGGGATATTATAGAAAAGTTAGGGTCGCCTGGGCCAACTCAGTGTAATCCTAATATAATATTGTTTCAGCCTTCCATTTTCTCCCTGTCCCTCATTGGAGATGGGAAATCATTGTCCTCTGCCAGTATAGCTGCTTTCATTTTGAAACATAAATTGAGCCACTTTTTCTCTATAGTATTGGTTTTAGGATTATGGAGTGAGCACTAGACATAGAACATGTACCTCAAGAGAAACTGAAAATCCAGTGCTTGAACTAGATAAGTCTATGCGGCCATTTCTCGTTCAAAGATAGCACATCTCAAACCTCTTAGAGACACCTAATTGCAAATGTTTTGCCTTGTTATGTCTATAAACCGATAAAATGTCCTAGACATTTCTTACTTTTGGAATTAAATCTATATTTCTCAGATCGCTTACTTCTAGCCCCTTGTGATACAGAAATCCTATTTCATACACTATGTTCTATCAGTTTTGGAAAGCATAGTCACTACGCAAGTTGTTGCATAGCAAGAATGGGCTGTTTTCCCTGGTAAAGAACAGCCCATTTTATCCAAAAGCCTGATCACACGTGCTAAATTCTAAGAATAGTGCTGATTTAAATATTGTGCATTTTTGCTAAGTCATGTATTCAAACCATGTATCAATCCAACATATATTAAACTTTTATTTGCAGAAAATATGGTGGCCATTGCTCTACTCACATGCTAACCCTGTAACCATTGTTCTGAAACAATCCCTTCATTAACAGAATTTAGGCTGTGTACAGGTGAAACTGGTCTCCATTGAGATTTCTAGGAGGACAAAATGAACTCCATTAAATTTCACACAAGGAAAAGAAAACTGAGACAAAAATCTTTGCCCATGGCAATATTTTCTAAGGTGTGTTTCAGAAAAAAAATTTATGTTCAAACTGATTTGGGAAAAGCTGCATACCAAGTGCCTCTGTTGAAGGTCTCAATGCACACTAATATATCGAAGGCTTAAGAAAGTCCTATAGTGAGAGTCCGGGCGCGGTGGCTCACGCCTGTAATACCAGCATTTTGGGAAGCCTAGGCGGGCAGATCATGAGGTCAGCAGATCAAGACCATCCTAGCTAACACGGTGAAACCCCGTCTCTACTAAAAATACAAAAAATTAGCCGGGCGCGGTGGTGGGCGCCTGTAGTCCCAGCTACTCGGGAGGCTGAGGCAGGAGAATGGCGTGAACCCAGGAGGCGGAGCTTGCAGTGAGCTGAGATCGCGCCCCTGCACTCCAGCCTGGGTGACAGAGCGAGACTCTGTCTCAAAAAAAAAAAAAAAAAAAAAAAGTCCTACAGTGAGAAATCTGTTTAACTCTGTTTTACTTCAGTGTCCTCTAAATTTATTGGCCCACAAGATGTTTTGTAAAAATTGCATAACATCACTTAACATCTCAAGGAAGACACTTTGGGAAACGATAACCTTTAATTATGACAAAGAACAACATGATGCTCAAAGTATAAAAAAAAGTTAGGACACAATCAGAGAAATTGGAATGCTAACTGAATATTTGATAGTAACAAATTAATACTTTTTTAAAAGTATAATAATGAGATTCTGGTTCTGTGGAATTTTTCCTTGAGTTGTTAACACACGCTGAGTTATTTACACATGAAATGATTTAATATCTGGGGTTTGCTTAAAAATAATCCAAAGTGAGGCAGTTTAGGGTAGTTGGTTGTACGAATTGAGATCAGACGTCAGTTGATAACTGAGCATGAATTTTTGTAAAAGAACATGGTCATGTTTTTAAAAATTCTGACATTGAAGATCTGAGTGTCTGAGTATTTTTTTTTTTTCCAGCTAAAACAGCGGAAGAGGTGATTTATTATATGGTTGTTACACTCGGCCACAAATAAACACAGAAATAGTCCAGAATGTCACAGGTCCAGGGCAGAGGACCGACATGGGCAGTTTTGTTTATGAGCAAGTTGGGTCTCAGAGGTGATCGGCGATCAGAGGGCGATGAAGTTCTAGATCCATTGAGACAAGCTCTAGGCAGTAGCATGTAGTCCCACAACTTGTACCAGCATCCCCAGCGTCTGGTGTTCCATGTTTCTGCTCCTGTGGCCTCCACGGTGCAACAAGCTAGCGGTTTACTTGGACTTCTGCCTCATCTTTCTTCTTTGGCGCTTCAGCCTGAGCGTTCGCTTCTTCCTCCACTTGGCTCTCATGGCGCAGAGGTTTCCAAGAAAATGGCGCTAAGGTCGAGAGCCTGAGTATTGTTTTGATGACAACAACTTGCTTCAAATAGTATCTCTAAGTAACTTCTAATTTATAGAATAATAGTAAAATGAATACTTCTTTTTATTATTTTTTTAAGACAGAGTCTTGCTCTTTTGCCCAGGCTGGAGTGCAGCTATACAGTCTTGGGTCACTGCAACCTCCACATACTGGATTCAAGCGGTCCTCCCACCTCAGCTTCCTGAGTAGCTGGGATTACAAGCATGCGCCACCATGCCTGGATAATTTTTGTATTTTTAGTAGAGACAGGGCTTCACCATGTTGGCCAGGCTGGTCTCAAACTCCTGACCTCAAGTGATCTGCCCACCTTGACCTTCCGAAGTTCTGGGATTACAGGCATGAGCCACCGTGCCTGGCCCAGTAAAATGAGTATTTCTAAGCAGATGCTAAAAACGCGAAGTAGTAGCATACCTTAGCACCCAGCTAAAGTCTGCCACCGTGCAATAAGCACTTGCTAATTAATACATTGACATTGTGTAGAAGTGAGGAGTATTCCAGTGCATTTTATGTATCCACACACTTTATTTCCATGGGTGGAATTTGTGAGAATCCAGAATCTTAAACCAGTAGACTAAAGGTCTCATTTAACAAGTTATGACTAGGAGTCCAAGAGACTTTATATAACATGGTAAGCTCTAGTGGCGCAGAGGCACAACGGAGAAAAGGACATGGCTTTGGAATCAGATTATTGGGTTTGCCTCCAGGTATTAATACTCTCTAGCTATGTGGTCCTGGGCAAAGGACTTTAGATCTTTTCGCTGTTTCCTCATCTATAAAGTTGGAATAACAACAATAATAATATCCTCCTTAGAAAGATGTTGTGACTTTTAAACCAGATAATCTAACATAAAACACTTAGTGAATATATATATTTATTTATTTACTTTTATTATTTATTTCTTTGAGACAGAGTCTCACTCTGTTGCCCAGGCTGGAGTGTGGTGGTGTGATCTCAGCTCACTGCAACCTCTGCCCCTTGGGTTCAAGCAATTCTCGTGCCTCAGCCTCCCAAATAGCTGGGACTACAAGTGCCACGACCACGCCCAGATAATTTTTGTATCTTTAGTAGAGACAGGCTTCCACCATGTTTACTAGGCTGGTCTCAAACTCCTGGCCTCAAGTGATCTCCCTGCCTCGGCCTCCTAAAGTGCTGGAATTACAGGCGTGAGGCACCGTCCCAGCCACTTAGTGACTATTTCACAATTATCCATCATCATCATCATTGCCATCAACATCATCTTTCTAGGTAGTTCATGGCAGGGATGGCTCATGTTCTGAGTAACTCTTAGTTAAGTCCTCTCATTACTGAGTAATCATGAGCTCACTGTCCAAGGTGCAGAGAGGCTAATACCATTGGACCAGCTTTTGAGAAAAGAAAAGCTTTATTGTGACTCACCTGGCAAGCAGACAGGAGGAAATACTCAAATCTGTCTCCCTGTGCTGGGGTTTGGGTTGGGTTTATAAGCATAAGGTGATGAGATGTGATCTGATTGGATCTTGCAATGAGATTTGAGATGATGCTGGGAGGTAGGATCTGCCTGGAACCTGTCATGGGGTGATGCCAGAGCTTGATCTAAGTAGACCCTGGATCCTACCATGTTGTATCCACTTCTTAATTCAGTCCCTTCCCCTCAGTCTGAGCTCTTAGGTTTCCCCCTGTGGTTGCACACTTGGTTCATCTGGGCATGCTCAGCTTATGTGACCTTCAATCTGTGCTTTATGGCAACTGAAAAGCAACTACAACATTGTGACATGAAAGCTGAGCCAGATTGGTCTGGTGTGGTCACACTCTGAGCCCGTGCTTCTCAGCGAAGAATGGGAAACTGTTATGAAACTAATGGAAATATGTAGCCACAAAGAGTTTCAAAGAGACACAGAATACTTTTTTTTTTTTGAGACAGGATCTTGCACCGTTGCCCAGGCTGGAGTGTAGTGATGTGATCTGAGTTCACTGCCGCCTCAGTCTCCTGGGTTCAAGCAATTCTGCCACTTCAGCCTCCTGAGTAGCTGGGATTACAGGGGCATGCCACCATGCCTGGCTAATTTTTGCATTTTTAGTAGAGACAGGGTTTCACCACATTAGTCAGTCTGTTCTCGAACTCCTGACCTCAGGTAATCCATGCCTCAGCCTCCCAAAGTGCTGGGATTACAGGCATGAGCCGCCACTATGGCTGGTTGAGACACAGAAGACTCTTTTATCTGTTAGGAAGTAAGTTTTCCCCTTTGAACAGCCTTTCTTACAGCTTGTTTAAATGAGAAGAGCAAGTGATACCACCTCAGTCTACCATGTTGAAATAGAAATTGGGTTGAATTCTAAATATTAAGCCTTTATAAGTAGCATGTTAAATACTATTGATGATGTAGATTATTCTAGTTTTAAATCATTGTAACATTCCTGAACAAAGCATGCATGGAATGAATATTTACATTTTAAATTCTAATTTTTATAATATATTTTATAATAATTTCATATATATACCACCTAAGGAAAAAAAAGTCAAGAGTGATTATGCAGTGAGGGGCTTAGGCATCTAAATATTTATTTCAAGCAACATTTAGTCTTTGCATATCTTTAATTTCCCTGCACAATTCCTTTGAGAATTTAAATAACTGTTAGCAAAAGGTCAGGGGTTCGATCTAGGTCCTATTGCTCTTTGCACAGAAAGCCAATCACTGGGGCCAAGTGCAGTGGCTCACACCTTTAATCCCAGCACTTTGGGTGGCTGAGGCAGGTGAATCGCTTTAGCCCGGGAGTTCAAGACCAGCCTGAGCAATATGGTGAAACCCTGTCTCCACTAAAAATACAAAAATCAGCCAGTCTCATAGCCCAGCCTCAAAATAAATAAATGAATAGATTAAAATAATAATGAAGAAAGCCAATCATGGAGACAATGAATATTGCCAAGGAAAATACTTTAATTGATTGCTGCAGCCAAAAAGATGGGAAATCAGTTTCAAATCCATCTCTACAACTGACTAAAATTAGGGGTTTATACAGCAGTGAAGGAATTTAACTGCATGTAGAAGAACAGAATTAGAGAGGGGTAAGGAAGAGGATTTGGTCAACAGGAACTATGTGTAGGTGAACAGGAATTAGGGAGGGGTCTGGCATCTCATTGTCCAGATGCAGTGATCTAATAAATTTCAGTTCTTTGATACTATCTGGGAGGCCTGATGGTGGGTTTCCTAAGAAAGGAACTCAGATAAGACAAATGTAAGTTTCTCAGGTTTTAAGACCAGAGGGGTCTATTTCTATGTTTATTTTTTTTAACCCATAAACTTCAGTTCTATGGGGATATTGGGCTGGTTTCATAATCAACTCAGATGATTTGGGGCAGTTAAATTGAAAGTATGCATATGTTTTAAAACTTCAGGTTTTTGCATTTCCCTGGGAATGTCACAATGATGCCTTGGGACTTAAAGAAAATCTGCCTCAGATATTCAGAAAATTTTAGCAATGTAAGCACCTCCTGATTTTCATTCAGATCACAAACAGCAGTGGAAGAGTATCCTGGTCTGGGCTAAAAGCTTTGTAAAATAGTTTCTGAGCAAATTATTTCACTTCTGCTAAGCCTTGGGTTATTTATCTATTAAAAATTTTTTCAATGGCAGTATTTGATTCAAGAGTTAGAAGGTATATGAAGTTGAGCATATCACATGCTAAACACTAGTCATTATTATTAATTATTTGTGAATAATCATTAAGTGACTTACAGGGTTTTAAATTTTTTATTTTAGAGACAAAGTCTCTCTCTGTCACCAAGGCTGGAGTGCAGTGGCACAATCATAGTTCACTGTAACCTCAAACTCCTAGACTCAAGGGATCCTCCTACCTCAGCCTTCTGAGTAGCTAGGACTGTAGGCATACATCACCACACCTGGCTAATTTTTTTTTATTATTATTTGTAGAGACAGATCTGCTATCTTGCCCAGGCTGTTCTTGAACTCCTGGCCTCCAGTGATTCTCCTGCCTCAGCCTTCCAAAGTACTAGTATTACAGGCATAAACTGTTGTTCCTGGCCATCTAATAGGCATTTTTAAATTGGTTTAGCATGATAGGAAGTTTTGAAATGCTGATGAATCCTGTCAGATTCTTCCCCCTTTGGAGATTATGTCTGCTTTTGGCCTACAAGTTGCGAATGAAAAGGTTGTATGTTCCTCTCTCTTTGGAGTAGCATGAGTTTAATTCAATGTGTTACTTTATAATCTCAGCTCTCTGAGGACCTGAAAAATGTTATTCTCTTGAAGACCTTTTCACTTGTTCTGGTTGTAGAGGTGGTAGTAACATTCTCTTGTGGCTTTCAATGTCCTAAACTAAAGTGGAGCATTGAGTGGTCAATGTTATTTATCTGACCACTGCTGAGAAACTGTTCATGGAAAAAGACATTAGACAGTGAAGTTGGACCATTGCCCAGCTACGTGAATCACCAAAAGAACTGATCATCTTTAAAAAAGATGTATTTTAAAGGTACCTTGGAAATATATGGGTCAGCTTCTATAACATTCACTCTATGGTTTCTGGCTAGTGATCAGGTTGTTGGATACATTTCCTAAAAGAGCCCAAATCCAGGAATGCTTAGTTGTATAAAAATGTACATATCCAAGAAAAATATGGTTCTGTGGGCATCATGATCTGTATTTCAAAGAGTAGTGGGCTTTGCCTTTCTTCTCTCCTTTCCATTTCTCTTTTCTTTGTGATGAAAACAAGGAAGGAAATCCACAAACCTTAATCAGAAAGCTTTTATTGCATTTAAAATGGCCAGTATAGGTAGATTTGTTTTCCCAGTTTTGCTTCGAAGCTGGCACATGCAGATATGGTTTGTTTTCTCAATTTGTAAGCAAATCATCCTATGTCATCTTAAAATATGAATGAGTGACTGAGTCCACAGCCCTTTGATTGAGGACACACTCTTTATCTCTAAAGGAAATTTCCTAAGCTATTTAGTCCTTGAGATTGCTAGCTGTCCCTTAGGATATTAAATGTCAGGGAGTTTATGACACTTTTATTACTTTGTTAGAATGGCATTATATAATCTCAGCCACGTGTATTCTCTCTACCTTTTTGACCTCCTTATTCTCCTGAGCTCCACATCTGATAATAAAAGGAACACTTAGATTAAAAATAAATAAATTTAACTAGTCTTTATGCTCTCTATTTGTTATTAATCTCCCACTTCCTACCTCCAGTGGATGGCTCTTTATTCCTGTAATTTACCTTTGAGAGTCAGGTTCTGCAGAGAATAAGTGGGAATTTAAAATGGTTTACGTCTGATGGTACAGTATTGTCAGAACTTGCTGGGGTAAGTTGAGAACTGAATATCCTAATCTATCTCAGGCCCCAATTCTCTCCCCAGATATGGGAGCTGACATTCACTCAAATTGTTCATCTAGAGAGTAAAAATATTTGAATCAAATTAGGGTCAGAGAGAGGAGACTCACCCTTTTATTGAAAACACAGCAGTAGCTGATCATCAATGAACAATAGTTACACTCACATTCTTCCAGGCTCTAATCCATTTTTCTCTGCTCCATCGAGCATGCAGAAATAAAGAGCTCTTGGCCAATGCAGGGAAAACTTTAGCATTTCTGGTGTTTATTTATGATCATCTGGAGTCATTGGCTTCAGGCTAAGTAGATTTTTCCTGGTCCAGTCATGTAATTGAAGGGGATATGCACATTAGAGAGGCAAGGAAAACTATTGCAAGGAGTGGAGGGGGAATGCGAGAGACTTACTTGGTTCTAAAGCAGATGCAGTTTGGAATATAGTCCTAGAAAAATAGGATCCACTTTGCATGACAAGGGAAGAGCTGAGGAATAAACATGAGGTCAAGATAAGAGTGAGCAAGTCTCATTTGTTTAGTCCCAAAGAATCTCCTGATTTGGGCACCAGCTGGACTGAATAACAGGTCTCAAACCACAAGGCAATCTGCATTCTCCCAACTAACTAATAGGAAGGCCGGCCTAAAGAGCAATATCCTAGATGAAGCTAATTTGTATTTCATCATCCCCTTCACACTTGCTTGGTGTCTTTAAGAATCAAGAATATCTTAGTGTCCTTGGCAATTGGCACAATTGTATTTAACAGAGGAGCAAAGACTGCTGCAGTCTGGACACTGGAGCTATCTTTGAATAGCCAGAAAACAAGCAGGGGAATTAAGCTCGGCTAAATGCCATGTCCTTACTATTAGTCTTGAGCCAACAGGCCAGGCCTATTTGTTACCCTTAGTACTGAGTTGGAAATGTATCTGCAAATGCCAGTGAGAATCTCAATCTCTCTCTCTCTCTGTCTCTCTCTCTCTCTCTCTCACACACACACACACACATACACACACACACACACACACTCACATCCTGGAAAAGTTGTTTGAGCCAGGGCTGTCATTTAAACAGTTTACTATGTCCAGCTGTATAGGTACCTTTTTTGTCTCAGTTGGCTTGTATGCAACCCTGGTATGTGATTAAGGGAGAATAGGATTAATGTCCTTCTTGACAAGACCATCAGTGGCATAAGACCAGGAGATAATTTATTTTTAAGAGCACTGTCAATCTGAGCATGATTTGTGGCTGGCTTTCCAATTGGGCCACAACCCTCAGGAGAAGCTCCCTACTCCAGCCTGGCAACAAATACATTCCTCACCTTGATGAGTCTAAACCTCAGACAGCAGCCAGAAGCTGAAGAATCCCATTGCCTCCTCTGAAAGTGGGAGACTTTATACACAGAAACATACAAGAGCAGGACCAAAGGCAGGGACCACACTGTGTCCACTACACCATCTCCAGCACCTAGCATCCAGCCTGGCATGTGGTGAGTACTCACCAACAGTTGGTAGCTAAATGATTCTAATAAATGATTGGATGAATGCATGTAAATTCTTTAAGTTTTAGCCTCAACTTTATTTGCAAGCTTATTGGTAAAGCTCAATCCAAATATTTATATATGACTTATAATATGCAGAATTTCCTTAGCAGGGGTAGGGGGACGGGGGAGAATTAATATGGAAGTGGCAAGACACACTTTTTTTCCATGAAAACAATTATTAGTTTTGCCAGAAAGTCAAAAGCAGTGGTTCTCAAACCTTACTAATTACTAGAAACATTTGAGGAGATTTAGAGAAATACAGATTCACTAGATATTTCTAATTCATTGGTTTTTTTTTTTTTTTTTTTTTTTGAGACAGAGTCTCACTCTTTCGCCCAGGCCAGACTGCAGTGGCACTATCTCAGCTCACTGCAAGCTCCACCTCCCAGGTTCATGCCATTCTCCTGCCTCAGTCTCCTGAGTAGCTGGGACTACAGGTGCTTGCCACTGCGCCCGGCTAATTTTTTGTATTTTTAGTAGAGATGGGGTTTCACCATGTTAGCCAGGATGGTCTCTATCTCCTGACCTGATGATCTGCCTGCCTCGGCCTCCCAAAGTTCTGGGATTACAGGCATGAGCCACCGCGCCTGGCCTCATTGGTTTATGACTGAAACTGACCCAGTTGTCCCATCAAGCTGATTTTTATGGTTTCTTTTGAATAAACATGGAAATTGACACTCCTAGTCTTGAAACTTGAGAAAGTTGCATTTGTCTTATCTGAGTTCCTTTCTCAGGAAACCAACTATTCAGCCTCTCAGATAGTATCAAGGAACTGAAGCTTACCAGATCACTGCATCTGGACAATGAGATGACAGAACCCTCACCCTTCATGACTGCCTAACTGACTACGTGCTTCCTATTGACCAACTCCTTCTTCTTACCTCTCCCTATTTCCTGTTTTCCTGCATGGTTACATTTCTTCCCTGCTATATAAATACCTGATGTTAATCAGTCAAAGAGGTGGATTTGAGACTCATCTCCCATCTCCTTGGCTGCAGCACCCGATTAAAGCCTTCTTCTTAGAAATACTCATTGTGTTAGTGATCGATTGGCTTTCTGTGTGACAAGCAGTAGGACCTAGACTGAACCTCTGATATTTTGGTAACATGATGGGGCCCAGTAATCTAGATTAAAAAAAATTCATCCTAAGAGCTTCTTTTGATGAGCCAGGTGTTGGGAGCTACTGGCTTAATGTGTTCCACCTTCCTAGTGAATGTAAGTATGAGCTCATTGCTGCATCAGGTTTTTTTTGTTTTTCTTTTCTGGACGGTGGCATTTTAATATGAACAGGACTAAGGAGAGGGGACTAAGTTGATTTTAAAGTGAAAATTGTGAAATACGGGCAATTTGACTTCAATATTCTGCTTCTTTGCTGATATGGGCTAAATTGTGCTCCCCCACAAATTCATATATTGAAGCCCCAACCCCTTACTAGGGGTTATTATTTCATAATGCGACTATATTTGGAGACACAGTCTTCAAAGAGGTAATTAAGGTTAAGTGAGGCATTAGGATGGGGCCTTATTTCAATATGACTGGCATCCTTTTTAGAAGAGGAGATGAGGACATGAATACCTATAGAAGGAAGACCATATGAAGACACAGGGAAAAAAATGACCCTTTGCAAGTCAAGGAGAGAGGTCTCAGAAGAAAGCAACCCTGCCAACACCTTGATCTCACTCTTCTACCTTCCAGAATAATGAGAAAACAAATGTCTGTTGTTTAAGTCCACCAGGCTGTGGTGCTTTGTTATAACAGCCCCTGCATACTAATATATTCTTTCTGGAACCCTCTCTTCATGGGGAAGGCAAGGACTGTTTTGCATCTCTGAGGTCTCCTCACAGAATTGCTTTATCTGGGGCCATCTACTTCCAGATGCATGCCTTTTATTCAATTCAGAGATCATCTATCAACTCATAACACCTAAAGTGCTGTTGCTGGACAGGCATGGGGGAGCCAAGAAGATGCTGTTTGAAGGTTCTCATTGCCCATCACAGTGGACCTGTCTGCAGGTCAGTCCCAATGGTGTTTGCTAGGTGACCTCTATAACCTGATCAACAAATTTCTGTCTGGATTATTATAGATCTTCTAGTCTAAATGCTTTCTTTAAGAATGATCACCAGCCAGGTGCGGTGGCTCACACCTGTAATCCCAGCACTTTGGGAGGCAGAGGTGGTGGATTACCTGAGGTCAGGAGTTCAAGACTAGCCTGACCAACATGGAGAAAACCCGTCTCTACTAAAAATACAAAATTATCCAGGCATGGTGGCGCATGCCTGTAATCCCAGCTACTCAGAAGGCTGAGGCAGGAGAATCACTTGAACCTGGGAGGTGGGGGTTGTGGTGAGTTGAGATCACACCATTGTACTCCAGCCTGGGCAACAAGAGTGAAACTACATCTCAAAACAAAACAAAAGAACACCAAAAAAAGAATGATGATGAAAGAGGAGCTCCTTGGGATCATCAATATTTTCTTATTTATTTTTGTATCTTCAACATCTAGCAAAGTAGTTAATACACGGCAATGCCCAACACCCTCTTGTTTTCGGAATCAAGGGGATCACCTTGCTTCCTCTCAAATCCTGTTGGTGTCTGAGATCTCATTATGTATTGACATGGCAAGATCCTTACTTAGCATAATGATTAGGGCATATAATTTAGAAATACATTATAATTAATTTATATTACAAATATATTGATTATGATGCTAATAAGGAAATAAGAATTTCTTTTTTATAGTGTTGGTACAGTCTTATTTCCATTGGTCTTAGCTCTGACCTATGAAAATCTCTCTTGCACTTGAAATCCATTTAGCATCATGTAACTTTTTACACCTTACTATGTGGTAGGCACTGGGTATACAGTGGTGAACAGATGTGATTCTCACCCTCATTTAGGTAGTCTAGTAGTGGGGACAGATTAAAATCTAAATACAAAAATATAACCACAGACTGCGAAAAATGCTCTGAAGCAAATGTATGTAAAGTTTGCTTACATGAGAGAGGCCAACAGAACCATTTTTTTGTAGAATGAAGACTCAGAGAAAGGAGCTTTGAAAAGTTGCATTTAAACTAACGTCTGAAAAATGAGTAGCCATTACCCAAGGGAGAGAAGGGGAAAGAATATTCCACTTGAGGGTCCAGCATATGTGGAGACCCTGAAGTAGAACCTAGTCACATCCAGGAGCCAGAAGGTCCCAGTGTGGCTGGGGAGAGGGGTGTGTGGGATTGAGCAAGGGAGGGTGGTGAGCAGTAGCACTTTGTACATTTGAAATGTTCATTAGCATTGTTGACATTTTCCCCTCTAGTTTCACCTAAATGGTGAACTACCACCTTAAGAGGATGTGGTTTCTGGTCCAGATACCTTTCTCAATCTCTCTTTGCCAAGCTTGTGCTTGCTTGAGCCCAGATGGACAATCCTTCCAGCACCCCGAAGAACTTGTGTATCTATCCCTGGTAGCTTATCTTGTATGTCTTAGTATCTTCTTTTTATCGGGTAGCCTTCTGACATAGGAGATGGGGTTCTCAACTAATAAGAATACATGAATAAACATATTCTAATCATAGGGGGCCAGGCACAGGGCTGATGCCTGTAATCCCAGTACTTTGGGAGGCCAAGGCAGGGGGATTGCTTAAGGCTAGTAGTTTGAGACCAGCCTGGGCAACATAGTGAGACCCTGTCTCTGCAAAAGATATAAACATTAGCTGGGCATGTTGGTGGACGCCTATACTCCTAGCTACTCGGGAGGCTGAGATCATTTGATCTCAGGAGTTCAGGGCTGCAGTGAGTTATGACTGCACCATTGCACACTCCAGCCTGGGTGACAGAGTAAGACTCTGACTCAAAAAAATAGAAAAGACAAGAAAAGAAAAAAGACAAAAAATATGGTTTGGGTCATACCTTATTTCTTCCTTTGTTAGTTTCCTGCCCTAACAGGGTTTAATCAGGACTTCACTTTTTACCTAAAATATTGTAGCTGTGTCTTCACTCCCATCCTAGACCATAAACTCCCGGAGCAGGATCCAGGGCTGCTCCAAGGCTGGGACCTCATCACTGGGATGTTTCCCTTCCTCTTATGAAAGTCCTCAGCTCTGCTGTACAATTGCTACAGAGTGGGCACAAGGCAAATGTTGTAACTAATAGTGGAAATCAGAAAAAAAAAAACCCACACAAATCTATGCTAAGTATGTGTTTTGACCTAGAGGGGATTTTATTTTACATTGCTTTCTGCCTTATTAAAGATATTAAATGGTTTGTGATACCAAGGTCCAGGAAAGGTATCTTTCTAGTCATGTTTTCGGTTAAAAAAGACACAGATCAGCCAGTCGCAGTGGTGCACACCTATAGTTCCAGCACTTTGGGAGGCCAAGGCAGGTGGAACACCTGAGGTGAGGAGTTCAAGACCAGCCTGGGCAACATGGTAAAACCCTATCTCTACTAAAAATACAAAAGTTGGCCAGGTGTGGTGGCAGGTGCCTGTAGTCCCAGCTACTCGGGAGGCTGAGGTGGGAGAGTTGCTTGAACCTGGGAGGTGGAGGTTGCAGTGATCCAAGATTGTGCCACTGTATTCCAGCCTGGGAAACAGAGTGAGACTCTGTCTCAAAAACAAAACAAAACGAATCGATTAAGAGAGCAATTTGACACTTGATTTGAAGATTGTCAGGGACTTTGAGTCTTTGTGGAACATTGTTAATTAGTAAGTTGTGCCTTACAGGGGCTTTAGTGTATTTTGTAACAGTAATCTTGTGGTTTATAGTTTTCTTTGGTTCTTTCAGAAGTTTATCACTTTTGACAGAATTGCTTTCTTATTTGAGTTACTGAACTAAATGTATCCCTTTCAAAGGGAAAGGATTGTGTCTTATTCAATGTCATGTTTTAACACTTGGCATAGTCCCTGGCACAAAGAAGTGCTCATAGACATTTATTCACTTTATTTTGTAATTCTGGGATGCGTAGACGCTTGCTGAAATATTCCTGTTTATATTATGGTGTTAATTACATTGTATTGAAACTTTAAATGTAACACATAACCTCAGGCCATCATAAGGTTTTTTTGTCCAGGTCCTCTGGTAGCATGAGGAGCTTAAACTGGGAGCGAGTACCTTGTCCTCTATACTACACTGGACTGGGAGTTCCCCACTGAGTTCAGACTCTTGGAGAATAGAGTCTTTTCTTACTTAGCTTCATAATTATTTGACACAGTCCTGGATATAGGGTAAGCGGTCACCAAATGTTTGTTGAAGGCTGTGAATGAATGTATTACCAGAGAAGGAATTGTACTGGTTCTATAGTTGTGATTACTAGAACAGTGAGTGGTCCATTCTGTAGAGATTTGCTTCTTCCTTAGAGTCGGCTTCTAAAGCGTCTGTTCTCAGGCACTGATGATAAGACTGTCTAGAAGAATCTTCCTTGAGTATTAAATCAGCCTGTCAGAGGGGACCCTGTGGCTGTCTGGGGTTGAATTCTCTGCTGTGTCTTATATGGGGAAAAATCATGTTCTTTTGCTGGGGATGCAGTTTGAAGGGTTCCTCTCATCCTCAGCAATCTCAGGGAGCATCGACCATCTCCAGAATCTGTGGCAGAGATACAGACATCTTGTTCTGAATGCAAACATTCTTATAACCCCGGGGGAAAGCTGTATAAGGAAGGTCAGAACAAGTCCTGCCTGTAGTAGAAACTGTCAAGATGCTGTGATTAGAGTGATAAAGCAACCCCTCTACACTCCACACACACCCAAGAATGCTTCCCCTATGCCGTAGAACCTGCAATCCTTATCACTTCTCAAAGACTGAGAAGTCTAAGGAAGATGACACATTTGCTAGTTTACACAGTAGCAGGGATTATTTTAGGTAAGGTACTTATATATTTTAAAAAATCCTGTATTAGATTGCAAGAGTGTCAACAAGGAGGCAAGGCAGTGATCAGGAGGTAGAGCTTGGAATTAGGAAGGAGAGAGAGAGCGAGAGGGAGAGAGAGGGAAAAAGAAAATGAGTATATGTGGGGTGGGAAGAGAGGAAAAAGAGAAAGAAAGAGTAAGAGAGTTCATTTTATGCTAAATCCTAAAAGGAACCCATGGGAATCAGAATACTAAATTTATCTATGTCCTTATCTTATACTTGTTTTGTTGTTATTAAATCTTAAGTTAACGTGGGGAAGGGCAGAAATAAACTAAATATTCAAGTTTCAGGTATCGAAACAAAACCCTGAAAGTTGGCAAAAATGTTAGCCTTCCGAGGGTGGGAACTTATTTACTACTATATCCTTAGGGTATAGAACCTTGTACCTAGGAGGCCCTGGACAAATATTTATGAATAAGAAAATGAATGGATCACTACCAAACATTTAAAGAAGAGTTAATATCAATTCTTCACAAACTGTTCCAAAAAGTAGAATAGGAAGGAACATTTCCCAGTTCATTCTATGTCTCATATCACTGTAATACCAAGCCAAAGACATTGAAAGAAAAGAAAACCATAGACCAATATCTCTTATGAATGTAGAGGCAAACAACCTCAACAAAATTCTAGAAAAAACAGCAACTATAGAAAGAATTAAGCACATGGAGAAGTAGGATTTATCCTAAGGATGCAGGGTTGGCTTAACATTTGAAATCAATTAATGTAATACACCATATCAATATGATAAAAACCAAAAACCATGTGATCATCTCAACAGAGAAAATATTTGACAAAGTCCAACATGCTTTCTTGATAAAAACAGTCAACAAATTGGGAATAGAAAGAACTTCCTCAACCAGATAAAGGACGTCCACAAAACCCACAGGGATATATTGTTCTTATTTCTATTTAACATTGTGCTGGAGGTTCTAGCCAGGGAAATTCATCAAGAAAATGTAACAAATGGCATCCAGATAGGGAAGAAAGAAATAAAACTATCTCTGGTCACTGACAACATAATTATGTATGTAGAAAATTTTAAGAAATACTCTAAAACACTTTAAAACCTAATGCATGAGTTCATCAAGATTTCAGAATATAATATCAATATGTAAAGATTAATTATATTTCTATACATTTGCCACAAACAATATTAAATGGAAAGTAAAACAATTACATTTATAATAGCGTCAAAAGGAATAAAATACTGAACAAAGAAGTGCAAAACTTCTGTGCCCTGGAAAGTACAAAAGATTGTTGAAATAAATTGAATAAGATTTCAATAAATTGAAAGAGATTCCATATCCATAGACTGGAATATTGTTAAGATGGAAGTCCTCTCCAAATTGATCTACAGATTTAACACAATCCCAGCTAGCTTCTTTGTAGAAATTGACATACTGAGTCTAAATTTCAGAACTGCAAGGGACTCAGAATAGCTAAAATAATCTTGAAAAAGAACAAAGTAGGAAAGCTCACACTTCTGATTTCAAACTTATTATAAACTAATAGTAATCAAGAGAGTACTGCCATAAATGAGTAGAATTGAGAGACAAGAAATTAAACCAATGCATCTATAGGTAATTGATTTTCAACAAGGGTGCCAAGACCATTCAATAAGGAAAGATGCTTATGGTGCTAGGGCAATTGGATATCCACCTGCAAAACAATGAAGTTGGACACTCGCCTCACACTAGGTACAAACATTAATTCAAAATGGATCAAAGACCTAGATGTAAGAGCTAAAATTATACAACTCTTAGAAAAGAACATAGAAGTAAATCTTCAAGACCTTCAATTTGGCAATGGCCAAATAGAGCAAAAGCACAAACAATCATATAAGAAAATAGCAATTGGGTTTCATTAATATTAAACACTTTCATACTCCAAAGGACACTATCAAGAAATTGAAAAGACATCCTGGCCGGGTACAGTGGTTCACGCCTGTAATCCCAGCACTTTGGGAGGCTGAGGCAGGTGAATCATGAGGTCAGGAGTTTGAGACCAGCCTGGCCAACATGGTGAAACCCCGTTTCTACTAAAAATACAAAAATTAGCTATGTGCAGTGGCATGTGCCTGTAGTCCCAGCTACTCGGGAGGCTGAGGTGGGAGAATCACTTGAACTCGGGAGGTGGAGGTTGCAGTGAGCCGAGACCTTGCCATTGCACTCCAGCCTGGGTGACAAAGTGAGACTCCATCTCAAAAAAAAAAAAAAAAAAAAGACAACCCACGGTATGGGAGCCAATTTTTGAAAGTCACATGTCTGATAAGGGAGTTGTATCTAGCACATATAAAAACCTCATACCACTCAAGAATAAAAAGAGAACCAACTCAATTAAATAATGGGCAGAAACATGAATAGACGTTTCTCTGTTATTTATACAAATGGTCAGTAGCACATAAAGATGCTTGATACCATTAGTCATCATGGAAATACAAATCAAAACCAGAATGAATCACTTCATACACACTAGAATGGCTGTAACAAAAAAGTCAGATACAAACAAGTGTTGGCGAAGATATGGGGAAATTGGAACCCTCATATGTTGCTAGTGGAAATGGGAAATGGTGCAGCCACTTTGGAAAACAGTCTGACAGCTCCTCAGAATGTTAAACATAGAGTTGCTCAAGGACTCTGCAATTCCAGGTATATATCCAGGAGGAATAAAAACTTATGTCCACATGAAAATGTATACCTGAATGTTCACAGCAGCATTACTTATCATAGCTAAAATAGCCGAAAGTTGGAAACAACCCAAGTGCCCATCAATTGATGAATGAATAAAGCAAATGTGGTAGATCTGTACAATGGAATACTATATGGCTAAAAAAGGTCCATAAACATCACTGATATGTACTACAACATGAATAAATCTTGAAAACATGATGCTTAGTGAAAGAAGTCAGTCATGAAAGACCCCAAATTATCATTGTATTTGTATAAATGTCTAGAACAGGTACTCTATAGAGACAGAAGGTAGATTAGTGGTTGGCTACGGAAAAGGTTGATAGTAGGGTTCAGAGGTGATAGTGAAACACTATGAGGTCTCTTTCTGGAGTGATGAAAATATTCTAAAATTGTGGTAATGCTTGTACAACTCTGTGATTATACTAAAAAGCACTTAATTGTACACTTCAAATGGGTAAATTGTACACTATGTGAATTATATCTCAATAAAGCTGTTACCAAAAAAGTTTATCAATAACTTGAGAGTTTGAGAATTTAAATAGTCTATTATAAAACGAACTATATCAAGTATATCCCAAGTTCTAAAATTAATAAAATCTTTAGAAATCACAAAAGGTTTTACTTTTTCTTTTTTTAAATTAAGTTCATTAGGGTTGAGCATTCAGACTGCTTTGATTGACTCTGAAGTCCTACCCAGCTCTCAGATTCTGTGGAGCTATGTTTTAAGGAGGAAATTCTTATCAAGCAATGTTGAGACAAGTAAAACAACATGATGCATTTATATACATTTCTAGCTGGTAGAGTAGAACTGGGTGAAACTGTGACAGCCTCTCTAATTCCTATAAAGCTGAGCTCCCTCATGGCCCAGGCTTAGCACAGTGTGGCATTCGCAAGAGCAGCAACCTGACATTCAGCAGCGATTTTTGAAAAGCAATTTTAATACTATGAAAAATTCCCTAGATCATTCTCAATATGGAGCAAGCTTATTAAAATCTTTTTCCCACTTGCCTGTCTTTCTCAGCAACTCATGAACATGACAGTTACTCTTGTAGTTTTTTCCTCCTTTATCTGAACTGAGCCCTCTTTCCTGCCCCACCCTCCCAGGCTCTTTTTTTTGAGATGGAGTCTCGCCTCGTCACCCAGGCTGGAGTGCAATGGCCTTATCTCGGCTCACTGCGACTTCTGCCTCCCAGGTTCAAGCAATTCTCCTGCCTCAGCCTCCCTAGTAGCTGGGATTACAGGCACGCACCACCATGCCCAGCTAATTTTTTGTATCTTTAGTAGAGACAGGGTTTCACTTTGTTGGCCAGGCTGGTCTCAAATTCCTGACCTACAGATCCGCCCACCTTGGCCTCCCAAAGTGCTGGGATTACAGGTGGGAACCACTGCACCCAGCATTTTTCCCCTTTTGAAACTCTTTCCAATTCTGTTCTGGTGGCTCCTTTTTATTTTTAATGCCATATTATCTGTCTGTAGTCTATACTTATTGACCCAAAATTATCTGCCATTTCCCATGTAAATAAACTCAGCCCACTTTGCTGCCTTTTAACATCCCTCCTGTCACTTATTACCCCATTTTCATACATCCAAGAAAGGTCACAAACACAGAATTCACCTTAACATGCAAAAGAGGGGAAGTCGCTGTAATGTTGCTTTTCTGGTGACACCGCACAATACATCTACAAATTAGATGACAGGTCAAGACTGGAGGTGGAGGCACCTATGGGAAGAGGAAATGGCCATCACTCTGTGCTTTCTGGAATCTTCTATATACCAGGGCATCCAGAACATCAGTTGCAACTAGGAGAAAGATGGCTTAGTTCTCTGTGTACTCAGTGACTATCAACCCAGTTTGAAGAAAGGTTATTTAAAATCGTAGAAGCCATGGCTCCTCCATTCACATTCATCATCTTTGGTGGTCTGACCCCAAATCTTTAAGGTCCATGAAATTAAAAGGCATCTTAAAGATCTAGAAGAATCCAAAATGACTTATCTAAAACAGGCCTGAAGATGATGCTTCAAATGCCAACATAAAAACAGGCTGAAGGGGGATAAGAATTCATTAATTCCAGGAGCATTCAGGCAGCTCTGAAGGGGGATAAGAATGCATTAATTCCAGGAGCATTCAGGCAGCTTTTCAGGTTATTTGTCAGCCAATAGCATTTATTGAGTGATTGTCCTCTGTGTATCAAGCACCAAACTAGCCTTTAAATTGCATGTTCTGCGAAGAGAACTCTTCCTTACCCTTGGTCACGATAAGTATCTTTCTCTACAAACAAACTACTTCTGGGCTTTCTGTGGCATTTTGGATATCTCTGAACAGCAGTTAAAGAGATTGGTGCTCTAACTTCACGAAAATACAGGAGGCAGAGATTGATCTCCTTGGTTCCCCCGCTTGCTGTCCTCTACGTTGGTTAGAAAAATTTGGTCAAAGATGAAATCCACACTGGGAAGGCTCAGGTTGACTTTAGAAGATATGCTTGATTAAAAATGGTTTTTTTTTTTTTTTGGTTCCATTACATTCTATGAGGAGGCAAGGAGGCAGGTCAACAGGTAGTGATCATTCAGCAAGGTATATTAATGCCATAAACAAACAACACAGTACACAATGGTCTTGTGTTAACCTCACCTATACAAACTGAGAGAGGCATTGAGCTTATCCTGGTCAAATTTTTTAATTTAGTGTGTTAAAAAAATCTTATAGCATAAACATAAATTAAGAATTTTCCTGAATAGAAGTCACTGGTCAAATTGGCCACACATGTCTCTTCTATAAACAAAACTCCAGAATATATGGCAATGTCTAAAGAATTCTTGGTAAAAAGAATTCATATGGCATGACCAAAAATTTCATACACGTAAATTTTCAAACTCATGGAAAATTAGTAGAAAGACAACTTTACATATACCAGAGCTCGGAAAGTGTATCCCATGCTACCCTGTGAAAAAAAAGTTAATATAAAAGCACATTGCAGTTGAAACAGAGTTTAACTAAAATAATGAATAAAAAGATTGGGTTATAAAAAGATGTGATTCAAAAGAATAGTTCACAAACAAAACACACACACACACACACACACTGCACATGGTTGTGTGTGCCTGTAATTCCAGCTACTGAGGAGGCTCAAATGGGAGGCCAAGCATTTGAACTCAGGAGTTCAAGCCTGCAGTGAGCTATGATGATGCCAAAGCAATCCAGTGTGGACAACAGAGTGAGACACTGTCTCAAAATTAAAAAAAAAGAAGAAAAAAATGATAACTGCCTGAAGTGAAGGATACCATGTCTATTATTTATATATTTGTTTATATTTATATTTATTTTTGAGTTGAAGTCTCGCTCTGTCACCTATGCTAGGGTGCATGGTGCAATCTCAGGTCACTTCAGACTCAGCCTACCAGGTTCAAACGATTCTCATGCCTCGGCCTCCAAAGTAACTGTAAGGTACTATAGGCGTACACCACCATGTCTGGCTAATTTTCATATTTTTCATAGAGATCAGGTTTCCTGGTGTTGGCCAGACTGGTCTTGAAGTCCTAGCCTAAAGTGATCTGAATTTCTTGGCCTCCAAAAATGCTGGATTACAAGCTTGAGCCACAGCTCCCGACCTCTGTTTATTTTGTAGAGTGGCAAATGACTTCGTGCTAAAGATTTTGCCATGAAGGCTAGTTTCTTCATCGTTTGAGAACTGGGCAATATTTACTTGTTTTATTTTGCGCTTTATATTATCTAACTGGTCTGTTTATATTAAACATGTACAAGTGTACATGTGTGTTGCTGCATGACTATCAATATAAAATCCCTACTGACAAATTTCCTTGTACATTAGGAAACTAGGAGTGCAGAAGAAAGTTATCTGAAACAATATTTAATAGCAAAATGTAAGAAATCACCTAAATGTGCACACAAAAAAGAGCCGATAGAAAAAAGAGCACCCACAGTGGATATCATTAATACTAATGTTAAATTTAAACTAGTTACATTAAATTGCATACAAATGTAGTAAAAGTATATGGACACTCACGGTAATAAAAATGACCAAATTTTACTTAGTTTTACTTTCAAATATAGAGGCTAACGTGGTAGTTTACTTTAAATTGTATATAGTATAAACAAGCAAGTTCAGCTTTGTTACTGGAAATAGCAATAATGCTGAGATAAGTAAATTCTAACAGGTTAGAAAATAAAACAAAGATGAAAAGGTTAAAATCCACCACCTCAATTCATCACGTTGAGGGGAGAACCGAAAAGCCAGCTCCCGACTTAATGGAAATAAATATTTCTGCCAAAGTCTGGGTACAGCTATAAAGGGTCACAAAAATTATCATCTCTGAATGACTTCGGCTTTCTTACTCACTGAGAAACTTTATGTTCTAAAATTATAAACAGAGTATTTGCTGTTTGAAATGTTATCGGTGAAGATAAAACTTAGCACTCTTGCCCGGCTGATTTGTCACTTTCCATAGAAGAAAAACTGTTTTCCAGCCTAGGTGCATAGCTTCAAATAACAGGCATTTGCACTCAAAATTCCACACAAATGTCAACTTGTGATCTACAAGGAATAAAGACACTGGGTTCTCTCACAGTCTAAACATGATGTTTTGACCTTTAATACATAGGCGTCCTTTACCTTGAACCTATTGAAACTCTGCTGTGTTTAAATACCTACTCACCACCTCTCCCATAAATCGTACAGTACCTCCTTTTATTACTTTAGTTGCCCCACAGGCATGGTCTACCTTACTCTACCAAGTCAATGCAATTGTATCAGACTATAGGTTTGTCCTGTGTAGTCATAGACTAGCTGGATTAAGTCACAGAATTTCTCTGTCTAGCTCTTTTTTCCCCATACCTAAATGCAACTGGAAAAAATGTCTAATATGCCTAGCATCCCCAGAAATAAATCACATTTTCTGATTTTGCAAAATTGATTCCAATATACAATACTCATTTGAGAAAAGTGCCATTTCTCAAGTGACTGATATAAAAATGGTAATGTCCATAATAATTTGTATTCTATATTTTTTAAATGTGGATTTTTTTCTGGCCAGGCACAGTGGCTCACGCCGGTAATCCCAACACTTTAGGAGGCCGAGGCGGGCAGATCACAAGGTCAGGAGATCGAGACCATCCTGGCTAACACGGTGAAACCCCGTCTCCACTAAAAATACAAAAAATTAGCTGGGCTGGTGGCAGGCACCTGTACTCCCAGCTACTCGAGCAGCTGAGGCAGGAGAATGGCATGAACCCGGGAGGCGGAGCTTGCAGTGAGCTGAGACACGCCACTGCACTCCAGGCTGAGCGACAGAGCCAGACTCCGTCTCAAAAGAAAAAAAAAAAAAAAAAGAAAAGAAAAGAAAAAAAAAATCCACATTTTTCTTTTTTTTTTTTTTTTGGTAGTTTTTTTTGTTGTTTTGTTTTTTTGTTTTTGAGACGGAGTATCACTCTGTTGCTCAGGCTGGAATGCAGTGGCATGCCTCTGCTCACTGCAAGCTCCGCCTCCCAGGTTCATGCTATTCTGCCGCCTCAGCCTCCCGACTAGCTGGGACTGCTGGCGCACGCCACTACGCCTGGCTAATTTTTTGTATTTTTTTTTTTTAAGTATAGACGGGGTTTCACCGTGTTAACCAGGATGGTCTCGATCTCCTGACCTCGTGATCCGCCCGCCTCGGCCTCCCAAAGGACAGGGATTACAGGCATGAGCCACCGCGCCCTGCTGGATTATTATTATTATTATTTTATTTTTATCTTTATTTTATTTTTATTTTTATTTTTTTGCCAGGCAAGGTGGCTCACGCCTGTAATCCTAGCACTTTAGGAGGCTGAGGCACGTGTATCTCAAATGAGACCAGCCTGGCTAACATGGCGAAAGCCCATCTTTACTAACAATACCAAACAACTTTGGCAGGTCTGGTGGCGTATGCCTGTAGTCCCGGCTACTCGGGAGGCAGGAGGATCACCTCCAGGAGGCGGAGGTTTCAGAGAGCCAAAATTGCGCCATTGCACTCCAGCGTGGGCCAGAGATCCAGAATCTGTTTCCAAAAAAGGAAAATACAGTAAAATAAATGTGGGTTTTTTTGAAAACATAATATGCTGGTTTTTTTTGAAAACATAGTATGCCAGTTTTTATGTTCTTTCTGAAATTTGTATCCGTATGTATTCTTTCCACACAGAAAGTAGTATATAGACCAGCTTATACAAATGTTTCAACTATATTTGAATTTTATTTGCACAACTGTCTGAATAATTCTAATACCCCAGATTAAAGTTAGAATATGTATATTTTACCCGTTGGTCTGGTTTTTTTTATTCTTTTAAGTCTGAGCATAATAACTCGCTAAAAAGATTTCTGTAAGGCCTGGTTTCTGCTAACATTATTTTCTTGGCTGTATTTTATCTAAGTTCATTATGCAAACCGAATTTGCGTTGTGTCTTCAAAAATGACTTCTGAAAGCCTTCCATGGTCCTGTTACGCCCCTAACCATAATGAGGTAGCAGGGACCATATTTACCCTCCCAGGTTAAATAACCACAAAACTAGACAGAAATATGAACCAAAGATTTTTCTACATTCAATTCCAGGCAGCACCAAACAATAATTTCTCAGAAAAGATGAACAAAGACAGTGTAAGGATGAACCCTACTTATCACCAGGCCATAACTTAGGGGGTGTTACTAGATTGAGAAGACTAAAATCAGAGTTCAACTATATCAAGAAAGCTAGAATCTGTAGAACAAAATGCCAGAAAATAAAAGAGGACTTACACAAAAAGAAAACCCCAGAGAGGCAAAAGAGTTCATGCAGGCCTTCTGCTGGCTGTTAATCTGCATATCCATGTGAGAATATTATCTGAAGCTTAAAAGAAAGCACTGGAACAAAACTATTCCCTGTACATGCATCTATAATGTTGATTGGGCAGAGTACTTTGACTTTGCTTCTGGGTAAGTAGCATAGCATGGTCTTCGTATTATTTCTTTAGCTATACTCAATATCAGAAATGTATGAGGGTGCCTTAATGGCTTAGATTTTAGTTGTTTTAAGAGCCTGGGGTGAGACTTTGCTGGGGTTTGGTGTACTGAGTAGGCCTGTATTCAGGCTCCTGGGTAGCATCAGTAGACAGCAGCTGTGGCAGCTGCATTGGACAGGTAAGTCCTAGGGGTCCCAGGCAGCATGGAAGGGCCCCAGTGTGGTGCCTGTGGGCTAGGTGGGTCAGTCTTGAGTCCCTCATGTGGTACATGTGGGTGGCTATATTGGCAGTAGCAGCTTAGGATCTGGGTTGTGGGACCTGACATGACACTTACAGGTGTGTGGTTGTCTTGCTGCTGAGGGGCTGGGAGAAGTTGGTGCCTCAGTGGCAGCATCCTCAGGCAGGTATTTCCCACGTTCTATGGATCACACATTTTTGTTCCCTATGTTTTGACGCAGCCACTCAAATATGCTGGAATGCCTATTCCCTGGGGTATAGGATGCTGCATGATTTCCATCACCATGGACCCAACCACATTGCTGCATCCAGCTGACATCATGACACTGAGGCCTCTGGGTGGACAAGAGGGCATGTCAGCAAGGACCCAAGACACGGAGATGCAGGGGATATTGGACCCCTGGGCAAAAGGCTCTCTGATGTAGGTTCTAGACAGCCTTTTGCTCAATATCACCCTCAATACTGGGCCATGCACCAGCAGGGTGGGCCTCTGTGGGCACCGGGTCTTGCATGAGTTCCCTCTCTGGGACAGTGTAGTTGTGTGGACGTCAGGCAGGTCTCTGTTATTAGGCTTAGGATCTGTCCTCACAGGGCCAAGGGGATTCTCTGCATCTAGGATTGCAAATGCAGTCTTTCTTTCTCCCACAGTGGAGAATTCCTTTTGGTTTTGAGCCAATTCCAGCTGGCTGCTTTGGTCCCTCTCTATACTGCTGCCATCCCCAGTTTTCATGTCTTAGAGAGTCACTGTCACTTCCCTGCTGAATTCCAGCCTTCTCCCAAAGATGTTCGATTCAATGCATAGTTATCTATTTGCTATTTCAGACCTTCTTTGTGGACAAGGTGAGTCTTCAGTGACTCTAGCAGCCATCTTTATCCTTTCGTTATTGTTTTTTATTTTACTATCTATTTATTTATTGAGATTGAGTCTTGATCTGACACCCAGGCTGGAGTGCAGTGGAGTGATTTCAGTCCACTGCCACCTCCGCTTTCTGGGTTCAAGAGATTCTCCTTGCTCAGTCTCCCAAGTAGTTGGGATTACAGGCCCCCACCACCAAGCCTGGCTAATTTTTTTGTATTTTTATTTTTGTAAAGATGGGGTTTTGCATATTGGCCAGGCTGGTCTCAAACTCCTGACATCAGGTGATCCACCTGCCTCGGCCTCCAAAGTGCTGGGATTACAGGCATGACCCACTGTGCCCAGCCTTTTATTTATTTGTTTAAAAATATATGTCAGTTATTTTTCTCTCCTTTTATCATTATTATCTCCTTATAGTATTCCATATGTTATCATCCTGCTTCATAATGTTCCATAAGTTCCTTATGCTGTCTTCATGATTCCTTATTTTTCTCTTTCATTTTTATCCTCCAATTTGATTATTTTCAAAGACTTGGCTTAATTTTGCTTATCCTTTATTCTGCTTGATCCAGTTTACTGTTCGGTCCCTCTATTTAATTTTTGATGTAGCTTCCTGTATTTTTCACTTCTTTGATTTCTGTTTGATACCTTGAAATATTTTCTACCTCTTTGTTAAACTTCTCAGTTTTTAAATGCATTACTGTCCAGACTTCTGGTAATACCTTAGAGCTTTCTGTTTTGATTTCCCTGTCAGGGACATTACATACTTTCATTTTATCAGAGTCCAGTTCTGTTTATTTCTTTTGTTCTTTACCTCAGAACATATTTTCCTCTCCACTGCACTCCCTCACTGCCCTGCCCTCCTGTAACCACTACCACCAGCCCCATTTTTCTTGACTATGAGTTGGTTTCTGCAAGTCAGTGAAGACAACCATCTTTCTCTGTTGTCCTTAACTCATCCTACGTAGGAAATTTCATTTCCTTATCAGTGCAACCAGGGATTCCAGGTGCTTCTCAATTCTGTGATTGTCCAACTCACTGTCTTTCTTCTTATGCCCCCCTCGATTGTAGTATGTGTGAAATCATACTATTCCTTTGACACAGGCAAGATAGTAGCCAGCCCCATGATATGCAGGTAAAAGGTTTTGGGATTAGATGTATATTGCTTGTGGACAAGCTTAGATTCAGAGTTTATGTCCAACTAGTTCTGCCTTATGCCAAGAATAGTGTCCATGACTGACACCTGTACAGTCATTCGTTATGCTCACTCTGAATCTGGACAGATAGCCACTGAATATTTACAACTTTGACAATCTTGTTCTCTGTGATATAGGAGACTCAGAATACAGAGTCCCATTCACTTCCAGAAGTAGACAATTTAGGACAGTCCCTTAGATACAGGCTGTAAAATTTGTGATGCATGATGTATGCAGAAGCTACTTCCAGGGAGGTTCTACAGACATTGATTTCTCACCAGAGCAAGCCAGGGAGAAGGTAGTGCAGACTGCCTGCTTTCTCCTTCTGCATTGCCAAAGTCGCACAAGCTTCTTCCAGGAAGAACCTGCAAGGCAGATTTCTTGCTGTGGCAAGGCAGAGAAGAAAGCAAGAAGGCCTGAGAGGGGTTCACTGTCACATTTATACTTCACCAAAAATCTGTCCAGGGAGAATAGCAGGAGGGATTTATTGCTAGAACAAGCCTGTGAAGCAAGCTTGCTATGTCTGGTGACAGAAGGGGAGTGCTACCTCTTCCATTCAGGATTTCAGAGATCTAACTGCCTGATTTTCTCTGGCGAGTGATGGCAGAAATCTGCTATTAGAGCAAGCCAGGGAAGTGAGTGTGGGAAGTGCTGTTCTTCTCATTTAGGCTTGGAAGTATTCTGACTCTCTGCCTCCTTCCAGACAGAGACTGCAGGGAATTTTGCCGGAGCAAGTCAGGAAGAATGTCTTAGGGAGTGATGTCTGTCTCTGTTTGGCTCATAGAGGTCTGTCTCCAGCCTACTTTGAGAGAATAATTGCAGAAATCACTGAAGGAAGTGAAAGACGGCACAGTGATTGTCATTATTCTCATTTAGTCTTTCAGTAGTATTTTTCTAGCCTCCTTCCAGGGAGAGATTTCAGAGATATATTACTAAAGCACACTAGGGAAGAAGGGACTGGAAGTGCTGAGACCTTTCTTCTTGCTCCTGAAGACTTTAAACCTCTTTCCAGGGAGAGAAAATAGGCTTTCCCTAATCACTGAAGGAAGCCAGGGAAGAAGGCCGGGGGATTGATGTCCTTCCCTTTAGGCTCCACAAGCTGTATTCTTTGTTTGTTTGTTTCTTTAGAGTAGGGAATACAACCTTAGTTACAACTCCGCTGGGCTGTAATTCTCTTCATCCTGGCACTCTTTTTTAAGAGGGGAATGTATTTTTTCTCCCAAGCATGCAAAACGTTTCTCCCAAGCCTGGTGTGAAAGTCAGCTCTATTTAACTCTTTTTTTTTTTTTTCTTCAGTGAACATTAGTCCTTTACTCCTAATCTGGAACATTCTTCTTCATGGCTGTCTTTCTTTATAGGAAACCCATTTCCTTGCATTTAGGTTGGATATCTATTCTTCCTGACTCCCCTGCTAGTAGAAATTATTTTCTGGCTGACTGGGCTTAAGTCAGGAAATCCTGACTTCCTGATATCCCTGAGCAGGGAATTATTTTCTTACTTCATAGGATAAAAGCTTTTTGTTTTTTCTCTTGCTTTGTTTTCACAACAGGGATTATTCCCTAACTTTCTGAGCTTAAAGTGTGTGTGTGTTTTTTTTATTTTTTATTTTTCATTTTTTTTGCTATCACCTCTTGGTAGGAATTACTCCCCGACTCCTGGAGTGAAAATCTCTTCTACCTTTTCTATGCTTACCTAATAGGGATTATTCTCTGACTCTGTGCTAAACATCATATCTTTTTGTTGTTGTTGTTTTATTGGTGATTAATCCCAGACTTTACGGGATAGAAATATCTTTTTAGTGGATGTCTCATCTGAATAGAAATTATTCCCCAATTTCTGGCATAGTATTCTATTTTTCTGACTATTGTACTTCAATGTGATGTATTCCATGCCTCCTGGGGTAGAAAATTCTTCTTATTCTTCCTCTGGATTGTTTTTCTGATTGAAGACTTTTCCCTGGACTCCTGGTGTGGAAATTTCTGGCCTTATTTGCTAAGCAGGAAAAAAAAATTCCTGGGTCTATTTCCTGTGTAGAGATTTCCTCACTCCTGGAGTGAAAACCTGTTTTTCCTGGCTCTGTTTCATAAAAGAAATTATTTTCCTGATTGGACGTCATGTCTTTCCAGATCTCTTCCTTGAGTAACAATTATTCTCTCACTTTTTGATTTGAAAGACCTTCGTTCTTGCTCTCTTATGAAATGGAGTTTATTCCCTGGCACCTGAGCTGTAAGTCACTTATTAGCTCTCTTTTCTGACTCTCTGGATAGACATCTCTTCTTTCTGTTCTCTTTGTTAATGGGTAACATTTTTTCTGACTACTAGATTGTCTCTCTCTCCTAAGTGAGAATAATTCTCATGTGATTCTGAGTTCATAGTCACTTCTTCTTGGTTCCCTGTCCTAAATTAGTATTATTCTCTGAATCCTTGGACTGAACTTCTTTTTTTTTCCCTTTGTTCTTTTCTCTGAGATAAATATTAAATGAGCTCTCTGGTGAAAGATTGTTTTTCTACTTCTTTTCATGATTGAAGATTATTTCCTGGCTCCCTGGGATAGAAGTTTGTCTTCCCTCACTCTTTTTTCTGATTTCAAATTTTTATCTGACATTTGGGCTCAATATTCTTCTTTATGACTCTATTTCCTGATAAAGATTATAACATTAGTTCATTTAAAATCCTTACTTCTCTCTCTTTAAAAAATAATAATGATTATTCTAACTTTCTTAGGTAGGAGTTCCTTCTTATTGGCTCTGTCTTTCCCGAGTGGCATTTATTCCTAATGTGCAGAAAGTATTTTCCTCCTGGTGTTTCCCTTACTAGAGATTACTGTCTGACTCCAGGAGATAGACATTTTCTTATTTTGTTTTGTTTTTCTTAACTTGTTCTTCCCTTATTACAGATTATTCCAATTTTCTGAAGATTATTTCCTGATACGTTAGTTGGAAATCTCATCTTCCTGGCTCTTTTTCTTTATTGGGTATTATTCCCTGTCTCCTAGTGTGACATTTTCTTTTCCCAGGTTATAATTTTTCTTATGTTTATTCCCTGACTCCCTGGGGTTGCAAGTCTCTCTTGCCTTGCTCTCTAATCTGACTGGAAATTGTTTCCTGATTTCCAAGTCTGCAACTCTTTTTTTGTCAGCTTTGCTTCATGTTTGAGATTATTCCTGTATGTTCTGTGTTGTGTACCCTTCTTCCTAAGAGGGGCTCATTCTCTGATATTTTTGGCTTGAATTTTCCTCCTGGATGTCTATTCTTAAGTAAGAATTTTTCCCTGATTCTCTATGCTAACCATCTTTTTTTTCTGGCTACTCCCTGAGTGGGGTTTTCCCTGACTCCATTGACTGGGTCCCCTTTTTTCTAGCCTCTTTCCTGAGTGGAGATTATTTCCTGATTCGCTATGTTGGAGACCTTTTTTTCCTTAACAGGAATTTTCCCATCTTTCTGGGCTGTCAGGAAGTTTATCTCTATCTTAATCCACCTCTATCTCTATCTAACTCTATCTCTATCTCTATCTATCTTTCTATCTCACTATCTCTGTCTCTAATATCCACTGAAACTCTTTGACACCTCTCTCTTCTTTACTTGGATTCTTGTCTCTCCCATGGAAGTCTCATTGCCAACCATAACCCACTTTCTTGAACCCTTGTAGACTTTAGGCTTTGCTTACTCTGCATAACTTGTTGTTGGTATGCATTTTTCAAGGACAATTTGGAACTTCAAAGATCTTTGAGAAACTTAACATCTCCCTATACTGGTGCCTCTTTGATGTCTTCCTTCTTATTACTCATGTTTCTTGTTTCTCCTCTCACCACCTTCAATCTTCCTTTTACCTTCCTTGAATTCTTTGACATATCCTCCTTCAAACCTCTCATCATCCATTCTTCTATCTACCCCTAAACAAACCTATTCCTTCCTATTTCAGCCTTTCAACTTCTAAAGTCAACAGAAATTTAGGCTGACTAAATCAGAAGCTCTTGAGGGACTTCAGTATCTTCTCTACCCTCCAAGAAATTATTGGCCTGAAGTTGAAATGAAAAAATGGCTAATTAGAAGAGATTGAGTATTGTATCTCCCCAGCCTTTGGAGATGTGCAGACTGGAACTAGATATATTCTGTGCCTAAAATATAGTCCTCTGGCTCCACAGATACAATATTAGGACAAAATAGTCTCATAAAAGTCTTCTTCGCCAATACAGACAAAAGGTATTAGACCTCCTATTGAATAGGCGACCTTGTCTCATTTGCCAGAAGAACAATTTAGATACAATATAAAATGGATATAAACCCAGTGAGTTTTATATTACTCTATTGCCTCATTCATGACTAAATTTTAGGTGATCTCTAAAATCTGTTTTCCTCTATCTATATTTTCATGGCTATATGCTATATGTGTGTGATATATTTCTAGCTCTGGATATTATTACCAAGTTAATTTTTAATATCACTTAAAAGGGTGCTATTCAAATTGGCTTAGAGACATATGATCACTATTGTGAATTACATACTCCTAATAATCCTAGAAATATATATTCAAGTTCACATGACTCATGGAAATATTTAGTAAATAAGACTAGTTTAAAATTGTTTAATACAAACAGCTACATATTACAATTTGTTGTTATTATTAAATATAAAAAGATATTTGTGGGCCAGGCATAGTGGCTCATGGCTTTATTTCCAGCACTTTGGCAGGTCAAGGCAGGTGAATCATCTGGGGTCAGGAGTTTGAGGCCAGCCTGGCCAACATTACGAAACCCCATCTCTACTAGAAATACAAAAATTAACCAGGAATGGTGGTACACACCTGTAATCCAAGCTACTTGGGAGGCTGATACAGAATTGCTTGAACCCAGGAGGCAGGGGTTGCAGTGAGCCAAGATCATGCCACTGCAGTCCAGCCTGGGCGAGAGGGTGAGACTCAATCTCAAAAAAAAAAAAAAAAAGAATACACTTGTCATTTGTATCCTTCTTGGATTTACTAATTTACTAGTTAAGCTGTGTTATGTTCACTGGACATTTAAGATTTTATAAACATTTATATGGCAATTGAGTCATTTCTGAAGTTCAGTAAGAATGCGTTCTCCTTTCAACAGAACCTAATTAGAACCCGTTTTTTTTTTTTTTTTTTACAAAGCCTTGTCTGAAATGTCAAATATATTTAAGAATGATTTGCATAAAATCAGAGATAACTAGGCAGCTTTAAGAAGTATAATCTGAAACTAATTGTATAAAGTTCTGACAAAGTAAACTGGAAAGGACTCTGTGGCTAAGCATGGTGGCTCACACCTGTAATCCCAGCACATTTGGACACAAGGGTGGGAGAATCACTTCAGCCCAGAAGTTCAAGCCTAACCTAGGCAACAAGGTAAAACCCCATCTCCAAAATCAAACAAACAGGCAAACAAATAACATACAAAATTAGCCAAATATGGTGGTTTGCGCCTACGGTCTCAGCTACTCAGGAGGCTGAGGTTGGAGGATCACTTGAGCCCATGAGGTTGAGACTGCAGTAAGCCGGACACTGTTTCTAATTTAAAAAATTTTATATATATATATATATATATATATATATATATATATATATATATATACCTTTGTGGTCAATGACAATTCTTAGTGTACTTAGGTAAAAAATGAGGACAAATCTAGTCAGACCAGACTTATTTTGTGAACAAGAGTCAAGAGAAG
This sequence comes from Homo sapiens, assembly GCF_000001405.40. Taxonomy (NCBI): domain Eukaryota; kingdom Metazoa; phylum Chordata; class Mammalia; order Primates; family Hominidae; genus Homo; species Homo sapiens. The sequence continues at coordinate 25,277,271 of NC_000024.10, read as the reverse complement.
TAACAGCAGAGAGAATTTTGTTTCAATGGAAAACTAAAACCACCCATGTGAGTTGTCTTACATATTTTATTAGTCTACAATTTCAATTCTTGTTTTATCCAACATATAGCTACAACTCTCCAAACTAAAATTTCAACATTGTGTCCCCCTTTCATGATTTAGCATCACTGAAAACTAAAACTGCCCAATTGTCCCCAAACCTTGTAATCTGAAGCTGGATGACTGCATTATGAACGATTTAAAAAAATCATCTTCATGCCTTTGATACCTGATGACAACACTGGAGGCATTAAAAACTGCAAACCAAAGAATTCATTAAATCATCACTGCCACCTCACACCACCATCCTTAAGCTCAACATGTGGAAGTGTCAATTGGCTGCCTTCTGAAAGGGGAAAAGGGCCTTTGATGGGAAGTAATCCGGTCAGGATGACAGCACCCTCTTAAATGTTATTAGCACCCTCCTAAAAGACTATAGAGTTCCCAAGCCACTTATACCATGTGCAGACTCAGCAAGAGGGATGTTTAAAATCCAGGAAGTGGCTGGGCATGGTGGCTCACGCCTGTAATTCCAGCACTTTGGGAGGCCGAAGTAGGTGGATCACGAGGTCAGGAGATGGAGACCATCCTGGCCAAAATGCTGAAGCCCTGTCTCTACTAAATACAAAAAATTGGCCAGGCATGGTGGTGCGTGCCTTTAGTCGCAGCTACTTGGGAGGCAGGAGAATTGCTGGAACCATGGAGGCAGAGGTTCCAGTGAGCCAAGATCATGCCACTGCACTCCAGGCTGGCGACAGAGCAAGACTCCATCTCAAAAAGAAATTAAATAAATAAATAAATACATACATACATACATACATAAATACATAAATAAATGGGCTGGGCGTGGTGGCTCACTCCTGTAATCCCAGCGATTTGGGAGGCCGAGGCAGGCAGATCATGAGGTCAGGAGATCGGGGCCATCCAGGCTAATATGGTGAAACCTTGTCTCTACTAAAAATTAGAAAATTAGCCAGGTGTGGTGGCGGGCACCTGTCGTCCCAGCTACTCGGGAGACTGAGGCAGAAGAATGGTGTGAACCCAGGAGGCGGAGCTTGCAGTGAGCAGAGATTGTGCCACTGCACTCCAGCCTGGGCAACAGAGTGAGACTCCATCTCAAGATAAATAAATAAATTAATTAAAATAAAAATAAAATCCAGGAAATGACCCCTCACCTGAACACTGTATTTGCTGATTCCTTGACCTTGGGCTTCTTAGCCTCTGGGATTACAAGAAATCTTTGTTATAAACCTCCAAGTCCAGGTATTTTCTCAAAGCAATGTCTGTGGACGAAGATGATAAAAAATTATCCTATTATTCATTCAACAGCATTATGGTCCTATGAAAAATGATGCAATAAGGATTTAACTCTTGTTTTATAAAGGCTTTTCAGAATTTATTATAACTTACTGAAACAGAATCCCTATTCCAAGGTTGATAAATTGTATCTTACAGGTTACTCTTCAGTTTCCCATACTTTTTAATCATTATGACAGAATGCCTCATGGAGATAATTTGAGTTAAAAAATCCTAGGGACAGAATATCATAGACACTTTGTCTTTTTTGTTTTTCTTTTTTCTTTTTTCTTTTTTTTTTTTTTTTGACAGTGTCTCGCTTTGTTATGCAGGCTGAAATGCAGTGGAGCAAAAAACAGGCTCACTGCAGCCTGGACCTCATGGGCTCAAACCATCTTCCTGCCTCAGCCCCCAAGGATCTGGGACTACACTGATAGACTATTACATCCAACAATGTTTTGTCTATTTTATACAGACAAGATTTCTTCATGTTGCCCAGGCTGGTCTCAAACTCCTGAGTTGAAGCGATATTCCCATCTCAGCCACCCAAAATGCTGGGATTGAAGACCTAAGCCATCACACCTACCTGGACAGACACTGTTTCTCGTGCTGCTGCTGTCAAGATACACAAGACTAGGGAGTTGTATCCTTTCATTTAATCCTTACAATCCTACATTATAGGTGAATGAAAGCACAACTTCATAACATAAATAACTCACTTGAGAATCAAAGTTGGTAACTTCTCCCTTTAAAATTATTTGGAAACTAACCCTATAAAAATTATGATCTTATCAAAATTTTCTCATAAAAATACATCCTCCTTACAGATTAGTCCATTAATTTTAAGAATTGTGGACTGTAAAACACTGGATCTTAATCTATTTCATTTCTTTAGGTTGTATGATCAGGAAAATTAATTGGTTTACTTATTTGGGTCCAAATCTTTTCATTTTTATCATTAGATGATATCTTAAACCTTTACACAATTGCCTATCAGAAATTTTATGATGTTGTTTTATGTTTTACACATTTCAGTTTCCAAAAACCATGAGGTTTAAAGCATTCCTATTCGTATCTTCACTTAAATCTGATAGTGTGAGCCTGATGGCTCATACATGTAATCCTAGCACTTTGGGAGGCAGAGGCAGGTGAATGAGGATTTTAAGACCAGACTGGCCAACATGGAGAAATGCTGTCTGTACTAAAAAAAAAAAAAAAAAAAAATAGCCAGCTGTGGTGGCACACACCTGTAAACCCAGTTACTCGGGATGCTGAGGCAGGAAAACAGCTCGAACCCAGAAGGTAGTGGTCACAGTGAGCCAAGATCCAGCCACTGCACCCCAGTTTGGGCAACAAAGCTAGACTCTGTCTAAAAAAAAATCTGATAAAATCCCAAGCCTTCTAGATAATTTCTGTTTGTAAGAACTTATTGCTAAACCATTACTTACAACAACCATTGTCAAATATTATAGGAGATAATTAACATGAGTACCTCCCACATAAAAACACTTATTTTCCACTATTTAAACTAGGAACACTTAATTTCATTAAGCTATGTATTTAGGAAACATAGCTGGTTCAGATTTTATTTAGTTGGAAAACAATGTTTTCATCACCATTATCCCCCATCAGTGACAGAAAGGCTTCAAGAAGAAGGTTCTGGATGTCTTAAACTTTAGTACCAACCATATCTAATTATTTCCTTTTATCTACATGATTCCTCTGAATGATAAACATTTTATGGTGAGGCAGAGAGTTTCATAGTCTTTCTGAATACTTCTCAAGCTTTTAAAGCTTGTAAGTGTTTAAGAGAAACACAGCCTAATTAGAAAATGTGGGCACCTTGCAAGGGAGACGTAATTTATGCCTACTTTTGCATGTATTTATATTCAAAGCTGCAAAAAAATTTTTCAACAGAAACCACACCATTTAATATCCCATTTAATTTGCTGTTAAGCACGTGTAGCCATAAAATCAGGCATTACACATTACATGTATAATTTTATTCTGAAAATTTTAATACAGCCATATCATCTAAAGAGAGAGTTTTCAAATAGCATTAACAATTATGAAATTACTTTGAAAAAACAATTCCTTTTCATCTTAAATACCTCAGAAAATTCATGGAGGAAGTTAGGATCTACCTCTCCCCCAAAATCAACATTTTGTTTTAGTGGTACTCACGAACTGATACAGAAATAACATTTTAATTTTTGATTTGCAAGCAAGGTTTGGTAAGCAATAACTATTATCTTTCTTTTTTTTATTTTTACTTTGTGAGACAGGTTTGCTTTGTTGCCCAGGCTAGAGTGCAGTGACAAGATCTGGGCTCACTGCAACCTCTGCCTTCTGGGTTCAAGCAATTCTCCTGCCTCGGCCTCCTGAGTACCACGGTAACTATTATTTTTAATATCTCCTTTAATATCTGCTTCAGCCTCCTTTTTCACCTTGTTTTCCCTCACCACTTGCTGTAGATGCCCCATAACTTGAGCTACTGTATCCTTCACCAGCAGCAGGGTGCACCCTATCCACAGAAGGTAGATTCCTTCATTCCTTTCTGCCACCGCGCTCATGACCACAGGAATATAAATCACCACTGCTTCATGAGTAACTCTCCTGACTTCTGCCATATATATCTCATGTACTGTTATAATCATAGTGACTACTTCCACCATAACTCATCCAAGGCTCTCATGCAGGTTGTTCACCAGGAGAGGTCCCTGCAAGGTTGATAAAATATAGAACTTATAATGAACTACATTTAAACATTTTTAATGGTATCACTAATGCATGTATCAGTTAAAGTACTATTTGGAAAAATCTGCTTTCCTCTGTCTTCATTGACAGCATATTAATTATGTCTGAAATAGTCAAAAGGTTGCATTTAAAAGAATATAAGAATAGTATTTTGAAGCATAAGAAAGTTTATTTTAAAGTGAACGTTAAGTCACATTTTCTGAAAATGAACTGAAGTTCTCACCTACATGTTCACCACGCATTATACTGTTAACAATTCTCAGTGTTTAAACATGTTATATTTTTCCTTTATGATTTTCCTTAAAATTGTATTAAAACAATAATCTGGTGTATTAAATATAATACTATAATTTACAAATCAAACCCTGACACTTACCATAACTCTGATATGCATTTCTGTAAGAACTTCCACTGGGATGTACTAAAGGATCTCTACCACGGCCCCCACCACAGCCATCACAGTCACTAAATTTAAAAAAGGTTTGCTAACGTCAGCAGGAACAACTTAAGAAATCCCTTTGACAAAATCAGAAAATATTATAGTACCTATATGCTCTAGAGGATTGTTCATTCCAACTAGAATGACCGTAATCATGGTATCCATAATCTCTAGATGGTGGAGCATAATCCCTGGTGTCCCGGGAACTTGTATGAATTCTGCTTGCATAAGTTAAAGCAACAAATTTTAAATTATCAACTTCTAGTATCCAAAACATAAATAACTTACAACTTGAACAAAATGAAGGGCCAAATACTTGAATACATATTTCTCCAACTAAAATATGCAAATGCTCAAAAAGCACATGGAACAAATAATCATAATTAGTTATTCAGAAATTGCATTTCAAAACCAAAATGAGATACTATACTGCACACATACTGGAATGGAAATGATTTTTAAAAAGCAGGAAATATCAAGTGTTTGAGAAGATGTAGATAATTTGGAACCCTCATACAAATGCTAGTTGGAATGGAAAATGGTGCAGCTACTATGGAGAAATGGGGTGGTTCCTCAAGAAAATAAATACAATTATCATAGGACCAAGCAATTCCACTCACTCATATATACCAAGAATTGAATAAGTGTATGCAAACAAATATGTGTATATAGAAATACTGTGGTGGAAACAACCCAAACAAAATAATGGGTTAGCAGGTTGTGTAAGGAGAGAAGTGCTGCAATGTAAATGAACATTCAGAGCATCATGCAAACGAAAGGAGACAGTTATAAAAAGTCTTGTAGGGCTGGGCGCGGTGGCTCATGCCTGTAATCCCAGCACTTTGAGGCTGAGGCAGGCGGATCTCGAGGTCAGGAGATCGAGACCATAGTGGCTAACATGGTGAAAACCCATCTCTACTAAAAATATAAAAAATTAGCTGGCCGTGGTGGCAGGCACCTGTAGCCCCAGCGACTTGGGAGGCTGAGGCAGGAGAATGGCGTGAACCCGGGAAGGAGAGTGTGCAGTGAGCCAAGAGTGTGCCACTGCACTCCAGCCTTGGAGACAGAGCAAGACTTCATATATATATATATATATATATATATATATATATATATATATATATATAAAATATATATCTCCAGCTAAGTAACATCACTGTGTCTTAAATGGCTAAGTTTTAGTTGTTTATAAATATTTCCTAAATATGATAATCTTACAAATTTACATTTGTCTAAACTAATACAATTTAGTATTTATGTACCAAAGTAGTGCAATACAAACAATAAAAGTTGGTTTAGAAAACCCAGAAAATGGCTGGGTGCAGTGGCTCATGCCTGTAATCACAGCACTTTGGGAGTCTGAGGTGGGCGGATCACGAAGTTAAGAGATCAAGACCATCCTGGGCAACATGGTGAAACCCCATCTCTACTAAAAATACAAAAATTCACTGGGCCTCTTGGCACACAACTGTAGTCCCAGCTACACGGGAAGCTAAAGCAGGAGAATCACTTGGCTGGGAGCCAGAGGTTGCAGTGAGCTGAGATCGTGCCACTGCATTCCAGCCTGGCAACTGAAGAAAATCTAAAAAATAACACAAGAATCATTTTATATTGGTGTGAGAGAAAGATGTGGGATAAATGCAGGGTGAAGAGAGAGCAAAAATCTATCAGTTAAATATATAAATATAATCTAGATAAAGAAAAATAGGAGAAAAATAATATATTACTGTTCATATAATTATGGTATGAAGAAAGCCTCGTCAAAACGTATCATAAGGGTACAACAAATTCCATTCAAAAAAGCTAAAATATTTACAAAATCAAAAAATGACACCTCAGAAAAATACATTATCTGTAAAATTTGTATCAGAAATACAATCCTTACAAATCCATTATGAAATATTAAATTTTAGCTTAGGCTATGCTCAATTTTAATAATCTTTAAGAATTTAATATTAAATAATAAAAGATATTTTCATATAGCTACAAAAAATGTAGATATATTCTAATGCCCTCGTGGTGTCACAGGTAAGAAAATGCATATTCTCATACATGGCAGAGTAGTATTAATCTTCACCCTCAAGATCAATTGAGAAAAAAAATACCATGAAGCTATGTACCTTAAAATGGAGCAAACACTGCAATTTCAACTTGAGAAAACATATCCAGTGAATTACACATCTGGTTATTAAAACTCAGATGTTAGGTTTTTGAAGGTTGGTTAATAGATAATACAATTGAACCAATTTTTTAAAATACATGGATTTTTTTAAGTAAAAATTGACCCCTCATTCCTATTGAGTAAATCATTCATAAATACCATTTTCAGTGTCTCATCTTCCAGCAAAGAAACCACTGCTTCATATTTGTGAAGCAGTGGTTTTTAGATTTTCCTGAGTCACAGACTCTTTTGAGAAACTGAAGTTATAGATTTCTTAAATGCAAAATGCTTTATGGCAGGCCAATGTGCAAATTACGTATATCAAAATGGCAAAGGAATATATTTGTATAGATATTTCCATGTGTATACATAAATAACAAATATTATAAGATCAATCCTAAAATAATGAGTTACTTATTTCCTGTTGGAAGGTTTTCAAGATTCCATCTTATTTTGATAATACATTTTATACGAAGTTCTGGCTCCCAAAATAAGAAACTCTATAGCATAATGAATGTAAACGAGTTCTGCAGAAAACCTGTTGAGTACAGAAAATCAACATTAATAAACTCAATTTGGTTTTAAATGCGTGTTATTTCAATGCAAAGTAATTAAGATTTTAAAATAAAATTTTCATATTATTTCTATCTTTCTTATAATTTATCTTTAGTACTTACAAATAATTTTGCTCATTATCAGTAAGTTCATTTTCTGTACATAAAGTAAATAAAATTGAGAAATTTTGATATCTTCAAACTTATTGTCTTTCAGTCCTACGGTTCCATCTTTATATTTTAAAACATTACCCAGTTGTCCTTCACATGAGGGACACAACCCTCTTGTCCTCTACTACCTCCTCTTGCAGATCTCAGACTTCCTGAAGGGCTCCTGTTTCTCCAGGAAGGTGGTGATCTCCACCTACCATCACTTTGAAAAGATGTTTTCTTGACTTGTTCTACTTTTATTGCTTTTCCATCCAAAGACCAAAAGTATTAACTGTCCTATCAATAACACTGTCACATTTAACCAAACACATTTTACAAACATTTTTGCATCCACTATATTTCAGTTCTAGATGTTTTCTCCCAAAGCAAATATATTTTTTTTCTGAAATGATGATGTCTTTCACAGTGCCAAATTTGAGATGTTTACTGACCACATACCTTCCATTAAGGGATCAAACACAAATTCTGTTATTCAAATTCCTTGAAAAGTTTTCCAGTATTAAAAACATCATCTCAAAAAAAATTAGCCCATCACCCATCTATGGGATAATGTAGCACATCTCTTTTTTCCAATGTATGATCTACTTCATCTTTGTAGTCACATCACTTATTTAATTGTTTCAGTGTCCCAAGGGTATATGTAATAATGTGTCATCTAATAAAAAGATTATTTATTCCAAGTGATTAGCCATATTATTCATTCTGAATTGTTTCTTGTTTGTTCTGCTAATACTTACATAAAATGTCCCAATATGATTTACAATTCTATATTTAGTCTAGTTCTGTTTCTGTAACTGTGATCCTTCCTTGGTCTCATTCAGATTTTTTGCCTTACTCATTTATTATCTTGCCTTAGAAGAGTCCCTAATAAATGACTCTTAATATAGTACTTCATGTTATTTCTCAGAAATGCTTAAATGTTCTAATTAATTTCATAATAACTTTCTTCAGTTTAATCTTTTCTATAGGCTAAGGTAATTTTTGAAAAAAAATGTCAGCAAAAATTGTATTTAAAAATGGCATTGCTTTGTTTTTGGGGGAAGATCTTAAATCCTTTCCAAGACCTCTTGCAGTTACATAGGCAGTCGTTTCAACCTTGGGACTTCTTTTGTTATTTCTGGGCCCAAAATATGTTCCCCAGATTTGCACATGACTGCTTCCTTCCCAGTATTCGGAAGTCAGCCAAACTTTCTTAAACTGTTCATTCCCCCTGAAACCTCTAAGTACTTCCTTTATTTCCATTCTTAACTTTTGTGTGCATATTACATTTATATTTGTTCTTACACAATAAGATATGTTAGATGAAGTAATTTAGAATTTCTACAGAAATCATCTGTTCTTGTGCTTGAAAACTTTGAGGAAAAAGAAATTATTACTATACATCAGTCAAAATTATTTCCATACCTAACACCAAACCATGAGCAACTTTCAGTTTCTACCCAAATTTAAAATATGAAAGTATAAAGGTGAATAAAAATGTACTTTCTTCGATGAACCAGGAAGTGTGCTAGATGTACCAGAAATAAAAGCAACTAGGAAAACTTAAATATGCACTAAAGACAATTATCAACAGATTAATACATGGTACAGTGAGGACAAAATACCCACAATATAAAATAAAGAAGAAAATGTAAAATCTAAGCTGTCTTTGAAGCATAAGTTGCTATTTGTGAGACATATGCCAGGAAGAATAACTCTTAAGAAGTCCGAAAAAGCATATTGGTGAAAGCATGAAGAGTAACGGGAACTAAAAAGAGACTGAAATGATGTTATAAAACAAAACAGCTCCAACGTACCCAGAATGCAATGATTTTGATGGTAATACAAAGGAATTCAGTAGGTAATAGAATTATAAAAAGGTTTACAGCTGTAATAAACACACAATCCCTAGAATTTAAGATTCAGTAAGACAGAGACAATTGGTTGGATCAAAATAAGTCCTCAAACACACTGGTAAAATGAGTCATTAGGTATTCATGTTACATAAATCACTCTGGTGACAGGATAAAAATGATTTTAGGAGAAAAAGAGCAAGGATGGGGCAGAAATGCCAGTTAGTAGTTCTGTTACCCAACTTCAATGTACTCATATTATTTTCTACTTTCAAGTACTTAACATTTCCTTAAATGTAAAGGTCTTGTTTAAATACACTTGCTTAAGAATGTACTTTCAGAAAATGAGAAAGAATCTTTCCTTCTTGTGAGTCGGTCTAGATGTCTCTCTGTATAAGATTTCCATCTTGTAAGTCCGTCTACCTGTCTATCCATAGTTTGTCTATGCTATAGAAGTATTTCCATGAATTGGAAGTAATTCCATTAATAGAATTTAATAAATGCTGATTTATTTATCTCACTTTTGTGAGGGTTCCTTCTAAGTTTTAAAGCTGCTTGAAAGCTTTGAAAATCTATTTATACTTGTATTTAAATACTAACATACAAATAAGATTACCATATATTGATTTATGTAACATTTATTCCAATATCCTTCCAACTACCGTTGCACTTAGATGACCAAAAGAAGAGGATGGCTAAAGCATTTCAGATCATATGACATTATGCTATCTTCAAAAGTTTAGTAATATGAAAAAGACCTTGAAATTCTGTTAAGTGAGGAACAGTTAGGATATTATTAATAAGGGACTCTTACGTTTCCCTTCATATCTTTGACAGCATTCTTAGCATCTGCAGGTTTTCAAAATAAGTACAAAGCATCTGAAGTTGCTGGTTTCCCAATCATTTATCAAAAGAACTAAAATATATGAAAACATTTTACATTTATATAATGGACTCACCATAGTACTAACAAACCAAAAAAATTGCATTTCACATCATTACTATGATTTTTAATACTAAGTCACCTCTGTATTCAGCCTATTTTATTCCAATTTGCTCCCTACCTCCACAACATATGTACTTTTGCTCAGTTTCCTTTCTCAGTAGTAGGTAACCTTTACCAAAGAACCTTCGCCTGCTGCCATAAGAATTTTCCCAGTATCGAAAAGAAACTTGAAAATAACACTTTAAAACAAATATATATTTTAATTTATGTATTCAGTAAATATACTGAGTATATATTTACTTTGGAAAATATATATATAACCAACACACACACACACACACACACACACACACACACATATATATATATATAACAGTTGCCTTCCAGTATGGGACCATATTTCCCAAATACTGCTTTAAGCATCTTTTCATTGGTTTCTAAACGGAGGCCACCAATGAAAAGCTTGCCAGGCTGATCTGATTCCACCATTTTGCTGTAAATGGTAAAAAATAAAAAATAAAAAAATAAAAAACTCTAGATAACAATAAATAAGCCAAAAGATAAAATTTTATTACATACTGTGTTGAAAACTCTAGGGAAATTCCCTTACGGAGGCTGACATCTTTCTACTATTTCTTAATTTAAGTAGTTAAAATTTGTAACATGCAGAGCGAAAGGGGCAGTGACTTCATGGACAAATGCTGCATTTTAATACGTACCTGACAAAAACTTGTTTGTAAAAATGAGATGAGAAAAGCTATTGTAATTTTCTTAAGCTGTAATACGCAGAATGCCCCATTTAAATAATTCTATTTGAAAACTATATATTTATACAGTACAATGTGATGTTTTGTGTTTTTTTTTTCTTGAGATGTCAATTTCCTATTGCCAATGTGCACTGCTCACTGCAGCCTCCTCTACCGAGCCTCAAGTGATCCTCCCACGTTTCAGCTTCCCAAATAGCTAGGACTACAGGAGATCACTATCACAGCTTGTAGGCATTTTTTTTGTGTGTTTCTTTAACAGACACGGTTTCCCCATGGTACCCAAGCTGGTCTCGAACTCCTGGGCTCAAGCGATCTTCTGGCCTGGTGCCACCAAGGTGATGAGACTTGAAGGGTGAATGTCCACGCCCAGCTTGATATTTTAATAAATGATTAAATCAAGTTAAATAAAATACATGCTTTCTTCGGGGAGAATATTTTAAATTGTTTGCAATATTTTAGTGATTTGAAATATACAATAGATCAGGGATCCCCAAACCCTGGTCTCCAACCGGTATCTGTCTGTGGCCTGTTAGGAACCTGGCTGCAGAACAGGTGGTGAACCTCTGGCACTGCCTGAGCCCCGCCTCCTGTCAGATCAGCGAAGACATTGGGTTCTCACAGGAGTAAGAGCCCTACTGTGAACTGCGCATACGAGGATCTAGGTGGCGCTCTCCCTAGAAGATTGTAATGCCTGAGTGTGACCTGAGGTGGAACAGTTTCATCCAGAATCCATCCTCCCTATTCCCCGCTGGCCTGCCCTGTCCCCCTCGCAGCCCCGCTGTCCCACCACTGCCCCCCGTCACACTGCTCTGGCCTGAAACCCCTTCCTACACTGTACTCCTCCTGGAACGGCCGCCCCCAACCTCCCCAAGGTGTCCACCTCACCACCTTCTCCCCCTGCTCTCCTCTTGTCTGTGGAAAAATGCCTTCCACTAAACCTGTCCCTGGTGCCAAAATGGCAATAAATTAAAGGAGCTCATTATATTATGCAGGATGGTCTCCAACTCGTGATTCCAAGCCATCCTCACACCTCCTCTTCCCAAAATAGTAGGATTACAAGAGTAAGTCAGTGTGCCAAGTTAGTAGAATAACTTAAACGCATTTATTTTTTCTCCGTTTTAGGATATCACCATTTATCTCGATTACACCCACTTATTCGGTTTAAATTACTTACGGTGCCAGAGATAAATGAAACATGTTTCAAATACTGTCATACAATGAAGGAGACAAAGGCTTTTCGGAGACAAATTTAAACTGAGATTATTTGTGGCCCCAGATTTCCTCATAACACTAAAGTAACGCAATTTGTCAAAAGTTCATAATTCCTCTCAAGCAAATCACAAATTTGACATGTGATGAGTAAAAGTACCAGTTTTTAATCAAATGGTTAAGTATATTGTCGATTTATTTGAATTATGACCACATTCACAGAGAAAAAACGCTTTAACAAAAAGTGCACATGAAAAAAATGGCGCCCTAGCTCCGTCTCCCACAGCTTGCTGGCATGTCGGAAATTTACGACGGTAAAGGGAAGAATCCTCAAGAAAAATCAGTGAGTTTAACAAAAGTGAGTTTCTTAATAGCACTAAGGAGTTCTCTCCCTACTGTTTCTTCCCATAATTCAACACCCACACATTGAAAACCCATCCTCCTGAATAGACAAAATCCAAAAACTTCAGGGTCTTTGTATTCATGCCAAGAAACGAATCTGTGCAAAGAAACATAAAATAAAGCTGCTTTTTGGTAGCACAAACTGATATCCAACACTTTCAGATATACAGTTGTACTCATAAACATAAGTCCACACCCAATAACAATTATAACATTTCTTAACATTTGCCAAAAAAAAAGCCTGAGAGAAATGGTCTTTACCACATTTCATCTATTTGCAGGAGATGACTTAGACATTAACTCTTTCTCCTGAGATAAAAACATGTCCACTCTGCTTAAATTTATGAATTTTTTACCTCATTTTCCTGATTTTCTGAGAACACCCGTACGCGACCCCCTGTCACCAGGGGCTGAAGGAACAGTAGAGGCTAGAGGCATACCCAGCTAAAAAGCTTAGAAACTCGGATGTACCACCCGCCGCGAGAGCCGCAGAGGAAGCAGGGAAAGAGGAGCATAACATAAATCAAAGGAAGGGTGGCCCAAGAAACTTCTGTATTTAAAAAAAATAAGGAAAGAAAATTAAAATGCCAAAATACGTTATACATTGTTTTCATTTTTTACTGTCTTCAACTGTGGTAGTCTGATCAACCTTAAAAGAAGTATTTTTATTATGAAATAGTCATCCATGTTTCATCCCCCTCTCAAATATTAGCAATAAGCTCACTCTACATGGTGTCTGCTTATTTTGTAAAATAATGCATAAAGGGGAAAAATAATAATTAAATTTAAAGAAGTTTACAAGAAGCAAGCAATAATGAGTAAAATAACATTAAAAGAAAGCGAGAAAAATAAATCAATTAGGAATGTAAAGTTTCCAAATCTTAATCTTGTATCTTCTCTTTTTGGTTGTCATATATATTTGGAGACCTTATTTTATTTGCTTAGTAGATAAATGCAGTGATTTGACCCAAACTACCAAAATTAAAAATATATATATACACACATAGGCAATTTCTCTGTCCTCAATTTGTGTATAATAAATAGCATTCTTCATTAACAGAGCTCTAGTAAAATAAATATTTTATTTATGTTCCTGAAAAAAATATTTTATTAGCTGAACGACTGTATTTTCCATGGTAAAATTATTTCATTCTATGAATTGTGTTGCAAAATAAAAGGTAACTTAAGAAAATACTTTTAAATATCTATGCAATGCAAACCAAACTTATTTTTCTGAGTTTGTCTATAAATTGTGCGTACCAGAATTTAAAAGAACATTTCTTTAAAAAGTGCTTACTTATAAGCCACATTTTAAGTGCTTTATATTAATTTAACAAATTAAAACCTATACATTGTATACTCACACTTATGAACTACTTAGTTCACAAAGTATACCATAACAATATAGAGCTGACTGTGTCTGCATAAATATTTTAATTTATCTTTTCAATATTTTCTTTTCTGATGAATAACCTAACAGCAAAAGCATGCTCTGAAGGTAAAGATATTCTTACATGTTTACGTATATTTTAGAAAAATGTTTCTTAAATTATGGCTACAAATCTATTGGCATTATTAGTTTCTTTCTTTTTTTATTACACTTTAAGTTTTAGGCTACATGTGCACAACGTGCACGTTTGTTACATATGTATACATGTGCCATGTTGGTGTGCTGCACCCATTAACTCATCATTTACGTTAGGTGTATCTCCTAATGCTATCCCTCCCCCCTCCCCCAACCCTCCACCCCACAACAGGCCCTGGTGTGTGATGTTCCCCTTCCTGTGTCCAAGTGTTCTCATTGTTCAGTTCCCATCTATGAGTGAGAACATGTGGTGTTTGGTTTCTGTCCTTGTGGTAGTTTGCTGAGAATGATGATTTCCAGCTTCATCCATGTCCCTGCAAAGGACAAGAACTCATCCATGTCCCTGCAAAGACATGAACTCATCCTTTTTTATGGCTGCACAGTATTCCATAGTGTATATGTGCCACATTTTCTTAATCCAGTCTATCATTGTTGGACATTTGGGTTGGTTCCAAGTCTGCTATTGTGAATGATGCCGCAATAAACATACGTGTGCATGTGTCTTTATAGCAACATGATTTATAATCTTTTGGGTGTATACCCAGTAATGGGATGGCTGGGCCGAATGGTATTTCTAGTTCCAGATCCCTGAGGAATCACCACACTGACTTCCACAATGGTTGAGCTAGTTTACAGTCCCACCAACAGTGTAAAAGTGTTCCTATTTCTCCACATCCTCTCCAGCACCTGTTGTTTCCTGACTTTTTAATGAACTCCATTCTAACTGGTGTGAGATGGTATCTCATTGTGGTTTTGATTTGCATTTCTCTGATGGCCCGTGATGATGAGCATTTTTTCATGTGTCTTTTGGCTGCATACATGTCTTCTTCTGAGAAGTGTCTGTTCATATCCTTCGCCCGCTTTTTGAAGGGGTTGTTTGTTTTTTTCTTGTAAATTTGTTTGAGTTCTTTGTAGATTCTGGATATTAACCCTTTGTCAGATGAGTAGATTGCAAACATTTTCTCCCATTCTGTAGGTTGCCCGTTTGCTCTTTTGGTAGTTTC
This sequence comes from Homo sapiens, assembly GCF_000001405.40. Taxonomy (NCBI): domain Eukaryota; kingdom Metazoa; phylum Chordata; class Mammalia; order Primates; family Hominidae; genus Homo; species Homo sapiens. The sequence continues at coordinate 25,262,109 of NC_000024.10, read as the reverse complement.
TTTTGCTGTGCAGAAGCGCTTTAGTTTCATTAGGTCCCATTTGTGAATTTTGGCTTGTGTTGTCATTGCTTCTTGTGTTTTAGACATGAAGTCCTTACACATGACTATGTCCTGAATGGTATTGCCTAGGTTTTCTTCTAGGATTTTTCTGGTTTTAGGTCTAACATTTAGGTCTTTAACCCATCTTGAATTAATTTTTGTGTAAGGTGTAAGGAAGGGATCCAGTTTCCGCTTTCTATATATGGCTAGTTAGTTTTCCTAGCACCATTTATTAAATAGGGAATCCTTTTCCCATTTCTTTTTCTTTCTCAGGTTTGTCAAAGGTCAGATAGTTGTAGATGTGTGGCATTATTTCTGAGGTCTCTGTTCTGTTCCATTGGTCTATATCTCTGGTTTGGTACCAGTACCATGCTGTTTTGGTTACTGTAGCCTTGTAGTGTAGTTTGAAGTCAGGTAGCATGATGCCACCAGCTTTGTTCTTTTGGCTTAGGATTGGCTTGGCAGTGCGGGCTCTTTTTTGGTTCCATATGAACTTTAAAGTAGTTTTTTTCCAATTCTGTGCGGAAAGTCATTGGTAGCTTGATGGGCATGGCACTGAATCTGTAAATTACCTTGGGCAGTATGGCCATTTTCACGATATTGATTCTTCCTACCCATGAGCATGGAATGTTCTTCCATTTGTTTGTATCCTCTTTTATTTAATTGAGCAGTGGTTTGTAGTTCTCCTTGAAGTGGTCCTTCACATCCCTTGTAAGTTGGATTCCTAGGTATTTTATTCTCTTTGAAGCAATTGTGAATGGGAGTTCACTCATGATTTGGCTCTCTTTGTCTGTTATTGGTGTATAAGAATGCTTGTGATTTTTGCACATTGATTTTGTATCCCGAGGTTTTGCTGAGGTTGCTTATCAGCTTAAGAAGATTTTGGGCTGAGACAATAGGGTTTTCTAGATATACAATCCTGTCATCTGCAAACAGGGACAATTTGACTTCCTGATTTCCTAATTGAATACCTTTTATTTCCTTCTCCTGCCTGACTGCCCTGGCCAGAAATTCCTACACTATGTTGAATAGGAGTGGTGAGAGAGGGAATCCCTGTCTTGTGCCCGTTCTCAAAGGGAATGCTTCCAGTTTTTGCCCATTCGGTATGATATTGGCTGTGGGTTTGTCATAAATAGCTCTTATATTTCGAGATACATCTCATCACTACTGAATTTATTGAGAGTTTTTAGCATGAAGGGCTGTTGAATTTTGTCGGAGGCCTTTTCTGCATCTATTGGTATAGTCATGCGTTTTTTGTTTTTGGTTTGGTTTATATGCTGGATTACATTTATTGATTTGCATATGTTGAACCAGATTTGCATCCCAGGGATGAAGCCCACTTGATCATGGTGGATAAGCTTTTTGATGTGTTGCTGGATTCAGTTTGCCAGTATTTTATTAAGGATTTTTGCATCTGTGTTCATCAGGGATATTGGTCTAAAATTCTCTTTTTTGTTTGTGTCTCTGCCAGGCTTTGGTATCAGGATGATGTTGGTCTCATACAATGAGTTAGGGAGGATTTCCTCTTTTCCTGTTGATTGGAATAACTTCAGAAGGAATGGTACCAGCTCCTCCTTGAGCCTCTGGTAGAATTAGGCTGTGAATCCATCTGTTCCTGTATTTTTTCGCTTGGTAAGCTATTAATTGTCGCTCAATTTCAGAGCCTGTTATTGGTCTATTCAGAGATTCAGCTTCATCATTTTTCAGTCTTGGGAGGTGTATGTGTTGAGGAATTTATACATTTCGTCTTGATTTTCTAGTTTATTTGCCTAGAGGTGTTTATAGTATTGTGTGATTGTAGTTTGTATTTCTGTGGGATCGGTCGTGATATCCCCTTTATCACTTTTTATTGCGTCTATCGATTCTTCTCTCTTTTCTTCTTTATTAGTCTTGTTAGCAGTCTATCAGTTTCATTGATCTTTTCAAAAAAAAAACAGCTCCTGGATTCATTGATTTTTTTGAAAGGTTTTTTGTGTCTCTGTCTCCTTCAATTCTGCTCTGATCTTAGTTTTTTCTTGCCTTCTGCTAGCTTTTGAATGTGTTTACTATTGCTTCTCTAGTTCTTTTAATTGTGATGTTAGGGCGTCAATTCTAGATCTTTCCTACTTTCTCTTGTGGGCATTTAGTGCTATAAGTTTCTGTGTACAAAATGCTTTAACTGTGTCCCTGAGATTCTGGTATGTTGTGTCTTTGTTCCCATTGGTTTCAAAGAACATCTTTATTTCTGCCTTCATTTTGTTATGTACCCAGTAGTCATTCAGGAACAGGTTGTTCAGTTTCCGTGCAGTTGAGCAGTTTTGAGTGAATTTCTTAATCCTGAGATCTAGTTTGATTGCACTGTGGTCTGAGAGACAGTTTGTTATAATTTCTGTTCTTCTACATTTGCTGAGGAGTGCTTTACTTCCAACTATGTGGTCAATTTTGGAATAGGTGTGGTGTGGTGCTGAGAAGAATGCATAGTCTGTTGATATGGGGTGGAGAGTTCTGCAGATGTCTATTAGGTCTGCTTGGTGCAGAGCCAAATTCAATTCCTGGATATCCTTGTTAACCTTCTGTCTCATTGATCTGTCTAATGTTGACAGTGGGGTGTTAAGATCTCCCATTATTATTGTGTGAGGGTCTAAGTCTCTTTGTAGGTGTCTAAGGACTTGCTTTATGAATCTGGGTGCTCCTGTATTGGGTGCATATATATTTAGGATAGTTAGCTCTTCTTGTTGAATTCATCCCTTTACCATTATGTCATGGCTTTATTTGTCTCTTTTGTTCTATGTTGGTTTACGGTCTGTTTTATCAGACTAGGATTACAACCCCTGCCATTTTTTGTTTTCCCTTTTCTTGATAGATATTCCACCATCCCTTTATTTTGAGCCTATGTGTGTCTCTGCACGTGAGATGGGTTTCCTAAATACAGCACACTGATGGTTCTTGACTCTTTATCCAATTTGCCAGTCTGTGTCTGTTAATTGGAGCATTTAGCCCATTTACATATAAGGTTAATATTGTTATGTGTGAATTTGATCCTGTCATTATGGTGTTAACTGATTATTTTGCTCATTAGATGATGCAGTTTCTTTGTAGCATTGATGGTCTTCACAATCTGGCATATTTTTGCAGTGGTAGGTCCCAATTTTTCCTTACCATGTTGAGTGCTTCCTTCAGGAGCTCTTGTAGGGCAGGTCTAGTGCTGACAAAATCTCAAAGCATTTTCTTCTTTGTAAAGTATTTTATTTCTCCTTCACTTATGAAACTTAGTTTAGCTGGATATGAAATTCTGGGTTGAAAATTCTTTCCTTTAAGAATGTTGAATATTGGCCCCCATTCTCTTCTGGCTTGTAGAGTTTCTGCTGAGAGATCAGCTGTTAGTCTGATGGGCTTCCCCATGTGGGTAACCCGACCTTTCTCTCTGGTTGACCTTAACATTTTTTCCTTCATTTCAACTTTGGTGAATCTGACAATTATATATCTTGGAGTTGCTCTTCTCGAGGATTATCTTTGTGGCATTTTCTGTATTTCCTGAATTTGAATGTTGGCCTGCCTTGCTAGATTGGGGAAGTTCTCTGGGATAATATCCTGCAGAGTGTTGTCCAACTTGGTACCATTCTCCCCATCACTTTCAGGTACACCAATCAGACATAGATTTGGTCTTTTCACATAGTCCCATATTTCTTGGAGGCTTTGTTCATTTCTTTTTTTTTTTCATTATTATTATACTTTAAGTATTAGGGTACATGTGCACAATGTGCAGGTTAGTTACATATGTGTACATGTGCCATGCTGGTGTGCTGCGCGCATATACTCGTCATTTAGCATTAGGTGCTCCCCCTCCCCCCTCCCCCAACCCCACAAAAAGTCACCAGAGTGTGATGTTCCCCTTCCTGTGTCCATGTGTTCACATTGTTCAATTCCCACCTATGAGTGAGAATATACGGTGTTTGGTTTTTTGTTCTTGCAATAGTTTACAGAGAATGGTGATTTCCAATTTCATCCATGTCCCTAAAAAGGACATGAACTCATCATTTTTTATGGCTGCATAGTATTCCATGGTGTATAAGTGCCACATTTTCTTAATCCAGTCTATCATTGTTGGACATTTGGGTTGGTTCCAAGTCTTTGCTATTGTGAAGAGTGCCACAATAAACATATGTGTTCATGTGTCTTTAAAGCAGTATGATTTATAGTCCTTTCGGTATATACCCAGTAATGGGATGGCTGGGTTGCATGGTATTTCTAGTTCTAGATCCCTGAGGAATCACCACACTGACTTCCACAATGGTTCAACTAGTTTACAGTCCCACTAACAGTGTAAAAGTGTTCCTATTTCTGCACATCTTCTCCAGCACCTGTTGTTTCCTGACTTTTTAATGATCTCCATTCTAACTGGTGTGAGATGGTATCTCATTGTGGTTTTGATTTGCATTTCTCCAGTGGGCTTCATCCCTGGGATGCAAGGCTGGTTCAATATATGCAAATCAATAAATGTAATCCAGCATATAAACAGAACCAAAGACAAAAACCACATGATTATCTCAATAGATGCAGAAAAGGCCTTTGACAAAATTCAACAATGCTTCATGCTAAAAACTCCCAATAAATTAGGAATTGATGGGATGCATCTGAAAATAATAAGAGTTATCTATAACAAGACCACAGCCAATATCATACTGAATTGGCAAAAACTGGAAGCATTCTCTTTGAAAACTGGCAAAAGACAGGGATGCCCTCTCTCACCACTCCTATTCAACATAGTGTTGGAAGTTCTGGCCAGGGTAATTAGGCAGGAGAAGGAAATAAAGGGTATTCAATTAGGAAAAGAGGAATTCAAATTGTCCCTGTTTATGGATGACATGATTGTATATCTAGAAAACCCCATCATCTCAGCCCAAAATCTCCTTAACCTGATAAGCAACTTCAGCAAAGTCTCAGGATACAAAATCAATGTACAAACATCAGAAGCATTCTTATACACCAATAACAGTCAAACAGAGAGCCAAATTATGAGTGAATACTTATTCACAATTGCTTCAAAGAGAATAAAATACCTAGGAATCCAACTTACAAGAGACGTGAAGGACCTCTTGAAGGAGAACTACAAACCACTGTTCAATGAAATAAAAGAGGATACAAAGAAATGGAAGAACATTCCATGCTCATGGGTAGGAAGAATCAATATCGTGAAAATGGCCATACTGCCCAAAGTAATGTCTAGATTCAATGCCATCCCCATCAGGCTACCAATGACTTTCTTCACAGAATTGGAAAAAACTACTTTAAAGTTCATATGGAACCAAAAAAGAGCCCACATCGCCAAGTCAATCCTAAGCCAAAAGAACAAAGCTGGAGGCATCACGCTTTCTGACTTCAAACTATACTACAAGGCTACAGTAACCAAAACAGCATGGTACTGGTACCAAAACAGAGACGTAGATCGATGGAACACAACAGAGCCCTTAGAAATAATGCCACTTATCTATAACTATCTGATCTTTGACAAACCTGAGAAAAACAAGCAATGGGGAAAGGATTCCATATTTAATAAATGGTGCTGGGAAAACTGGCTAGCCATATGTAGAAAGCTGAAACTGGATCCCTTCCTTACACCTTATACAAAAATTAATTCAAGATGGATCAAAGACTTAAATGTTAGACCTAAAACCATAAAAAACCCTAAAAGAAAACCTAGGCATTACCATTCAGGACATAGGCATGGGCAAGGACTTCATGCATAAAACACAAAAAGCAATGGCAACAAAAGCCAAAATTGACAAATGGGATCTAATTAAACTAAAGAGCTTCTGCACAGCAAAAGAAACTACCATCAGAGTAAACAGGCAGCCTACAAAATGGGAGAAAATTTTCGCAACCTACTCATCTGACAAAGGGCTAATATCCAGAATCTACAATGAACTCAAACAAATTTTCAAGAAAAAAACAAACAACCCCATCAACAAGTGGGCGAAGGACATGAACAGACACTTCTCAAAAGAAGACATTTATGCAGCCAAAAAACACATGAAAAAATGCTCACCATCACTGGCCATCAGAGAAATGTTCATTTCTTTTCATACTTTTTTCTCTAAACTTCTCTTCTTGCTTCATTTCATTCATTTGAACTTCCATCACTGATACCCTTTCTTCCATTTGATTGACTCGACTACTGAAGCTTGTGCATTCATCACGTAGTTCTTGTGCCATGGCTTTCAGCTCCATCAGTTCCTTTAAGGACTTCTGTGCCTTGGTTATTCTAGTTAGCCATTTGTCTAATCTTTTTTCAAGGTTTCTAACTCCTTTGCCATGGGTTTGAACTTCCTCCTTTAGCTCAGAGAAGTTTGATCATCTGAAGCCTTCTTCTCTCTACTTGTCATGTCATTCTCCATCCAGCTTTGTTCCATTGCTGGTGAGGTGTTGCATTCCTTTGGAGGAGGAGAGGCACTCTGATTTTAGAATTTTCAGTTTTTCTGCTCTGCTTTTTCCCCATCTTTGTGGTTTTATCTACCTTTGGTCTTTGATGATGATAACGTACAGATGGGGTTTTGGTGTTGATGTCCTTTCTGTTTGTTAGTTTTCCTTCTAACAATCACCACCCTCAGCTGCAGGTTGGTGGAAGTTTGCGGAGGTCCACTCCAGACTCTGTGTGTGTGGGTATCAGCAGCGGAGACTGCAGAACAGTGGGTATTGGTGAACAGCAAATGTTGCTGCCTGATTGTTCCTCTGGAAGTTTTGTCTCAGAGGGGTACCTGACCACATGAGGGGTCAGTCTGCCCCTACTGGGGGGTGCCTCCCAGTTAGGCTACTCGAGGGTCAGGGACCCAGTTGCGGAGGCAGTCTGTCCGTTCTCAGATCTCAAGCTGCATTCTGGGAGAAGAACTACTGTCTTCCAAGCTGTCAGACAGGGACATTTAAGTCTGCAGGGGTTTCAGCTGCCTTTTGTTGGGCTATGCCCTGCCCCCAGAGGTGGAGTCTACAGAGGCAGGCAGGCCTCCTTGAACTGTGGTGGGCTCCATCCAGTTTGAGCTTCCCAGCCACTTTGTTTACCTGCTCAAGCCTCAGCAATGGTGGGAACCCCTTCCCCAGCCTCGCTGCTGCCTTGCAGTTTGATCTCAGACTGCTGTGCTAGCAATGAGTGAGGCTCCATTGGTGTAGGACCCTCTGAGCCAGGCACAGGTTATAATCTCCTGGTGTGCCATTTGCTAAGACCATTGGAAAAGTGCAGTATTAGGGTGGGAGTGACCTTGTTTTCCAGGTGCCCTCTGTCACCCCTTTCCTTGGCTAGGAAAGGGAATTCCCTGACCCCTTGAGCTTCCTGGGTGAAGCAATGCCTCACCCTGCTTTGGCTCATGCTCAGTGCACTGCACCCACTGTCCTGCACCCACTCTCTGACAATCACCAGTGAGATGAACCTGGTACCTCAGTTGGAAATGCAGAAATCATCCACGTTCTGCATCACTCACGCTGGGTGCTGTAGACCAGAGCTGCTCCTATTTGGCCATCTTGTAACCACCCCCTGTTAGTTTCTTTCTTACCAAAACCCACTGTAGCATTTTCTTCTCATATTCTTTTTGTCACATTCTTAGCAGAAGAACATTGATTTGACTATGGCTCTCTCTACATTATTGTTACCCTTTTTCCATTTTGAACAGATAATTGTTCCCTTTGTATTCATTGATATTTACTTGATGGAATGCATTTATTAATGTTATATGTAACTGAGTAGTATATACTTAATTGTTAACTAATACAAATAATTAGTAAGTTAGCTAGTGAGACTACAGCACAGGAAAAATAGATATGTAAATTATACATTATGGTTGATGCCATAAGATGTATGAGAAAATGTCTCAGTATTTTTTTAAAAGAGGATACACATAATGTCATTTTCTAAATAATGATAAGGATCAACCTCTTTGATAAAATATCTACATATATTTTACACCAAGTTCATTTTTAGAAGTCCCATAACATTCGTATAATTTTTGTTAGGCCTAATTTGCAAAACAGGAAACTTAAGTTACAAGCCTTTAAAAGGTACACAGTTTTAGGAATCTATTACTAAAAAAATTGATTTAAACCAACAAACCTTCCCTCTATAAATATTTTCTTCTTAAAGAAAACTGTCTCTTATAAAGACATTGTAAAAAACAAGATTGAAAATGATTTTTAATCTATTACATATACTTCCAAGAAACATTTTCTAGGCAGAGATAAAACATGTGAAGATGAATGGAGTCATTATAATCCATGTGGTGGAAGGAAAAGCAAAAACACAAATACAGAATTATATTTACTGGGAGGATATGCAGAAACATGCAATGTTACAAGTAAAAATCTACTCGGTGGAATAACCTGCCTTTTTTTGTGATCAGTGAAATAGGACTAAATACACAAAGATCAAGGAATGTCACTAAATACACAAAGATCAAGTGGACACAGGGAGAGAGTGCAAGATCACGAAACATCTTGCTTGCCATGCAAATAGGCTACTTTTTTTAGGGCAGCGGTTAAAAATCATTTGACCAAAAGCTTGGTGTCTACCAGATGGTATAATGCATGTGGTGATTTGTACAATATAAAGTTTGGCAAACCAAGAAAAATCTAACCTTCACCACTTAATAGCTGTGTGAAGTTAGACTGCTTAATCTTTGAAATTTACCCAATCAGCAAAGAGAATATAATAACGGTATCTACTGGATATTAGTATCATAAGATTAAAATTTACTGAGCTCACTATGTGCAACATAGTTTAGGGCTAAAAAATCTATAGAATTGTAATTACATTTATATTCAGTGAGACCTAGAGGTTTACTTGCAATCCTGCTTTCCTTAGTGACTGGTCAAAGCTACACAAAATATATTTAAAAAATTGTGTTGCTTCTGATGTTTCACATCAAGTAAAACACCCAATTGTTTAATTATATTATTATATACTTACACTTAGACATGCCTAAACAAGGAAGACAAGGAAATGAAGAAACACACATGCATGAGTACACACACACATACACACACACACACACACACACACACACATTGAAAGAATAACAAGAGAATAATTTAACAAGAGAAAGAAACATGAAAGAATTATAAGAAATCTTTGCACTATTATAGTGATGTGGAAAATAAGATGACAGATAATTTCAGAAAACACATGATTTATCAAGAATTGTTTGGAAAGAAAAACCCTATCTGTAGGCCCAGGTTGTTGGCTTAAGCCTGTAATTCCAGCACATTGGGAGGCCAAGGGGAGCCAGATGACTTGAGGCCAGGTGTTCCAGGCCAGCCTGGGCAAAAAGGTGAAACTCTGTCTCTACCAAAAACACATACAATTAGCTGGGAGTAGTGGCATGAGACTGTGGTCCCCCCTACAGGTGGTGAGCTGGGAGAATCCTTTACACCCAGGAGGTGGAGTTTGTACTAAGCGAAGATCATGCCACTGCACTCTGGACTGGGTGATACAGCATGACCCAGTCTCAAAAACAAAACAAAACAAGTAAACACACTAAATACCAAACTCGTATATAATGAATCCTAGGGAATAAACCTGAAAAACCTGCTTAGGCATCACTATTTTGCTGACAAATTATTCCTTCTTCATTTCCCTTTTTTCTTTTTCTTTTTTCCTTCCCTTCCCTTGTCTACTCTTTCTTTTCCTTTCTCCCTTCCTTCCTTCTTTTCTTCTTTTGTTTGCTCTTTTTTTTTTTTTTTTTTTTTTTGAGACAGGGTCTCTGTCCCCGGGCTGTAGTGCAGTGGTTCCATCATAGCTCACTGCAGCCTCCCAATTCCAAGTCTCACGTATCCTTTTCCTTTGCCTCCCCAATAGTTAAGACTAAGGGAATGAGCATATGAAAGGATGATAACCATCATATATTATTGGGTAGTTGTGAATGTGATAATAAATTAAACATTAAATAGCAAAAATTCTAAAAACTGATAACAGCAAATTTAGAAGAATGTCTGGTAGGCTTTGTTTTGTTTTAACAAAACTAAACACTCTCTCAATCTCATCCAGCGGTCTTGCTTCTTGGAATTTTTCCAACTAAACTAAAAACATGTTTACATCAAAATTTGCATATGGACATGTTGTATAGTAGTTAAGTGGATAAACTGTGGTTTATGGACTATTTATCTAACACTGTTCAGCACTGAAAAAAATGAGCTTTCAAGTCATGAAAAGACATGGAAGGAAATTAAATGTATATTTACAAGTGAAATAAGCAAATCAGAAAATGCTACACATATTATTTCAAATATATGGCAATCTAGAAAAAAATTATTGAAGAAGTAAAAAGATTAGTGGTCACAATGATTTACAAGGGAGAGTACAATAAATAGGCACAACTCAGGTAATTATTAGAGTATACAATACTGAAACTATTCTACATAATACTATAATTTTGGATATATTTTATTACATGTTTGTCAAAACTCATAGAATGTGCAACAGTAAAAATGAGTCCTAATGTAAATTGCAGATATTGAATGATAAAGTGTTGATGTAGGTTTATGAATTGTAACAAACATACCAGTCTCATTAGAGATATTGATAGTGGGGAAGGTTGTACATGTGGGCACAGGGTGTAAGGGAGCTTTCTTTACTTGCTTCTCAATTTTGTTATAAGGCTAAAACTACTCTACTAAGATTTATTGATTTAAAAGCCTCAGTAATTAAGATCTGTATTTCAGAGCAATCGTCATAAATAATTATTAATAAAAATTAAATGTTGGACAAAATATTTTATGGAAAGATAAGATCAGTATCAATATGAATGCTATGCTAAGGAATACTGAAGCATTAAGCAAAATAAAGAATCAATAATGTGCCATCTTTAAAAATATTATAATACTTTTTTATGATTATGCATTATTTTGGATTATGAAAACATTGCATTAAAAAGTATTCTTAGTGTTGATTGTTGAATTTTTTGGTGACCTTTAACTTTTGCATTTAAAGTAATTGTATTCACTTCATCTGCTTAATTTGTAGTTTACTAAATCTTGGAATGGAATAGTAGACACAATGCAGGAGAGGCAAGCCGCAAACAGAGCTAAGCCTCCTGGTTTCTTGGCTTTGTTCAGGAAAGAATTCAATGTCAAACCAGAAGTAGAAAAAAAAAATAGCTTAGCTGATGATGAGAGGTGATAATGTGCTAGCAGCCCTCGCTTGCTCTTGGTGCCTCCTCGGCCTCGGAGTCTGCTCTGGCTGTGCTCCAGGAGCCCTTCAGCCTGCCACTGCACTGTGGGGGCCCCTCTCTGTGGCTGGCTGAGGGTGGAACCAGCTCCCTCTGCTCACGGGGAGGTGTGGAGGGACAGGTGCCAGTGGGAGCCAGGGCTGTGCATGGCACTCCTGGGCTGACATTGGTTCCATGTGGGTGCAGGCTGGGTGGGCCCCACACTCAGCGAAGCTGGCCAGCACCTGCTGGGCTTGATCAGAGGATGAGCTCCCTCTGGGCTGCTGGAGTGCCTGGGCTAGATGCCACAAAGTCCCCAGTGAGTTCCATTGAGAGGTGAAGCCAGCTGGGCTTCTGGGTCAGATGGGGACTTGGAGAACTTTTCTGCCTAGCTTAAGGATTGTAAATGTGCCAATCAGCACTCTGTGTCTAGCTAAAGGTTTGTAAATGCACCAATTAGAGCTCTGTGTCTAGCTAATCTGGTGGCAACTTGGAGAACTTTTGTATCTAGCTAAAGGATTGTAAATGCACCAATCAGCACTCTGTCTAGCTAAGTTATTGTAAATGCACCAATAAGCACTCTGAGAAAACCGACCAATCAGCTCTCTGTGAAATGGACGAGTGAGCTCTATGTGAAATGAACCAATCATTAGGATGTAGGTGGGGCCAGATAAGGGAATAAAAGCAGGTCACCCGAGCCAGCAGTGGCAATCCACTCAGGTCCCCTTCCATGCTGTGGAAGCTTTGTTCTTTCGCTCTTTGCAATGAATCTTGCTGCTGCTCCTTACTTGGGCCCACATCACCTTTATTAGCTCACCGTGAAGGTCTGCAGCATCACTCCTGAGGCCAGTGAGATCATGAACCCACCACGAGGAATTAACAACTCCAGACAAGCTGCCTTTAAGAGCTGTAACAGTCTCCGCGAAGGTCTGCATCTTCACTCCGGAAGTCAGTGAGACCACCAGAAGCAAGAAACTCTGGACACATCTGAACATCTGAAGGAACAAACTCTAGACACACCATCTTTTAGAACGGTAACACTCACCACTAGGGTTGGCAGCTTCATTCTTGAAGTCAGTGAGACCAACAACCCATCAATTCCAGACGCATTTTGGCAATCACAAAGGTACTATCGCCTATCACCAAGCAGTGAGACTATCAGCAAGTGGTAAGACCATCGCCTATTGGTGAGATCATCACCTACTGCCAAGTGGTGAGTACCATCAGACCCCTTTCTCTTGCTATTATGTGCTATTTTTCCCTAGAATTCTGGGGCTAAATATTGGGCACCTTTCGGCCAGTTAAAAGCAACTAGCGTGGCTGCTGGACTAAAGACACGGGTGTCAGCCTTTCTGAAAAGGGCTCTCTAACAACCCCCGACTCTTTGGAGTTGGGAGCGTTGGTTTGCCTCAAACCAGCTTCCACTTTTCCTGTAATTCTGGGCCAAGCCAAGGGTTGACAGAGAGGAAAGCCATTCGGCTCCAGGGTCCTGACAACAAGTTGGTTGACCCTGCAGCCATGAGCAGAACTCTCAAAGGCATGTTGCCCAAGAGAGACTCGTCCATCTATCTTATCTATCTTGACACTTGCCCCTGGGTCCTAATGCCTGCCAGACAAACTTCCTCTTGCCACTTTTCTCTGAGGCTAGCCCCACTTCTAAAAACCATTCCCTGTCTCTGGTGCTTCCTTAGTTTCTGCTATAATATGATTTCTAGTGTAAGCTTCAGGACTCTGTTACCTTCCTCAGGCACCTGGGCTCACCAATCAGAAAAACATATTTTTTGCCCAAAGCCCCATTGCAGGGGGAAATATCTGGAATTTTAGGATCCCACCTCAGACTAGCAGGCCTAACAAAAGCTATTGCTGAAGCTAGGATATGGGGAGCCTCAGAAATTGTATCCTTCTTATTCACATAAGTGAGGACAAAAGGTGTCACACTTCCAAACCTGGAGATCATTTCCTTCCCTCAGGTTATGGACCTCCACTTCTTTTTTGGGGCATAATATCTTTATAGGACACAGATAAGGTCCCAGTACTAAGAGGAGAATGCTTAGGACTCTAACAGGTTTTTGAGAATGCATCAGTAAGGGCCACTAAATCCAATTTTTTCTGGTCCTCCTTGTGGTCTAGGAGGACAGGCAAGGGTGCAGCTTTCCCAAAATGCATCAGAAAGGGCCACTAAATCTGACCTTCTTCACTCCTCCTTGTGGTCTTGGAGGAAAACTAGTGTTTCTGCTGCTGCATTGGTGAGTGCAACTATTCTGATCAGCAGGGTCCAGGGACTGTTGTGGGATCTTGAGCAGGCATTGTCCCTCCTGCTGCATCAGTGAGCACAACTATTCTGATCAGCAGTGTCCAGGGACCATTGTGGGTTCTTGGGCAGGGGGAGAAACAAAACAGAACAAAACCATAGGCAGTTTTGCCTTTCAGATGGAAAACACTCCGGCATCAAGAGGTTCACCCTTGAAATGCATCCTAAGCCAATGGTACCAATTTGACACACCAATCCTGAAAAGTAGGTGGCTCATTTTTTTCTGCACTTTGGCTTGCCCCAATATTCTCCCTCTGATGGGGAAAAATGGCCACCTGAGGGAAGTACAAATGACAATACTATCCTACAGCTTGACCTCTTTTGTAAGAGGGAAGGCAAATGGAGTGAAATGCCTTATGTCCAAGCTTTCTTTTCATTGAAGGAGAATACACAACTATGCAAAGTTTGCAATTTACACCCCACAGGAGGACATTTCAGCTTACCCCCATATCCTAGCCTCCCTACAGCTCCCCTTCTTATTAATGATAAGCCTCCTCTTATCTCCCCTGCCCAGAAGGAAATAAGCAAAGAAATCTCCAAAGGACCCCAAACCCTCCAGACTATCAGTTATGCCCCCTACAAGCTCTAGGGGAAGGGGAATTTGGTCCAACTCAGATACATGTACCCTTCTCCCTCTCTGACTTAAAGCAGACCAAGGCAGACCTGGGGAAGTTTTCAGATGATCCCGATAAGTACATAGATGTCCTACAGAGTCTAGGGCAAACCTTTGACCTCGCTTGGAGAGATGTTATGCTACTGTTAGGCAAAAGCCTGGCCTTTAATGAAAAGAATGTGTCTTTAGCAGCAGCCCGAGTTTGGAGATACCTGGTATCTTAGCCAAGTAAGTGATAGAATGACAGCTGAAGAAAGGGAAAAAATCCCTACCAGTCAGCAAGCCATCCCCAGTATGGATCCCCACTGGTATCTTGACTCAGATCAGGGGGACTGGAGTCGTAAACATCTGTTGACCTGTGTTCTAGAAGGACTAAGGAGAATTAGGAAAAATCTCATGAATTATTCAATGATGTCCACCATAACTCAGGGAAAGGAAGAAAATCCTTCTGCCTTCCTTGAGTGGCTATGGGAGGCCTTATGAAAATATACTCCCCTGTCACCCGAATCACTTGAGGGTCAATTGATTCTAAAAGATAAGTTTATTACCCAATCAGCCACAGATATCAGGAGAAGGCTGCAAAAGCAAGCCCTTGGCCCTGAACAAAATCTAGAGGCATTATTAAACCTGGCAACCTCCATGTTCTATAATAACGACTAAGAGGAACAGGCCCAAAAGGAAAAGCAGGATCAGAGAAAGGCCGCAGCCTTAGTCATGGACCTCAGACAGACAAACCTTGCTGGTTCAGAGAGGACAGAAAATGGAGCAGGCCAATCACCTGGTAGCGGTTGTTATCAGTGTGGTTTACAAGGACACTTTAAAAAAGATTGTCCAATGAGGAACAAGCCACCCCGTAATCCATGTCCGCTATGCTGAGACAATCACTGGAAGGTGCACTGCCCCAGAGGACAAAGGTTCTTTAGGTCAGAGGCCCCCAACCAGATAATCCAACAACAGGAATGAGGGTGCCCTGGGCAAGTGTCAGCTCACGTTGCGACCCTCACTGAGCCCTGGATATGCTTAACCATTGGTGGCCAGGAAATTGACTTCCTTCTGGACACTGGTGCAGCCTTCTCAGTGGTAATCTGCTGTCCTGGATGACTGTGCTCAAGGTCCGTTACCATCCAAGGAATCCTGGGACATCCTGTAACCAGGTATTTCTCCCACCTCCTTAATTGTAATTGGGAGGCTGCTCTTTTCACATGCCTTTCTTGTTATGCCTGAAAGTTCTGCACCCTTACTAGGGAGGGATATATTAGCCAAAGCTGGAGCCATTATCTACATGAATATGGGGAGTAAATTACTCATTTGTTGTCCCCTACTTGAGGAGGGAATCAACCCTGAAGTCTGGGCATTGGAAGGACAATTTCGAAGGGCAAAATATGTTCACCCAGTCCAAATCAGGCTAAAAGATCCCACCACTTTTCCTTGTCAAAGGCAATATCCCTTAAGGCCTGAAGCTCATAAAGGATTACAGGATATTGTTAAACATTTAGAAGCTGAAGGCTTAGTAAGGAAATGCAGCAGTCCCTACAACACCCCAGTTCTAGGAATACAAAAACCAAATGGTCAGTGAAGATTAGTGCAAGATCTTAAACTCATCAATGAGGCACTAATTCCTCTATATCCGGTTGTACCCAAACCCTATACCCTGCTCTGTCAAATACCAGAAGAAGCAGAATGGTTCATTGTTCTGGACCTCAAGGATGCCTTCTTCTGTATTCCCCTGCACTCTGACTCGCAGTTTCTCTTTGCCTTTGAGGATCCTGCAAGATCACACATTCCAACTTACATGGACAGTCTAGACCCAAGGATTTAAAGATAGCCCTCATCTGTTTGATCAGGCATTGGCCCAAGATCTAGGCCACTTCTCAAGTCCAGGCACTCTGGTCCTTCAGTATGTGGATGATTTATTTTTGGCTACCATTTCAGAAGCCTCATACCAGCAGGCTACTCTAGATCTCTTGAAATTTCTAGCTAATCAAGGATACAAAGTGTCTAGGTCAAAGGCCCAGCTTTGCCTACAGCAGGTCAAATATCTAGGCCTAGTCTTAGCCAGAGGGACCAGGGCCCTCAGCAAGGAATGAAGACAGCCTATACTGGCTCATCCTCACCCTAAGACCTTAGAACTGTTATGAGGGTTCCTTAGAGTCACTGGCTTTTGCTGACTATGGATCCCCAGAAACGGCAAGTTAGCCTGGCCCCTCTATACTCTAGTCAAGGAGACCCAGAGAGCAAATGCTCATCTAGTAGAATGGGAAGAAGAGGCAGAAATAGTCTTCAAAACCTTAAAGCAGGCCCTAGTACAAGCTCCAGCTTTAAGCCTTTCCAAAGGATAAAACTGCTCTTTATACATCACTGAGAGCAGGGATCACTCTTGGAGTCCTTACTCAGACTCGTGGGACAACCCCACAACCAGTGGCATATCTAAGTAAGGTAATTGATGAAGTAGCAAAAGGCTGGCCTCACTGTTTATGAGTAGTTGCAGTGGTGGTGGTCTTAGTGTCAGAGGCTATCAAAATAATACAAGGAAAGAATCTCACTGTCTGTACTGCTTATGATGTAAATGGCATACTAGGTACCAAAGGAAGTGTATGGCTATAAGGAAACTGCCTACTTAGACATCAGGTGCTACTCTTTGAGGGACCAGTTCTTCAAATACATATGTGTGTGGCCCTCAACCCTGCCACTTTTATCCCAGAGGATGGGGACTCCATCGAGTATGACTGCCAACAAATTATAGTCCAGACTTATGCCACCCGAGATGATCTCTTAGAAGTCCCCTTAGCTAATCCTGACCTTAACCTATGTACCGATCGAAGTTCATTAGTGAAGAACAGGATATGAAGGGCAGGTTATGCTATAGTTAGTGAACTAACCTTACTTGAAAGTAAGCCTGTTTCTGCAGGGTCCAGTGCCCAGTTAGCAGAACTAATGACACTTACCCGAGCCTTAGAACTGGGAAAAAGAAAAAGAGTAAATGTGTACACAGATAGCAAGTACGGTTATCTAATCCTACATGCCCATGCTGCAATATGGAAAGAAAGGGAGTTCCTAACCTCTGTGAGGACCCCCATTAAATACCACAAGGAAATTATACAGTTATTGCATGCAGTGGAAAAACCCAAAGAGGTGGCAGTCTTACACTGCCAAAACCATCAGAAAGGTGAAGGAGAAAAGTCAGAAGGAAACTGTTGGTTTGATTCTGAGGCCAAAATTCCTGCCAGGCAGAATCCCCCTTTAGAAATACCTATGGAAGGACCCTTAGTATGGAACAAACCCCCACCAAGAGATTAAGCCTCAGTATTCCCCACCTGAAGCAGAGTGGGGAATTTCATGGGGGCATAGTTTTCTCCCCTCAGGTTGGCTACAGAAGAAGGAAAGGTACTTATACCCAAAGCCAGCCAGTGGAAAATACGTAAAACCCTCCACCAAACTTTACATATGGGTATTGAAAACACTCATCAAATGGCCAAATCCCTATTTACAGGGCCAAATCTTCTCCAAACCATCCAACAGGTAGTCAAAGCCTGTTAGGTGTGCCAAAGGAATAATCCCTTCATCCATAGTAAGACCCCTTTGGGGGAGCAAAGAATAGGTCACTATTCTGGAAAGGACTGGCAGTTAGATTTCACCCATATGCCTAACTCAAAGGGATTTCAATACTTGTTGGTCTGTGTTGATGCCTTTACAGATTGGATAGAAGCTTTCCCCTGCAAGACAGAGAAGGTTTAGGAAGTGATTAAACTCCTAATTCATGAAATAATTTCTATATTTGGGCTTCCCCAAAGCTTACAGAGTGAAAATTGTCTGGCTTTTAAGGCTGCGATAACTCAAGGAATTTCCAGGGTGCTAGCGATACAATATCACCTTCACTGTGCCTGGAGGCCACAATCCTCAGGGAAGGTCAAGAAGGCAAATGAAACACTTAAGAGACACTTAAGGAAACTAACACAAGAAACACATCTCCCATGGCCTAGCTATTTTGACCATTGCCTTGTTGAGAATCCTAAATTCTCCTCACAAAATGGGGCTCAGTCCATATGAAATGCTGTATGGACGATCTTTTCTCACAAAAGACCCCCTACTGGATCAGGAAATGGCCTACTTGGTCAAAGATATAACTTCTTTGTCAAAATATCAACAAAACCTTAAAAACCTACCTGAAGGATGTCACAGAGAAAAGGGAACAGAGTTGTTTCAACTCTTTGTGGGAAGGACCATACTCGGTAATCCTCTCTACTCTCACTGCGATTAAGGTGGCAGGAATGGAAACTTGGATTACCACACCTGAGTTAAACTTTGGACGTCCCCTGAGGAACCTGTGGAACCGTCAGCTCAGGAGTCCCAAGATCAGCCAGACCAGCCTCGATACACCTGTGAACCATTGGAGGACTTGCATCTTCTATTTCAGAAGGAAACATCCCACACTAAAAAGGCTCCTACCACTGATCCTGAGGAAAAACTCCTTCCTGCTTAAAAAAGATAAGTGAAAACAACACACTAACCATACTCTTTGTGATAGGATTATATACTCTAGCTCCTGCCAGTACGAAAATGCTAATCACATCAACCTTCCATCTTTCTTCTTTTAACAGCAATTTACTCCTACCTTTAACTCAGACTCGAGAAAATGATCTCTTCTTCCAGAGCATCCTCTTTACCTTCCTATTTGCTCTTTGCCTATGCATCCCTCCTGCTTCCTTGGATACCTCATATAATCATCCCTCCCCTTCCACTTTTTCCTAATTTCCTCTACAAGACTCTCAACTTAACCCAGTCTCTGTTAAACCAGTCCAGTCCTTCCCTGGCAAATGACTGTTGGCTTTGTGTCTCCCTATCAACCTCTTCTTATGTTGCCACTCCCATTCCTGCCAAAAATTGCATCTTTACCAACTTAACCTACCACCCTTGTTATGAAGGAAAAGACCCTTTCTGACTTCTAAATATGCAATCGTTAGCCAACTTCCCCATCTCTGATAGGATCAAGAATACCCTAACAGGATGTGCAATCCAACTTTTACGTTCTTAGATTTCCAACCACACCTATTATGCAAGCAATGAAAAGCCCATACATGGCCCTGTAGCTATGAATACTATCTTAACTTTCCAAGCTCCTTTATGCAGCCAATGCAACCTCTTATGAGCCTGCCCCTGGGGCACCTACTACCCCATCAGTGTAATTACACCCTACAACTTCAAGCCCCAACTGATCATAGTAACCCAAACAGCTCCATTCAGACAGCTTGTCTGCTTCTCAGGGCCCCAAAATCATCACTGCCTCCCTGCTTAACAAACGGTCCAGGTTTTGTAATGGCAAACATACTCCCTGCATGATCATTCACCCCTGGGCCCCCTGCAGCAGTGCCCCCACCACTAGTGAATGCCTTCTCATCCCCTCTTTCAATCACTCTCTCAAATTGTTCCTAGTGGATACAAAACGTTTTTTTCTCCAATGGGAAAATAGAACACAGGGAGCCATTCAGTTTTCTCCCAACACCCCTTGCCAGCCAGTCACTGGAGCTACCTTGGCAAGTACTCTAGGAGTATGGGAAAAAGAAAACAACAAATTCACACACCTTTTTAACATACACAACCAGTTCTGTCTACCCAGCCAAGGTATATTCTTCTTATGTGGAACATCGACCTATATCTGCCTCCCCACTAAGTGGACAGACAGCTGCACTTAGTCTTTCTAACTTCCAACATTAACATTGCCCCAGGAAATCAAAACTTATCAGTACCCCTCAAAGCTCAAGTCCATCAGCACAGGGCCATACAACAAATACCACCTACTTATAGGGTTAGGAATGGCTACTGCTACAGGAACCAGAAGAGCCAGTATATCTACTTCATTATCCTACTGCCACATACTCTCAAAGGATTTCTCAGGCGGTTTGTAAGAAATAACGAACCTATCCTTACTCTGCAATCCCAAATAGACTCTTTAGCTGCAGTGACTCTCCAAAACCGCTGAAGCCTAGACCTCCTCACTGCTGAGAAAGGAGGACTCTGCACCTTCTTAGGGGAAGAGTGTTGTTTTTACACTAAGCCATCAGGGATAGTACGAGATGCCACCCAGCATTTATAGGAAATGGTTTCTGAAATCAGACAATGCCTTTCAAACTCATACCAACCTCTCTAGTTGGGCAACATGGCTTCTCCGCTTTCTAGGTCCTGTGGCAGCCATCTTGCTTTTACTCACCTTTGGACCCTGTATTTTTAACCTGCTTCTCAAATTTGTTTCCTTGGAATTGAGGCCAAGAAGCTACAGATGGTCTTACAAATGGAAACCCAAATGAGCTCAACTAACAACTTCTACTGAGGACCCCTGGACCAACACGCTGGCCCTTCCACTGGCCTAAAGCGTTCCCCTCTGGAGGACACTACAACTGAAGGGCCCTTTCTTCACCTCTATCCAGCAGTGAGTAGCTAGAGTGGTCATTGGCCAAATTCCCAACAGCAGTTGGGGTGTCCTGTTTAGAGGGGGGATTGAGAAGTGACAACATACTAGCAGCCCTCGCTCGCTCTTGGTGCTTCCTTCACCTCAGCATCCGCTCTGGCTCTGCTTGAGGAGCCTTTCAACTGGCCACTGCCCTGTGGGGGCCCCTCTCTGGGGCTGGTTGAGGCTGGGACTGGCTCCTTCTGCTGGCCTCCTGTCTAGCTAAAGGATTGTAAATGCACCAATCAGTGCTCTGTATCTAGCTAAAGGTTTGTAAACACATCAATCAGCGCTCTGTGTCTAGCTAATCTGGTGGGGACTTGGAGAACTTTTCTGTCTAGCTAAAGGATTGTAAACACACCAATCAGCACTCTGTGTCTAGCTAAAGGATTGTAAACGCACCAATCAGCAGGCTGTCAAAATGGACCAATCAGCTCTCTGTAAAATGGACCAACCAGATGTCTGTAAAATGGACCAATCAGTAGGATGTGGGTGGGTCCAGATAAGGGAATAAAAGCAGGCCACCTGAGCCAGCAGTGGAAGCCTGCTCGGGTCCCCTTCCATTCTGTGGGAGCTTTGTTTTTTCACTCTTCACAATAAGTCTTGCTGTTGCTCACTCTTAGTGTCTGTGCCACTTGTATGAGCACCACGAAGGTCTGCAGCTTCACTCCTGAGGCCAGTGAGACCATGAACCCACCAGAAGGAAGAAACTCCAGACACATCTGAACATCTGAAGGAAAAAACTCCAGACACACCATCTTTAAGAACCGTAACACTCATCGTGAGGGTTCGCGGCTTCATTCTTGAAGTCAGCAAGACCAAGAACCTACCAATTCCGGACACAATGAGACAGAATTACAGCTCTTGCAGTGTTACAGCTCTGTGACTCGTCTTTCAGAACAGGGTTACACCATAGCAAGAGAGGAACAGGTCAGGGATATTTTGCAGTCATATTTATATTTGCTTTTAAATGCATGGATTATTGCAGAAGTGCAGAAATTTATAGGGAAGGGGTGGTAATCATTGGATCATTGCCATAGAAGGGTGGTACCTCCTGTGTGTTGTAGCGGCAATGGTAAAATGACACGGCAGACTGGTGGGCATGTCTGGTTGAAAACTCCTTCTGCCTAGTCCCTGTTTTAGTTAGTCCTCAATCTGGATCCTATGTGAGCCCTACCCCTGGAGTTGAGTCCCACCTTCAACCTCATTCTCCACTCAGACATTAACTACTTTCCCTTAATCTTAAGGGGGCTGCAGGAGGGAGGAGGTCCATGCACTGTAACTGCTTCCTGCTGAGTCATGAGCATTGGCCTTGCCTAGCACTAGAGAAGTAAATTTCTCTGGATGCATGAGCTAAAGGGGAGAAACAACATTATAATTCTCCAGGTCAGTACATAAGATAACTCAAAAGCCTTAAGCCAGCGTTGTTTTCACCTGGAAATATAGTAATCTACAAGATACAAACCTTACTATGAGGCTAAACAAACAAGTAAATAAATTAGTAACAATACAGCTGTCAAGGGTCCTAAGATAGATTTTAAAAAGGTGGAAAAAGAGAGAAATACCCTTCTTCACAGAAAATTGTGAAACTGACAATGATACCCTTCCTCTTCTAGAAAATTCAGGAGCTCAATTGTGTTTTTCTCAGTCTTCCCTAGTAGGAAGACCCTCTATTCCCACTGGCAGCATTATGTTGCCAATTCTGGATGAATGACTGTTGATACTTTTAAGTAGGTAGTGGCGATCTTCCAAAAATTTAGATTTAGGTTACAGTGTCCTCCATTTGTGCCTGCAACTTATAAGAAACAGGTTTAATCCTGGACAATTGTATCCAACTAGGTATGCCCTAAAGTTTAAAAGGACTGGGATAGTCAACAACACCTGATAGGGGCCCTTCTGTTTTGGTTGTAATTGATTCTCAGGGGATGCTTCTTTCAAAATGTTTACAAAGTTTCATGATTGAATAGGAGGCCAGTTAATTGTGTTGTGAGAGGGGACAATACTTTTTGTCCATAGGCTTGGAGGAGTTTTCTAACCTGGCTTAAGTTGACAATATGTGTCAACTTATGAGTTAACTATGTATCTCTTTATTAAGCAGGAGACCCCAAGCTAAACATGGCCTCACATAACTCGCCTCAAGTGGATTTTTTGGGAAGTATTTTAAGGGTCATTCCTATGTGTATAAAGACTATGGCTAAGAGAGGAACCTGGGTCTCTGAGGTCTCCTGACATGACTTAGCTAATGTCTTTTCAAAACATGATTAGATTTTTCTATTTTACCTGAGGATTGAGTACTCCATGGGGAGTGAAGGTGATAGGTAACGTCTAAAGCTGAATGCAATCTATTGGGTCACTCTAACTGTGAAGGTAGTTCCATTATCGCTCTGCAGACTTTCAGGTAATTGAAACTTTACAGTTGATCTTATTAAGTAAAAATTTGGACACTCATAATGCCTTCTCTGTCCTTGTGGGAAAAGCCTCAATTCACTTGGTGAAGGTGTCTATAAAAACAGGCAAATGTTTCCTTCACCTGTATGGTTGTATCTGATAAAACCCTATTTGCTGACTGGGCTTGGTGGCTCACACCTGTAATCCCAGCACTTTGAGAGGCCAAGGTGGGTGGATAACGAGGTCAGGAGATTGAGGTCATCCTGGCCAACACAGCAAAAGCCCATCTCTACTAAAAATACAAAATTAGCTGGGCACGATGGCACGTGCTTGTAATACCAGCTACTTGGGAGAGTGAGGCAGGAGAATCTCCTGAACCTGTGAAGTGGAGGTTGCAGTGTACAGAGATCGTGCCCCTGTACTCCAGCTTAGCGACAGAGTGAGACTCCTTGTCAAAAACAAACAAACAAACAAAAAATTCTATTTGACAGGCTTTCCAGTGTATGCCCCTCAATGTTGTAAAGGTTTGAGTAGAGGAAGGAGTGTGGAGTAGCTTCCTGGATTGTTACGGTCACAAAGATCATAGGCCCTGGCCGTCCTCTTTATAGTCTGGAATAGATTCTTTCCTTAAATGATTTGAGAAAATAACTTGTATATTGAGACCTGTCCCAAAAGTGAGGAGTCATATAAAAGATTAACTCTTTTTCATTGCATTGCCTCAGGGAGAAAGAGTTTTGTTGCATTCTAGCAACCATCCTGAGGGATTCTTTTGTAAGCCTTTCTGTTCTGCCGATTGAATTTTTTCGTGGGTACAGTGTGGTGTTCCCAACATGGGTGCAGTATCTGACATTAGCCAGTGGCCTGTAACAATGTTACCTCTTTAGATGTGGCCTCAGCCGTTTTCTTTCCCAGAGAATTTCCTTTGATAATAGAAGGGCCTTCTTTTTAGTGCCTACTGCAGTGAATCATGGCTACCTTCTTTAAGAGCTAGACAGTTAGTTATATGCAAATACTACATTATCTAATGCCAAGAAATTGAGAATCTGCAGATTTTGGTATCCATGGATGTCCTGAAACAATCCCTCACTGATACTGAGGGACCATTATGTATACTTTAATATCACACATCTCACAATGGAAGTAAAGCCTCCATTATCACTCAAGTAATTGGCCATCCTGTGGCTTTCTCTTATAGGTAGGTAGTTTCAACTTGGACATCTTAATACTACATCTAGAAAAATTTCTAAGTTTTCTTATTAGTATATATGATTTGTATGTTCTTTGAAGTTGTCCATGTAGGTAATCATGTCATCTACAGATGAGGAATATTTTACTTCTTTCTTTCCAATTCTTATATATTAAAGTATTTTTATTAGTATTATTTGTCTCATATTACAAGTTAAAAATCTCCAGGACAATGTTGAAGAGAAATGGTAATAGCGAGCCTTCTAGTCTTTCTTCTGATTTTGAAGGTAGTATTTTCTGATAAGGAACACTTTCTTTATTTGTACTTTAATCTCTTATTATAAATAGCTATTCTGTTTTATTTGATGCTTATTCTGTATTCATTGATGTAATTATACTTTTTCCTACTTTAATATATACGTATGATGCATTAAATAAATAGATTTCCTTAAGTTGAGCCCCTCCTTTCTCTTTGAAATAAATTTAGTGTAGATATGTGGTTATGATGTATAACCTTACATTTGTTTGCTCATTGATATGGTTTGGCTCTGTTTTAACCCAATCTCATGCTGAATTTTAACCCTCGTGTTTTGGAGGGGGGCCTGGTTGGAGGTGATTGGATCATGGGAGCAGAATTTCTCTTTAGGTTCTCATGATAGCAAATGAGTTCTCATGAGATGGAATTTTTTGAAAATGTGCAGCACTTCACCCTTTACACTCTCTTCCCTGCCACCATGTGAAGACACACTTGCTTTCCCTTGGCCCTCTCACATAATCTTAAGTTTTCTGAGACCTCCTAGCCATGCCTCCTGCACAGCCTGAGAAACTATAAGCCAATTAGGTCTCCTTTCTTTATAAATTACCCAGTATCAGGTGTTTCTTTACAACTGTGTGAAAACAAAATAATACGCTTATATTTTGCTCATGTTTTCACATTGTTGTGAAGTAAAATTAATCTTTTTTGTTTTTAATTCTTATGCTGTTTGTTTGAAAGTAGTAACAAGACATTATTCATTTGAAAATTAATTAGGATTGTTTTTCTTCTCTTTTTCACTTCTCAGAAATATTTATTTCCTTGAATGTGTAGTAGAATCCAACTATAAAAGCAGTTGATTCTAATACTTTTTTATAGGGATAATTTAAATGTGGACACATTTTTTTTCAAAATGCTACAGTAAGTGCAGTTTCTTAGTTCTTCCTAGTTCCTAGTTTGGGTAACTGACTTTTTTGTAGAGACTTTTCTGTTTCACTGAAGAATTAAAATTTGTTTGTGTAAAGATGTTTCTAATACTGCTGTATTTCTAAATTTCTGCTGCCTAGCTGAGCATACCCTTTCTTTATGTCTTAATATTATGTGTTCTTTCTTTCCCCAGTGAATCTGGTCAGAGATCTGTAAGCTTCGTTATCTTCTCAAAGAACTAATTCTTTTTCTATTTGATTAACTTCTGCTCTTCGTTCATTATTTTCTTATTTATGCCTTTTTTCTTTTGGTGTACATGTTTCTTCCTTTCCTAACTATAACAAATGATTCACATATTAGTGCCACCTTTTTTATTTCTTCATGAAACACCAAACGTTAACCTTTTTTTTATGACTAACTTTTCTTTTATCAGGATTCCAAAAGTACTGATACTTAATATTTTAAACTATTATTTAGTTCTGTATTTCAAATTTTGTTTTTTATATGTTATTAACAAGTCTGTATTATGTATTTCCAATTTACATGATTAAAAATATGTATATTTTTATAATTGTTTGTATTGGAATCAGAATGTGTTCTTGATAATACATGGACCTTTGAAATGTATTGAGACTTGCCTTAAGGCATAGTATGTCTTTAAATGTTTCTGAGTTTTTAGAACAATGTGCATTGCTAGATACTATATCCTGTAACTGCCTATTGGATAAAGTTTTTTAAATAGCTTCTTACATAGTTTAACCTCTGCTGAACCAATAATCTTGGAGTGTTGTATTAAAATGTTTCATTATAATGTAATTCATTGATATAATTAATTGAATCAACTAATTATTTCAATTAATTTAAAGTTAATTAAAATAATTAATTGAATTGTTTAAATTATTTAATTAATTTTTAAATTTCTTGGAATATTATGATTTAAACAATTTTTGCTGTCTATATTTTAGAAGTGTAGATTAAAACTGTATTATCCTCCTAGTCTACTGAAAGTTTTGTTATCTAGGTTACCATAATTTTTCCTTTAGTATCAATTGTTGCTTTAAATCTGAAAACATGCAGTGTTTGCTAGGGCATGGAATTTACCCAGTATATCCATTTACATAATTTATTAACTGTTTCTTGCCTTGTGTTTGATGTAAGTTTCATAAGCAGCACAGAGCTCCAGTTTTTAGAAAGATATATATTTTTAGTACGCATGTTTATTTAAACTTTTTATTCAAATATTTAGATATATGTTTATAATTTTAAGTTTTATTTATATTTGCTCTAGTCCTTAGGTTTCACTTTCATCTCCTGTTTAAAATTTGTTGTATTAAACTGTTGTATTTTTTCCTCATTTTATATATTGTCATGACTTGAAGAAATATATCTTAATTATGTTTAAATCTAATCAAGATCTTTACCAGCTTTAAGAAAAATTCAAGACCTTATCATCTTTTATTTTGATTTTTTTATTTTGGATGTTTTAATATAATATTTTAAACTCTATCTTATTTCATTAAATTATATGAAATGTATTATTATTATCCACTGTTTTTGATAACTACATGCCATTGTTTTACTAGGTTTCTTCAAGAATGACCTCTCTTTCTTTCCCAGAAATTTCTTATAGAGAAAGTCTCTGTTCTAGAAAATCTTTCAGCATTTTTAAGTCATTTTATTGGTTATGAATTTTTCTTTCTTTTCTGAGAATAAAATTCTCTTCTTGATTTTAAGTTTACTCATTCAAGCCTTTCAAGGAATTAAACTGTTTCTGACTTTTGTTCTCTAAATGCTCTATTGAGTTTTTACTTTCCAAGTATTGTATTTATTGCATCTAAAATTTCTATTTTCTCTCCAGATTTTCAGACCTATCTTAACCTTTAAGATAATCTTTTAATACTTGACCACACTTTTAATATTAATGTTTCATTTTTTAAAATTCATTAAGCTAGTTATGTTATATTCAATGTCTGCTTATTAAAGGATCTGCAGTATTTCTCAAATGGTTCTTGTTGTTTCTCCTTATATTTTTCGTGTTGGTTTCTTTCATGACTTTTCAATATTTTTATATTTATGTGAATCATCTAAACTTTAGGAAAATTCTTTAAGGCCTGAGTTTAAGGTTTTTAAAGGGATATTTGTTGTACTGCAGTCAGGAGCTCTACAAAAGATTTTTTCCAGCCAATTCTTACACTGAGTTTTTGGAAAGTGACAGAAAGGGTATACATTCTGCTGTCAAACCTACATAATAACAGATTTTGGCTATAAAATTAAAGAGTAAGAATCACATCTATGCTCTTTATAACTGAAAACCAAGGTTAAGATGAATGTCTTTCTCTCTGTTTGTGGGGAGAGTTTGAATGGCTGTATTCATCAAACATTTCATAATAAGTCATCTGCAAGCTGAGGAGCAAGGAGAGCTGATCCAGGTCCCCAAAACTAAAGGACTTGGATCCTGATGTTTGAGGACAGAAAGCATCCAGCATGGAAGAAAGATGTAGGCAAGGAGACTAGGCCAGTCTCATCTTTTCATATTTTTCTAGCCAGCAGCTAGTTATGCTGGCAGCTAGTAAGATGGTGCCCACTCGGATTAAGGGAGGGTCTGTCTTTTGCAGCTGACTTACTCAAACGTTAATCTCCTTTGGCAGCACCCTCACAGAGACACCAAGGATTAATTCTTTGCATTCTTCAATCTAACCACATTGACACTTAGTATTAACTATCACAAGTCCACCCCTTGTCAACTTGAACCCACACATATCTCCTGAGATCATACACAATCTTTGAATAAGGAAAATAATAAGGTCACAAGTATGCCTAATATAATACAACTATTCTTCACACAACTGGAAATGCAGAAATCCCCAACCCAAATACCATAACGTAAAGTTAATAATACTTAAGTGCTAATGCAAAGTCAATAAATCTTATAACACATAATGAAGGAAAAAGGAAATAAAGATATTTTCTTAGTATGAGTGTATAAACACAAAAAAATTTTTTTAACAAAAGAAGAAGGAAATACAGTTACAGCCCTCGCTTTTGCAGCTGATCAAGTGGTTGTACCTGGTATTGATGACTACCTTCTTCTACTACCCTTTCTATATTCCCTTTGGTTTCAGCAAGCACCTGAGCATATTTTGAGATTGGCCAGAGTGAGACAGTATCACTAAGCATGTTAATTAATTAATTAATTAGGTTAAATCAATCTTTTAACCAAATGACTTAGAAATGTAAAAAGCAAAAACCTTCTATAATTCTTTACAAATTTTGCTAAAGAACAGATTTGTGCCCTAAGAGTACTTTGTTGTATTTTTATTGCAAGCCTCAATTTACAAAAAACCCATATAATAACTTTTTAAATTTAATTAATGTTCACAAAAGAATTCCTTTGGCAAGATTAATTTTAACAATCCTTCCACAGCTTGTTTGAACTGTTAGCTTTATCTTATCTAATTGAGAACAAATGTTTTACCCTAGGCAAGAATTTATATATTCATGCCTTCTTATAATTTTTTATTAAAAACACATTTTACTGTATGTAAATCATTTACTCATATATAACTCTACTTCCAGTGCTTTTAATTACATCTTATAATGGTAACTTCTAGCAATTTTAACTTTAATGTAAAACCAGGTAAATTGTTTTAATTATGTGCTAGGTGCAGTCAAGGGTTTGACTCCTTTCAGCATAATTAAGGGTATGGTTAATTCTATTTGTCCTCAGGCCTTACCAACAGTGAAGCAAAGTTGAACTGCTCTCAAAAACCAAAAATGCTGTTTATAACCTTAAAACATTTAGCAAATCTAGTATTTCACCTGCATAATTTCGTCCACCCACTGATACATTGATATTTGTGTTCTACTGATAATCTTTAAGGCTGTTTTTATTTCTCAAAGATTAAAAGTCATGTGAACAAAAAGGTACATGTCTTTTTTCTTCCCTTCAATAAATATTTGATCCAAGTTCTTATCATTCTTTAAGTAAATTTATTAGACCTCTTTATATAGACATCATACACACAACATATATATATAACTACAGAAACAGGCTGAAGAAAACCTAGTAATTATAAGGTTTTTGTTGTTGTTGTTGTTGTTGTTTTGAGACAGAGTCTCGCTCTGTCACCCAGGCGGGAGTGCAGTGGCGCGATCTTGGCTCTCTGCAACCTCTGCCTCTGCAACCTCAACCTCACGCCATTCACCTGGCTCAGCCTCCTGAGTAGCTGGGACTACAGGCGTCCACCTGGTTAATTTTTTGTATTTTTAGTAGAGATGGGGTTTCAACATGTTAGCCTGGATGGCCTCTATCTCCTGACCTCGTGGTCCTCCTGCCTCAGCCTCCCAAAGTGCTGAGATTACAGGCATAAGCCACCACACCCAGCTGTCATAAGGTTTTTTATTTGCCAATTTCCAGATTGAATTACTGTCCTCTCATGCATGCATTAGAGTGGCCAGACAAAATGAAGAAAAAGGATTCAGTTGACTGAGAAAAAAACTTCTACCAGCAAAACAAGATCCAGGAAAAGAAAAATATAAAGGTCTTTTAAATATACCTATAATTTGGATATCCACTTTTAATTAAGTTGAGGACTCTTTAAGAATATCCTTTTAATTTTTTTATTACCTGACTCTAGTAGCACCAAGCAGCCAGTGTTTCTGGCTTTCAAATTTTAACAAAAGTAACTTACCAGGTGCTCAGAGGAAAAAAAAAAAAAAAAGTAAGGCAGTTTGTTAAGTGGAAGAGAATCAGCAAAGGGCAAAAGTTACATGCTGATATAAAACCAGAAGAGACTCTTTCCTTAAGCCAGGATTAAACCTGGGCCACCATTGTAAAATGGCAGAGGCCAAAACAAAACAGAGCCACATTGGTTCAGGTCATGTTCCTGAAAACATAAAACAAGATGGATGCCTGCGCAAAATTTTCTGACAGCTATAGAGAAGGACATACAAAGCACACCAGATTGGCCACAGCTCTAGACCAACCTGAGAAACATCTATTCACAATCAAAACTCTACAAAGAATATAAGCAGTGATCATTGGGGCATTGTCCGGCAAAACATTTCATATGAAGAAAACAAAAAAACCTTCTGCTTAAAAGTAAATTGCAGACAGGATGAAGAAAAGAAAAAAAAAGTCTTAAGTGTAGAGCAGGAAAGACAATTTTCTTTCTTATGCAAATGAGTTCCTTCAACAAGGAGAAAAACTTAATGCTGTTGGGTGAGGTTGGATCCCTTGGTCGGTGAACATGAAGACACCATGAATGCCTGGCATTTTTCAGCCCAGAGGAGATGGGAATGAAGAGCTGCCATTCAACTACCATCCCACATGTGCCTGGGGCTGTTTGGGTAGGGTGTTGAAGAGTTTCCTCTATCCTCAGGAGAAGTCCAAGAATGAAAACACTTACAAACAAAATAGAAAAAGATTTTTTAGTTTACATCTTACTTACCTCAAGCCCCACATCTAGACACCGAAATGTTATAGAACTTTCTCCTTAGTTAAGCTAAAACAAGGATCTTCTCACATGATTATGAAGGAAGAGTCTAATGAATACACTGAAGGGTTAGGAGTAAAGTTTATTGGGCCAAAAGGAAAAAGAAAACAACAACAACAACATCAACAACAAAGTGTCAGCAGAGTGGGAAGCACTCGTGTTATCTGGCCCTGACCTCACAGATTGAGGAACACCAGGTCACAACATAGCAACTTAAGAATCCAGGTTCCTCTCCTGCCAAAAGGTGTGAATTTCAGTGGCTCCACCTCCTTTTCCCATTGCACAGGTAGGCATTATTCAGAAAGAAGCCGTCAGAAAATGGCTGGCTTCATTTGAAACCAGCAGTCCAATTTTTCAGCCATCAGGCTGAAATGAAGTAAGACACTTTATAGTTGTTGTAAATTTTTTTCTTGAATTTCTTTTTCAGATGGCTTTTTCTTGGCATGAAAATATGCTCCTACTAAGTTTTTAAAGTGAATTTGGTATTCTGCTACTTAACTGAATTTCTTTATCAATTCTCAAGATTTTTAGTGTAGTATTTAAGTTTTGCTATACAAACAGTTAAGAGATCTGCAAACAGATAATTTGACTTTCTTCCTTTTTATTTGGATGTCTTTTATTTCTTTCTCTTGCATAAATAATCTTGCTAAGACCTCCAGTACTCTGTTGAATAAAAGTGGTAAAAGTAGACATCACTGTCTTCTTCTAGGTCTTAAGTAAAAAGCCTTCACCTTTTAATGTTCAGTGTCTTATCAGGTATTGATTTGTCATATTTTGCCTTAACTGTGTTGTGTTACATACCATCTGTACCTAACTTGTTCACTTGTTTTAATCACAAAACATGCTAAATTTTTCAAAATAATTTTTCTGCATCTAAAATAAAAAATAAAGTGCCTAGCAGTAAACTTAATTAAAAAGATAAACACTGTCTACACTATAAATTATAAAACATTAATTAAAAAACTAAAAAATATGAAAAACATGAGAAATATTTTTTGTTCATGAGTTATAAAAAATATTGCTAAAATGACTATGCTACTCAAGGTAATCAACAGATTCAATGCAAACTCAATAAAAATACCAATGACATTTTTTCACAGAAATGGAAAAAAACAGGCCTAAAATCTATAGTGAACAAAAGAAACTCCCCAAATAGCCAAAGTCATCTAGCAAAAAAGAACAAAGCTGAAAGCATCAAATTACCCGACTTCTAAATATACTGCAAAGCTATAACAAGCAAACAGAGTGATACCGGCATATGAAACAGACAGATAGAACAAAGTATCCATTGATTCTAGTAATAAATTAATAAGCCTAGAGCCAAATAATTTTTAAGGTATTTAAGAGACATATTTAAGAAAAGTCAACCTCATCAATAAATGGTGCTGTAAAATTAATTTCTTAAATACAAAGTAATACAACTAGATGCCTACCTGTTACCATATTTTAAAAACTTAATTAAAAATAAATAGAAGATTAAAATGTAAAACTCAAACTTATAAAACAATTTCCATAAAACATATAGAAATTCTTAATCAGATAGGACAGAAAAAATTTTTAAATAAGACCCCAGAAGCACAGGCAACAAAAGCAAAAGCAGACAAGTAAAATTACCAGAATCTAAAAAAAAAAAAAAAAAAATAGTAAAAATAAATTTACAGAGTGAAGAGACAGCTTACACTGTGGGAGACTATATCTGCAAAATATACATATGACAAGAGATAAACATACGAATACATAACAATTTTAAGAGCAATAATAACACACTATTTAGTAATAGGCAAGATACCTTAACTGACATTTCCTCAAAGAAGACATACGAATGGCCAATTACATACAATGATGCTCAGCATTATTAATTATTAGAAAACTGCAAATCAAAGCCAAAATAAGACACCAAATCACTGCAGTAAAAATGAGTATAATTGGAAATGATACATTTCTGACCCTTTCAACAGGAGGCATTGTGACATATCTCAGGGCCTATCATTTAGGTGATACAACTTCCTCTACTGCCTGAACACTGCCCACGAGGGGCATTATGCCATAGAGTTTGCTGTAGCCTCGCAGTTATGCAACTTTTCTGCCAGAAACTTGTCTAGAAGGAGAATATTGGAAAACTTCTGGCTCAGCATTTAGGTGACAAGTCTGTCATGTCTGTTTCATTACCACAGAGTAAATTTTGACATATACCTAGGCACAGCTCACAGGCATGATACTGACTCTCACATGTGGATCCTACAGATAAGAATAATTTTGACTCTTGTAACTTGCTTTAGAAACATGAGTCATTTCTTAGATCTCTTTCTGGTAAAGAGGTCACTGAAGATTATAACAGGCTCAGATATTTTATAAAGCCCATGACTTGCACAGAGTGTCATAAGAGAACCCAACAGAAAGGTGAAATTGTGAGTCTCATATGCACACCCAGCTGACAGTAAGGACTGTCACATCTCACATACATGAAGCCAACTGTCACTCATGAAAACAGGACATGTATGGTATTGTAAGTCTCATCTCTGGAATATTCTGCCATTGTGATTGTGATAAAAATATTTGCTGAGCATCTGTGATTTGACTCTCCAGACTGGTTCCAGCTCA
The DNA here is from genome assembly GCF_000001405.40 of Homo sapiens. Classification (NCBI taxonomy): domain Eukaryota; kingdom Metazoa; phylum Chordata; class Mammalia; order Primates; family Hominidae; genus Homo; species Homo sapiens. The sequence continues at coordinate 25,228,693 of NC_000024.10, read as the reverse complement.
TATATGGGATTGTGATCTCTACCTGGACCAACATATAAATGATGTGACTCTCCTGCCTTGGCACTTGTCTCATTAAGGATTGTGACATATCACTGGATCAAAAACCCAGGTGACGTTACATTCTTGCCTGAGCCTTGGCCACAGACATTGCTGTGATATATGACTGTCTCCACCAATTAGGTGATGTAACTCTCCTCTCTAGAATAGGTCCTGAACAGAAGGGTTGGTGGTGACATATTTCTAGGCCAAGCAAACAGGTGATGGTTCTTTTTCACCAGGGCTATGTGTCAAGGAGGGCATTGTAACATATCTCCGTGACTGTCACCTAGATTATGTGACTTGAGGCTTGGGCCTCACCCACACAGAGCATTGTGACATAAAAGTTAAACCTGCAGCAAGTTGATTTAACTCTTTTGCCTTGGTGTTTTCCTAAGGAAGCTTTGTAACATATCTCAGGACCCAGGTGATGTGGCTCTTCTTCCTGGTATCTTCCCACGTGTTAGATTGTGACATATACCTATAAAAGCACATAGGTGATATGACTCTCCCTTTCTCCCTGAGTCCTGCCTACTGAGGACATTGGGACATATCTCTGAGCACATGACCTAAGTGATATGATTCTCTTCCCCTGCCTGGGCCTTTAAAATGGTGGGATTGTGGCATATTGCTGAGCCTAGAGTTTAACTGATGTGACTCTACTCTTTTTTTCTGAACCATGCCCGCAAAGGGAAATTTTGACATATTGCACCCAGATGATGTTACAGTTTTGTCAGAGTTCTGAATAAAGAGGAAATTATTACATATGAGTGGGCCCAGCACCCTGAAGATGCTACTGTCCTACCTGCATGCCAGTAGCCTCAGAGAGTATTTCGACATACCTTTGACTCATTGTACACGTGTTTTGGCTCTCATCCCATGGCTAAACTTTTCCACATGTGGAATTGTGTCACATTGCTGGGTCCAGGTAATGTGACCCTTCTTCCTAGATTCTGCCTAAAAAGGGCATTGTGGCATTTGTTGCCGTATCATCTAAGTGATATTATTCTTTTTCCTAATTGTTGACAAATAAATGAGATTATGACATAAATCTTGCTTCAGTTCACAGGCATGATGGTCAAACTTATATTAGGGCTCAGTCAATAGAAGATATTTTTCCACTCATTGCTAGGCTTATGGAAATAGGTAAAATGGGTTTTCTGTTTGTACAATGCTCACAGAGGTTTACAACACTAATTCATATTGTATAAACTCCTTTGGTGGTACAGAGAGTTTTATAACAAGAAACATAAAAAAATTAAGATTGTGACTCTAAATTACACAGCCAGGTGGAAGTAAATATTGTCACAAGCACACATTTACAAAGCCCACTGTTAAGGTACTAAGTCTAACAAAGAAAAACAGTACAAAGTGGGAATCATGACACTCACATGTGGGTCTAGCCAATGGTGCGATTATGACTCATTTTTGGTCCCAGCTCATAGAAATAAAAATAGGTCTCATTCCTGAACTCAGCCTAAATGAGAGATGTTGACTATCATACCTGGGTTTAGGGCAATACATAACACTGGGAGTCCATATGAGCATGTGGGCCTCAGAGAAGTTTGCAACTCTCATACATGCCATATACATCCCTCGGATGTTGCAGAGGGTTCTATATAATGGCCCAGCACACACATGACATTGTGACTCATATACACACCAAGCTTACACTTAAAGGTACCATCCTCAAAGATGAGCAGCATCCAGGTGATGTGAGTCTTCTTCGAGTGTCCTGCCAACGAGTGTCCTGTGTCATATCACTGGGCCTAGTAACCAGGTGTTAAAACTTTTGCTTAAATTGTTTCTCGTGTATGTGTTGTGACATATTGTGTCAGAATCATAATAATGTGACACCTTTTGCCCTGGCCCTGCAACAAGACATATCATCACATATTTGTGAGCCTAAATGTTAAGGGATTTGTCTTTTTTTCTTGTGCTTTGCCCCAAAGAAACATTGTGACATTGTTGAACGTAGCAGCTAGGAAATACGTCTCTTCTCTCCTGTCTAGGTCCTTCCTACTAAAGGAATTGTGACATGCCACTGAGTGCAAAACCTAGGTAATGCAACTTTCCTCTTTATTTTCTGGAGTTTGTCAAAAGAGGGGATTATTACATATTGCTGAGCCTAACACCTAGGTGTTGTGAGTCTCCTGTTTTGTTTTTTTCAACCCTGTCTACAGTGGACATGGTGCCATATTACTTGAGGCTGTACCCAGGTGATGTGACTCTTCTGACTTGGACCTGCAAGCAAAAGAGTAGATAATGTATCATGGGCTTGCATCAATGTTGTGAGACTTCTTCCTTGTTTCTGCCCACAGGTGAAATTGTGACATATACCTGGAATCATCTCACATGCACAATTATAATCATCATACCTGGACCCAGAAAGGAGAGAGATTTTGACTCTCATAGCCAGTCTTATTTCCATAAGTAAAATAATGGGTCTCCTATTTGTTCACAGAGGATATGACCCTCGGGCATATCATATAAAGCCTCAGTGGTACAAAGAGTGTCATAACAGGGAACAGCAACCAGGTGTGATTGTGAATCATGGATGCACACCCAGCTAACTTGATTGTCACTTTCATACAAGAACGTGGCCTACAAATAAGGTACTAAGTTTCACACAACAGAGTAGTCGAAGGTTGAAATTGTTCCTCTCGTACATGGTTTAACCCCGTGGGTGGTTTGGTGATGCAGTATTCAGCCCAACTGTGAGGCTGTGACTTTCATACTGGAACACAATCTTCGAGTAGAACTGGGCAATTTATGCATGGATCCTGCCCATTGTTGAGTCTGTAACTCCTCTGCTTTGACCCCTTGCACAGGAGGTGTTGACCCATGTGCACAAAGCCAGGACTTGTGAAGGGCTGTGAAACTTATTTCTGAATATTTCCCAGCGTGTGATTAGGACATAAAAATTAGCCCGGCTCCTGAATAATTTGACTCTCCTTTTTAGGCCATGACGGCAGATAAAATTGTGACGTAGGTGGACCATACACCTAAGCAGAGGTGCCTGGGCCTGCCTACCAAGGGTAATTAAACATATCACGGGGACCAGCATCAAGGTGATGTCAATTCTTTGTCTTTTTCCTGCCTATAAAAGTCATTGTGACTTAGATTTAGGTCCATCATATAAGTGATGAGACTCCCTTCTACTGCCTTGGCCCTGCTGTTACAGGGCATTGTGACACATAACTGGGTACTGCACCCAGGTGATGTGACTCTCTGTTTTGGGTTCTGCCAACAGGAAGCTTCATAACATATCACTTGGTTCACACCTAGATAATGTTTTTCTCTTTTGTCTTGCCGTGACCAGAGGGGAGATTGTGACATATTACTAAACCCAGCGCCGAAGTGAGGTCACTTTCATACCGTGGTTCTGCAGATAGTGAACATTGTGACATATATCTAGGCCAATTGCTTAGGTAAAGGGAGTGTCCTCACACTCCTAAGATTTCCTCACAGGGGGACTTTTGATATATCACTAAAACCAGCCTCCAGGTGATGTGAGTCTTCTTCCAGTGTCCTGCCCACAAGGAAGATTGTGGCATCTCACTGGACCAGCACCCATCCAGATGATGTGACCTTTCTGCTTGCTCTCTGCCCACAGGTGATATTGTGTCATATACCTAAGACTACTTAAGAGGACTAATCATGACTGTTAAACCTGGATCCAGGTCATATGCAAGACAGAGACTCCCATTCCTGGAATGTTCCACCAGTGTTATTGTGACATATACCTTTGCCCAGCTCCTGAGTGATTTAATACTCCTGCCTAGTTGTAGCCCGCAAATGAGATTTGGATGTGTACTTCAACTTATCACCATGATGATTTGACTCTCCTGTTTTAACAATATCTTCCAGAAGGATTGTAACATATTTCTGGACCCATGATCTAGTTACCTGACACTCCTCTCTTACCTGGACCCTGCTTCCACTAGAGATTGTAGCATTTCTTTCTTTTTTTTTTTCTTTTTTTTTGATGGAGGCTTGCTCTGTTGCCCAGGTTGGAGTGCAGTTGTGCGATCTCAGCTCCCTGCAAGCTCTGCCTCCTGGGTTCACGCCCTTCTCCTGCCTCAGCCTCCCAAGCAGCTGGGCCTACAGGCACCAGCCACCAGGCCTGGCTAATTTTTTATTTTTTTTATTTTTTTAGTACAGATGGGGTTTCACCATGCTAGCCAGGATGGTCTCTATGTCCTGACTTCATGATCCACCCACCTCGGCCCCTCAAAGCGCTGGGATTACAAGCATGAGCCACCACGCCCCGCCGGGACTATAGCATTTCTAAGCACTACATCCAAATTACGTGACTCTCTTGCCTGATCCTTGCAAAAGGAGACTTTGTAAGATATCTCTGGGCCTATTGTTTAGGTGATACAAGTCTCCTCTTCTACCTGGACACAGCCCATAAGGTGTATTGTGTTATACATCTTGATGTAACCCCCAAGTTATGCAACTTTTCTGCCTGGAGCATGCCTGTAAGGAGAATATTGGAAATTTTCTGGCTCAGTATTTAGGTGCCTTGGCTGTCATGCCTGTTTCATTAACACAGACTAAGTTGTGATATATACCCAAGCACAGCTCATAGGCATGATAATGACTGTCTTATGTGGATCCCACAAATAGAATTTTAACTCTCATAAATTTCTTTAGAGACACGAGTAATTAAATCCCTATCTGGTAAAAAAACAAGGTCAAAGAAAATTATAACAGCCTCACATATTTTTTAAAGCCTTTGGCTTGTACCGAGTGTGTCATAACAGAAACCAGCAGAAAGATGAAACTGTGAGTCTCAAATGCACACCCAGCTGACAGTAAGTACTATCAACATCTCACATATATGAAGCTAACTGTCACTCATGAAAATGGGACATGTGCAATATTGTAAATCTCATCCTGGGAATTTTCTGCTAGTGTTATTGTGATACAAATCTTCACCAAACATCTGTGTGATTTAATCCACCATAATGGTTCTAGCCCGCATATCTTATTGCGGTATCTACCTGGGCCTACCTCTACATGATACTGATACAAGTGATATGTTACTGCCTGGGTCCTGCTCTCAGTAAGAATCGTGACATATTACTAGATCCAGCACCTTGGTCATGTTAAATTTTTGCCTTAGCCATGCCCACAGAGATTATTGTGACATATCACTGTGTCAACTACTTAGGTGATGTAACTCTCCTTGTTAGAATGGGCCCTGCACACAATTGGGGATTGTGACATATGGTTGGGCCAGGCACACTGGTGACAGTACTCTTTTGTTAGAGCCATGTCCTAAAGAATGCATTGTGACAAATCTCTGGGCTGATCACTTAGGTGATGTTGCTCTCCTGCTTGGGTCCTGCTTTCCTGAATAGTGACATATTACTACACTAGGCATATAAGTGATGGTACTCTTTTGCCAGGGTCATGTCTCAAGGAGAACATTGCAACATATCTCTGTGCCTATCGCCTGGGTAACGTAACTCCCTGCTTCAGCATGGCCCACAAAGAGCATTGTGACATAAAGGTAGAACCTACACCTATTTGTTGTAAATCTCTTGTCTGAGTCTTGTCCTAAGTGAAACTTGTGACATATCTCAGGAATCAGGATCAAGGCGGTGTGACTCTTCTGCCTGGCTTCACCTCACATGTTAGATTTTTTTCATATACCTAGGGAAGCACCTAGGTGATATGACTTTTCTCTTCTGCCTTAGCCTTGCTTATTTTGGACATTGGGTCATATATTTGAGCCAGTATCCTAACTGACGTAATTCTTTTCTTCTGTCTGAGCCTTTACAATGGGGTGATGTGACATATTGCTAAGCCAAATACTCAGGTTATATGGCTTTTCTTTTTTTTTTTCTCCCAAAAAGTGTCCAGGAAAAGGAATTTTGATTTACTGCAGGGCCCAGCACCCAGATGATGTTCCTCTTCATCCTGAGTCCTGCATAAAGAGAGAATTATGGCATATGGCTCCGCCCCCAACCCTGATGCTGTAACTCTCTTGCCTGTGCCAGAGCAACAGAAAGTATTTTTACAATTCTTGGGCACACCCAGTAGGAGTTTTTATTCTCATCATTTGTCTGTTTTTTTTTTCTTTTGGGGAGGTGGATTGTGTCATATTGCTAGGTCCAGCACCCAGTTAATGTAACCCTCATTTCTAGAACCCTACCTAGAGAAGGCATTGTGACATATTGCCTGGCAAAGCACCTACGTTGTGCTACTCTCCTGGCTAGTTTTTTCTTTTTTCCTACAAATGGGATTATGAAATTTACATGATTCAATTCAGAGGCATGATGATCAAAGTTATATTTGTTTTCCACCAATAGTAACATTTGCCTATCACCTCTCCACGCAGGGCAATACTTAAAGTTGTGAGTTGCATAGTGGCAGAAAGCTCACAGCAGCTTACAACGCTAACTCATATTCTAAAAACTGCTTGGGCCCAGCCAGAGATTAAGATCATGACTCTTGATTACACATACAGGTGAGTGCAAAACTTTTCAGCATCCCATATTTACAAAGTCAGCTGTTAAAGTCCTGAGTATAAGTAAATAAAGTACAAAGTTGAAATTTTGACTGTCATATGTGGATCTTGCTATAGGTGAGATGGTGACTATTTTCTGGACCCAGATCACAGGCATAATAATGGGTCTCCTGTCTGAACCCAGCCTATTAGAGAGGTGTTGGCAATCATAACTGGGTTTAAGGCAATATGTAAGATTGTGAGTGAATATAAGCATGTAGGCCTCAGAGTGGTTTGTAACTCTCATGCATGTTGCATAAAGCCTCTGGATGTTGTAGAGTGTGTCATATAATGATGTAGAACACGTGTAAGGTTGTGACTGTAATATACATATCAAGCTAAAAGTTAAAGGTGTCACCTAAAAGATGAGGAGATTGTGTCATATTACCAGACCTAGTACCCTGGTGTTGAGATTTCTGTCTTAAATTCTTTACCACGGGTGCGTTGTGAAATATTACTCTGTGTGTATGTGTTTATGTGTGTTTGTGTATATATATATAATGTGTGTGTGTGTGTGTGTGTGTGTGTGTGTGTATTATGCTCTCATAGTGCCAGGTAGACAGCCCTACTGTTGAACATGGACAAGTCACCAGGACATTCCAAAATAATAGTATGGGTGGTTTTTTTGATGTTTGAAGAATGACTCAGCAGACATGTAGTCCTTTGACTCTCCTACTGGAATACAATCTTCAAGTGGGAATGGGGCTTTTATACACGGACCTTGCCCACTGATGACATTGTGACTCCTATGCTTCCACCCAACACATGGGAGATGTTCACTCTTATATCCAAAGGCACGACTAGTACGGGACTGTGAAAATTTTTCTGAACATTTTTGAGTGTGTGATTGAGAAATGTGACTTTACCCAGCATCTGAGTGTTTGACTCTCCTTTCTAGGTGCAGAGCACAGTGGAAATTGTGACATACATGCAACAAGCACCTGAGCAATATGTAACACCTTGTTTACCAATGCAATACAGGAAAATTTACAAATCACAGAGACCAGCACCCAAGTTTTGTGACATTTCTGTTATATCCTGCCTACAAAGAGAATATTGGAATATTTCTGGCTGAAGAGTTATGTGATGTGGTTGTCCTGCTGGTCTAATAACCACAGAGGGGATGGTGACATATACCTAGACACAGCTAACAGGAATGATACTGACTCTCATATGCAGACTCAGCCAATAGGAGAAATTTTGACCCTTATAACTAGGTTGAGGTACATGAGTGATGTCCAGGGTCTAACTCTGGTAAAAATGTCACAGAAAATTACAACACTCACACATATTTTATAAGACCCTTGGATTGTATAGAGAGTGTCATAACAGGGCCTAGCACAGAGAGGAAATTCTGAATCTTGTATGGACAGCCAGTTGGCAGTAAAGACTTTCACCATCACAGATGGATGAAGGCAACTGTCCTACATGCAAACATGATATGTGTGGCATTGTAAGTCTAATCCATAGACTTTTATTTCATTGTGACTGTGATATAAATCTTTGCCAAGCACCTGTGTGATTTCACTCTTCAGACTGGTTCCAGTCTACATGAGATTTGGATATCTACCTGGGCAAAACTTGAAGGGATGAGATTTTTCCGCCCAGCCACCCCTTCTCTCAGTAAGAATTGTGACATCACTGGATCCACCATCAAACTGTCTTTACATTTTGCCTGCACCATGCCTGAAGACATCATTGTTACATATCACTTTGTACATCAGTTAGAAGATGTAACTCTCCTCTCTGGAATGAGTCCTGCACACGGGGCAAAATAGTGACATATTTCTAGGGCAGGAACACAGGTGTTGATACTATTTTGCCAGGGCCTTGCACCGAAGAGGGCATTTTGGCATATCACAGGTCCTATCATGTAGGTGATATGGCTCTTCTACTCAGGAACTGCCTACTTGAATAGTGACATATTGCCAGGCCAGGTACAAAGGTGGTGGTGTTCTTTGGTCAGGGCCATGCTTTTGTGACATATCTCTCAGCCTATCACTTAGGTGATGGGCTTGGCCCTGGTCCTTGGTCCTGCTTGTTCCTGCCCACATGGAGAACTGTGAAAGAACCGTGGAACATGAACCTAGGCGATGTAACTAACTGGAGTCGGTTCTTTTCTAAGGGGGACTGAGTTGTGAGTATCTCAGGACACTGGAACAGAAGATGTGGCTCTTCACCAGGGTTTCTGCCCACATATTAAATTGTGACATATACTTTTTAAAAACATCCAGGTGATATGACTTTTTCTGCCTGAGCCTTGTCTACTGGTGACATTGGGCCATATCTCTGAACCCGTGACGTAAATGATGTGACTCTCTTCTTCTGTCTGGGCCTTAACAATAGGAACATTTTGACATATTGATGAGCCCAGCACTTAGGTAATGTGACTCTCGTCTTCTTGCTGAACAACGCCCACGAACAGGGCTTTTGCAATATTTCAGGGCCCAGCACCTGGATGATGCTACTTTTCTGCGTAAGTCATGCATAAGCAGGGAATTGTGGCATATTGCTTGGTCCAGCACCCTAATGACATGGCTCTCCTGCTTGTGACTAAGTTACAGAAAGTATTTTAGAATATCTCTGGCAAATTCTCTAGGTGCTTTGGCTCTCATCACTTTGCTTGGTTTCTTCCATCTGTGGTTGCATTAAACTGCTGGCTCCAACCCCTGGTAAATGTGACCCTTTTCCTTAGGCCCTGCCTAGAGAGGGCATTGTGACATATAGCTTGGCCCAGCAGCTAAGTGATGTTAACCTTCTGCCTTGTTATTAGCCCAGAAATAAGATTATGACATATACCTTCCTCCAGTTGAAAGCCATGATAATCAAGCTTATATTGGGATTCTGCCAATAGGAGATATTTTGCCACTCACCACTAGGTTTTCTTCAATAATTAAGGTCCTTTATTGCATATTTGTACAAATATCACAGAAGTTTACAATACCAACTCATATCATAAAAACTTCTTGGTTGGTAGAGAGAGTTTTATAACAGGGCCCAGCAAAAAATTAAGATTGTGACTCTTGACTGCACAGACGAAAGTAAAAGTTGTTACCATCCTGCATTTGCAAAGGGTATTGTTGATGTCCTGAGTCTAATGAGTGAATAAAGCACAAAGTTGGAATTGTGACTTTCATAAGTCAATCTGGCCACAGTTGGAATCATGACTCATTTCTGGATTCAGCTCGCAGCAATAATAGTGGCCTCATTCTTTAAGCCAACCTATGGGAGAGATATAGACTGTCATGCATAGTGTATACAGTTCTCAGATATTGTAGACAGTGTCATACAGTGGCCAGCACATACATGAGATCGTGACTGTCATATACACAACTAGTTAATGCTGTCACCTTTAAAGATGAGATTGAGTCATATCCCTAGTCCTAGTATCCTGGTGTTGAGACTTTTGGTTTGCATTCTTTTCCATAAGAGCATTGTTACATATCACTGGGTCAGAATCATGACAATATGACGCTTCTGCATGGGTCCTGCAAACAGCGTATATTTTCATGTATCTCTGGGCCTCTTGGTTAGTTGATATGGCTCTCCTGACAGTACCCTGCCCACAGGTGACATTGTGACATATTGCTAGATATAGCGTCTAGGAAATGTACTGTCCTCTGCTGATTGGATCCTGCCCACCGAAGAAAGTCTGACCACTGAGTCCAAAACCTAGGAGACATGAGTCTCCTCTTTATCCTGGATTCTGCCAAGAGTGGGGATTATTACATATTGCTAAGCTCGCCACTCAGGAGTTGTGATTCTCCCTTTTGTTTCCTTCAAACCTGTCCTTATGGGGATGGTGACATATTGCTTGATGTTGTACCCAGGTGATGCGGCTCTTCTGCTTGGTGTCTGCCCACATGTTAGAATGTGATATATAACCAAGAAAGTCCCTAGGTGATATGACTCACCTTTTCTGTCTGGGCTTTACCTGCTGGGGACAGTGGGATATATCTCTCTGCCCTTTGACCTAAGTGAAGTGACTCTCTTTTTCTCCCTGGTTTTTACAATGGGGAGATTGTGGCATATTGCTGAGTTCATCACTCAGGTTATTTGTCTCTACTTTTTTTCTAGAGCCATGCACACAAACAGAATTTTTGACCTATTGCAGGGCCCAGCCTCGAGATAATGTTACTCCTTTTTCTGGGCCCAGCAAATGGACAGAATTATGGCATATCACTGAGGCCAGCACGTTGACAATGTCCTTTCACAGCAGGGCATTATTTCATCTATCATGCCTGTCCCATAGCCACGAAGGTTTTAACATATTCTGGGCATATTATGTAGGTGTTTTGACTCTCATTCCTTGGCTGGGATTTTGCACATGTGGGATGGTTTCAGATTGCTGAGCCCAGCACCCAGTTAATGTGGCTCTAATTCTATATCCTGCCTAGAGAGGACATTGTGACATGCTACTTGGCACTGCAGCTAAACAATATTACCTGCCAACCAAGTTTTTTGCCCACAAATGGGACTATGACATACACTTCGCTTCAGCTTATAGGCATGATCTGGCCACAGGTGGCATGGTGACTCATTTCTGGGTCCAGCTCACAGGCATCCCTAATCCCAGCCTACAGAGATGTTGACCATTATACCTGGGTTAGGGCAGTATATATGATCGTGAATCCATATGAGCCTATAGGCCTCAGAGTGTTTTGCAACTCTCATGCATGCTGTATAAAGCCTTCAGATGTTGTAGAGTGTCATACAACAGCCCGGGAAATGTGAGACTGTGACTCTCATACACACACCCAGGTCGCAGTTAATGGTGTCACCCTCAAAGACCAAAGGTTTTGGCATGTTTTTAGGCCTGGTACCCAGGTGTTGAGACTTTTTGCTGAAATAACTTAACATGGGTGCATTGTGACATATTGCTGTGTTAGAATAATAATAATATGACTCTTCTGCCTGGACCCTGCCAACCTGGGATATTGTCACAGATCTCTGGGCCTATAAGCTGGGTAACATATCTCTCCTGCCTGTGCCCTGCCCCTAGAGAACATTGTGAAATATTCTTTGGCAAAATATTTATGTCATGTGACTCTCCTCCTGGCCAGGGTCCTGCTCACCAAAAAACTTGTGACATACTGCTGATTGCAAAACCTAGGTGATATGGCTGTCTTTCATATTCCAGACTCTGCCAATAGACACATTATTACATATTGCAGAGCCCAGCACCTACGTGGAGTAACTCTCCTCTTATGCTTCTTCCCTGTCTATAGCAGGCTTGGTGACATACTATTTCAGGGTGTATCCAGGTTGTGTGATTTTCCAAATAGGCCCAGCCTACAAATGAGATTATAATGTATCACTGGCTCAGCACCCAGATGATGTGACTCTTCTGCCTTGTCCCTGCTCACAGGTGAAACTATGACATATGTGTGGGTTAAGCACACATACACAATAATAACTCTCATAACTGGACCAACTCAGTAGAAATATGTTAACACTCTGGGTTAAGCACACACGCACAATAACTTTCATACCTGGACCCAGCCAGTAGAAATATTATGACTCTCATAGCAGTCTCAGGTCCATGTGTAAATTCCTGTGATTTTTACTTGTATAAAGTTCACAAATAATTACAAGACTCAGTTATATCATATAAACACTTAATGGTACAAAGAGTGTCATAAAAGAGATCAGCAACGAGGTAAGAATGTGACTCTTTTATGCACGCCTAAAAAGCAGTCGAAGGTTGAAATAATTACTCTTATACCTGCATGTTAATCACAAGTGGTTTGGTAATATTTGAACCATGATTCAGCACATTGCAGTGTTGTGAGTCCCCGACTGAAACACAATCTTCAAGTGGGATTCAGGCTGTTATACATGGATCCGTCTCATTGTTGAAATTATGACTCCTCTGTGTTGACTCAACTTTCATACAGAAAACCAGGACTTGTGTAGGACATGAAACTTATTTCTAAGCATTTCTGAGAGTGTGATTGGGACAGGTAAATTTCCCCAGCACATGAATAATTTGAATTTCTTTTCTAGGCCCACACCACAGATGAAATTGTGCCATATATGGAAGAAGCACCTAAGCAATATGTAACACCTTCGTTGGCTCTGCCTACAAAGGGCACTTTTGTATATCACTGGGACCACCACCCTGGTGAGGTGAATTATCTGCCTAAAGCCTGTCTACAATGAGTATTGTGTTTTATATCAAGGTCCATCACGTAAGTGATGTGACTCCTTTCTACTGCCTTGGCCCTGCACGTACAGTGCATTGTAACACACAACTTGGTACCGCACCCGGGAGATGTGATTCTCTCTTTTGGGTTCTGCCAACAGGAAGCAGTGTAACATATCATTTGGCTAAGCACCTAGATGATGTTTCTTTGCTTTTGTCTGTGCCCTGACCACAGGGAGATTGCGCATATTCCTGATTTCAGCAATAATGTGAGGTCACTCTCCAGCTTTGGTACTGAACGTTACAGACATTTTGACATATAGCAAGGCCAGTTGTTAGGTGAACTGTGTCTCCTCTCTGGCTAAATTTGTGCCCAAAGAAGGAGTTTTGATATGTCACTGAAATGATCATTCCAGTGATGTGACTCTTCTGCCAGGATCTTGCCCACAAGATGGATTGTGACATCTCACTAGACCCATACCCACATAAGTGATGTGACTTTCCTGCCTTCTCTCTTGCCACAAATAATATTGTGCCATATATCTGAGACCACAAGAAAAGCCTAATAGCAACTCATATGTCTGAAGTCAGAACTTGTGCAGGATGGTGGGTCATATTCGTAAACCTTTTCTCAAGTGTAATGTGACGTATATTTTTGCCCAACTCTTGAATGATTTAGTAATTCTGCCTTGATATAGTCCACGAATGAGATTTTGACAAACACTTGGGCCAAGAACCTTGGCGAATAGATTGTGCTGTCTTAACAATGTCCTCAGGGGAAATGGTCACATATTTCTTGACCCATCATCTAGGTTACATTGCTCTCCTCTTTGGCCTGTACCCTGCTTCCTTTAGTAATTTTAGCATTTCTAAACACAGCATCCTAATGACATGATTCTCTTTCGTGGGCCCTGCCAACGTGAGACATTGTGACGCAGTTTTGGGCTCTGCTGTTACGTGACACGAATCTCCTATCCTTCCTGGACACTTCCCACGAGGAACAGTGTGCAGAAAGCTGAAATTAGCACACAAGTTATGTGACATTTCTGACTGGAACCTACCCACAATCAAGATATTGGAATATTTCTGGCCCAGCATTTAGGTGATGTGGCTCTTCTGCCTGCTTCATAACCACAGAGGGAATTGTAACATATACCTAAGCATGGATCACAGGCATGATAATGACTCTCTTATGTGGACTTATCCAATAAAGGATACATTGAGTCTTATAACTAGGTTTAGGGACATGTGTGATGTCCCGGATCACCTTCTCGTTCAAAGTTCACAAAAGACTGTAACACTCACACATATTTACAAAGTCTTTGGGTTACACACACAGAATCTAAGCAGGGCACAGCACACAGGTGAAATTGTGAGCCTTGTATGCACACCTAGCTCATCGTAATGACTGTCATCATCTAACATGTATGAAGCCAACTGTCACCCATGAAAACAGGACATGGGTGCTACTGTAAATCTCATCTTTGGAATTTTCTGACAGTGAGCTTGTGGTGTAAATCTTTGCCAAGCACCTGTGTAATTTGACTCACCAGAATTGTTTCAGCCTGTATATGAGATTGTGATATCTACCTAGGCCAACCTGGAGTTGATGTGACTCTCCTGCCTGGGACCTTTTCTCAGTAAGGATTGTGACATATCACTGGATCTAGCATCCAGGCGATGCTACATTCTTGCCTGCCCCATGCCCACCAAAATTGCTGTTACATACCATTGTGTCCACCTCTTAGGGGATGTAACTCTTCTCTCTGTAATGGGCCCTGCACAAAGGAAGAATAGTGATATATTGCTAGGCCAGGCACACAGGTGAGGGTACACTTAGGCCAGAGCCATGCCCAAAGGAGGGCATTGTGACATATCTCTGGGCTTATCACAGATTTCATGTGGCTCTGCTGCTTGGGTCTTGCCAACCTGGAGAGTGATATATTTCCAGGCCAGGCACACAGGTGATGATATTCTTTTGCCAGGACTATGCTTCATAGAGAACATTGTGACATATATGTGGGCCTATCACCATTGTGAAGTGACTCCCTGCTTTGGCCCTACCTACACGGTGCATTGTGGCATAAGCAGAGAATCTGCACCTAGGTGATGTAACTCTGTTTGCTGAGTGCTGTGTTAAGAGTCTTGTTAAATATCTCAGGACCCAGCACCCAAGTGATGTGCTCTTTTGCCTGCTTTCTGCCCACAGGTTACATTGTGACACATTCCTATGAAATCACCTAGGGGATGTGACTCTCCTCATCTCCCTGAGCCACGCCTGCTGTGGACATTGGGATGCAGGGGTTCAGTCAGCCTGGTGGGAAAAACTTTAAGATAAAGTTATAAAATGTAAACACAGAATCTCTTGGAAGGCCTGCAGGTTTCCATAATGTGTTTGGTTGAAGGCAGCCTTATTCTTTTTGAGCTATAGCAAGGGTATTTAACAAAGCAATGTAGAGAAGACTATTTAAATAGCTTATTTACTCATGTGGTTCTGAAACTAACCTTTGACCATTTGCGAGTGAATGAGTGTTCTGTACTGAGGGGGTCGGCAATGGTAATTACCTTCTAGTGGTGTTTACTTGAGATTTTTTGTCATTTAGTGTGTGCTGAATAAATTCCAGAAGAGCCAGAGACTTGAGGCCACAGCTGACAGCACTCTACTTGAAGCATGTAAGTGGCCTGGTCTCTCAGCCAGACTGATAATCATAATATGTGCATCAGTGTATGTTATTCATTTGTCACTGAGTCAGGGTTTCCCGGATGGACCTCGCATTGGGACGTATCTCTGAGCCCATGACCTAAGTGATGTGACTCTCTTTTTCTGCCTGGGCCTTCACAACAGGAGGATTTTGACACATTGCTGAGGCCAGCACTCAAGATACATAACTCTCCTCCTTTTTCAGAAAATGACTACAAAAAGGGAATTTTGACATATTGCAGGATGCATCACCAGGTGATGTTACTCTTCTGCCTGGGTTCAGCCTAAAGAGGAAATTATGACATATTGCATATTGCTGGGCCCAGCACCCTCGTGATGTGACTCCTGCCTGTGCTGGAGCCACTGAAGGTATATTGACATATCTTGGGCCTATTATTAGGTGTTTTGTCTCATTACCTGGCTGGATTTTTTCCACATGTGAGATGGTGTCATATTGCTAGGTCCAGCACCCAGTTTATGTGACCCAATTTTCTATACCCTGCCTAGAGAAGGCATTGTGGCATATTGGTTTGCACAGTACCTAAGTGATGTTACCCTCCTGCCTAGTTTTTTGTCCACAGATGGAATTATGACAGATACCTTGCTTCAGTTCAAAGGCATGATGATCAAACTTACATTGGGATTGACCTAATAGGGGATATTTTGCCTCTCATACTTAGGTTTAGGGCAATAGGGAAGCCCCAGGTTGCATATTTGTACCATGCTCACAGAAGCTTACACCACTATCTTATATTGTATAAACACATTCGTGGTAGAGAGTTTATTAACAGGAGCCAGCAAAAAGTTCAGATTGGGACTCTCAATTACACAACAAGGAGAAATTAAAAGTTGTCATTATCCCACACTTACAAATCCCACTGTTGAGATTCTCAGTGTAACCAGCGAATATAGTACAAAGTTGGAATTGTTATTTTATATATGCGTCTGGCCAAAGGTTGGATGGTGACTCATTTCTGCACCCAGCCCACAGGCATAATAGGTCTTCCTCCTTAACCCTGCCTGTAGGAGAGATGTTAACTAAAAAACCTGGATTTAGGGCAATATATAAGATTGTGAGTCCATACAAGCATGCAGACCTCAGAGAGGTTTGCATCCCTCATGAAGGTTTTGTAAGTTCCTCAGATGTTGTGGAGAGAGTCATACATTGGTCCAGCACACGCATGAGACTGTGACACTAATATACATGCTCAGCTAAAAGTTAGCTGTCACCCTCAAAGATGAGGAGATTGTGTCATATCATTGGGCCTAGTACCCAGGTTTTGAGACTTTGGGGCTCATATGCCTTTCCATGGGGTCATTGTTACATGTTGCTGGGTCAAAATCATAATAATGTGACTCTTTTGCCCGGGCCCTGTCAACAGGGGATATTATCACATATTTCTGAGCCTATTAGCTAGGTGATGTTTCTCCCCTGACAGTGCCCTGCCCACAGGAAACATTGTGACTTATTGCTAGATATAGAATCTATGTAATGTGACTCTCCTCTCCTGCCTGGATCCTGCCCACAGAAGAAATTGTGACATGCCGCTGGAAGCAAAATCTAGCTGAGTCATATCTCCAAACATTTAGGTGATGTGACTCTCCTCTTCTGCCTGAACATGGCCCGCAAGCGACATTGCGACACAGAGCTGGATCTGGCACACAATTTATGTCACATTTCACAAAGTATTCTACCTACAAAGAAAATATTGGAATATTTCTGGCTTGACATTCAGGTTATTTGGCTGTCGTGATGGTTTCATTACCACAAAGTAAACTTTGACATAAAACTGTGCTCTGTCCACAGGCATGGTAATGACTCTCATATGTGGACCCCCAAAACAGGAGTACTTTTGACGCTCATAGCTTTTTTTTTTTTTTAGAAACAGGAGTGATTATGTCTCGCTAAGGACAAAGTCACAGGTTATAACAACCTCAGATATTTTATAAAGCCTTTGGCTTGTACACAGAGTGTCATAAGAGAACCCAGCAGAAAGGTAAAATTGTAGTGTTACATGCACACCCAGCAGTCAGTAACGACTATCACTGTCTCACATATATGAAGCCAACAGTCACTCATGAAAATAGGACATGCATGGAATTGTAAATCTCATCTCAAGAAATTTCTGCCAGTGTGACTGTGATGTAAATTTTCCTGAGAACCTGTGTGATCTGACTCTGCATACTGGCTCCCACCCCCATATGTTGTTGTGTTATCTACCTGGGCCATCCTCTAGGTGATGTGACTCTCCTGCCTGGGCTTTGCTCTCAGTAAGAATTGTGACTTATCACTAGATCCCACAACCAGGTCATGTTACATTTATTTCTGAGCCATACCCACATAAATCATTGTGACATATCACTGTGTCAACCACTTGGGTGACATAACTCTTCTCATTAGAATGCACACAGTGGAAGATAGTGACATATGGCTGGATGAGGCACACAAGTGATGGTCGTCTTTTGCTAGAGCCTTGTCCTAAAGAGGACATTGTGACAAATCTCTGGGCCTATCATTTAGGTGATGTTGATCTCCAGCATGGTTCCTACTTTCCTGGATAGTGACATATTGCTAGGCTAGGCATGCAGGTGATGGTACACTTTCTACAGGGCCAGACTTCAAGGAGGACTTTGTGACATATCTCTGGGTCTATCATCTAGGTGATGTGACTCCTGGCTTGCATGCTGACCACATAGAATATTGTGACATAAGGGTAGAACCTGCACCTATTTGTTGTAACTCTCTTGTCTGGGTCCTGTCTTAAGGGAGCCATGTGACATATTTCAGGACCCAGCATCAAGGTGATGTGGCTATTCTGCTTGGCTTCACCTCATATACTAGATCGTGTCATATACCTAGGGAATCACCTAGGTGACGTGACTCTACTCTTCTACCTGACCCCTGCCTACTTTTGATATTTGGCCAATTATCTGAGCCTGGGTCCCAAGTGATATGACCCTTTTCTTCTGCTTGCTCCTTTAAAGTGTGGTGATGTGACATATTGCTGAGCCCAATACTTAGCAATATGATTCTACTTTTTATCCCAAACTATGCACATGAAAAGGAATTTGGACAGATTGCCGGGCCCTGTCCAAATTTTATTCCACTTTTTATCCAAAACTATGCACGTGAAAAGGAATTTGGACGGATTCAGGGGCTCAGCTCCCAGATGATGTTCCTCTTCTGTCTGGGTCCTGCATAAAGAAAGAATTATGGTATATTGCTGGGACCCCCATCCTGATGATGTAACCTTCCTGCTTGTGCCAGAGCAACAGAAAGTATTTTTATTTATCTTGGAGCTATTCTCTAGGTGTTTTTGTTTCCGTTATTTTTCATTTTTGTTTTTTCGCATTTGGGATTGTGTTATATTGCTGGGTCTAGCATCCAGTTAATGTAACCCTCATTTCTAGACCATGCCTAAAAATGTCATTGTGACATATTGCTTGGCACAGCGACATATTGCTTGGCACAGCATCTTCGTTGTGCTATCCTCCTGCCAAGTTTTTTTCCTACAAATGGGATTATGAAATTTACCTTGCTTCATTTCACAGGCAAGATGATCAAACAAATTGAGATTCCACTAATAGTGATATTTTGCTTTTCATCACTACATTTCAAGCAATAAGTAAGGTTATGAGTTGCATATTTTTACAAAACTCACATAAGTTTTCAACACCAACTCATATTCTATAAGCTCCTTGGGTGATACACAGAGTTTTATAACAGGGCCCAGCAAAAGGGTAAGATCGTGACTCTTGATTACATGTGTAGGTGAGAGCAAATGTTGTCACCACACCACATTACAAAGCCCAGTGTGGAAGTCCTGATTTTAAAAAGTAAATAAAGTACAAAGATGGAGTTGTGAGTTTCATATGTGGATCTTGCTATAGGTGAGATGGTGAATCATTTCTGGACCCAGATTACAGGCATAATAATGGGTCTCTTGTCTGAACCCAGACGGGGTTTAGGGCAATATATAAGATTCTGAGTCAATACGAGTATGTAGCCCTCAGAGACATTTGCAACTCTCATGCATATTGCATAAAGCCTCCAGATGTTGCAGAGTGTGTCATGCAATGAACCAAAACACGTGAGAGATTGTGACCCTTATATACACACCAAGCTAACTGTTAAAGGTGTTATATCAAATGATGAGAAGATTGTGTCATATCACTAGGCCTAGTACCCTGGTGTTGAAAGTTTTTGACTTAAATTCTTTACCATGGGTGCATTGTAAAATATGGCTGAGTTAGAGTCGTAATAATGTGGCCAGGTGTGGTGGCTCACGCCTATAATCCTAACGCTTTGGGAGGCTGAGGTGGGCAGATTAGGAGGTCTGGAGATCAAGACCATCCTGGCTAACATGGGGAAATCCTGTCTCTACTAAAAATACAAAAAAAGTTAGCCGGGCCTGGTGGCAGGCACCTCTGTTCCCAGCTACTCAGGAGGCTGAGGTAGGAGAATGGCGTCCACATGGGAGGCAAAACTTGCAGTGAGCCTGGTAAGCCTAGATCATGTCACTGAACTCCAGCCTGTGTGACGGGGGAGACTCTGTCTTAAAAACAAAAACAAAAAAAATTATAGCAATGTAACTTTTCAGCTTGGACCCAACCAACAGGGGACACTGTCAAACACTGTCACATATTTTTGGGCTAATCAGCTAGGTGATGGGTTTCTCCTCCTGGTTTTCTGACCACAGAAGACACTCTGACATATTGCTAAATATAGCATATAGGTAACGTAACTCTCCTCTCTTCCCTGGATCCTGCCCACTGAAGAAATTGTGACATACCACTGAGTGCAAAACCTGGGTGATGTGACTCTCCTCTTTCTCCTGGACTCTGCCAAGAGAGGGAGTTATCAGATATTACTGCACACAGCATTTAGGGAATGTGACTATTCACTATTTTTTCAACCCCGTATACACTGAGCATGATGACATATTTGAGATTGTACCCAGGTGATATGACTCTTCTGACGTTGTCCTGCCTACAAAGGAGATTATAATATATCCCTGGCTCGACACCCTGATTACATAACACTTCTCTCTTGTCTCTGTCCAAAGTTGAAACGGTGACATATACCTGGATTCAGCTCATATGCACAATAATAACCCTCATACCTAGACCTAGCCAGGAGAGATATTTCAACTCTCATAGCCAGTCATTGTGATTCTCAGATCCACACCCAGCTGACGTAATTGTCATTCTCACACATTAACAGAGCCTACAAATGAGGTGCTAAATCTCTCACACCTGAGTAGTTGATATTGTTACTCTCATACATGAATCTGCTCCACAGGTGATTTGATGACGTTTGAACCATTATTCAGTAGAACTGTGGTGCTTTGACTCTCTTACTGGAACACAATTATTAACTGGGATTGGGGCTTTTATACATGGATCTGTCCCCTTGTTGAGACTGTAATGCCTGTACTTCATAGGGGGTGCTGACTCTCATACCTGAAGCCAGGAATTTTGTGGGACTGTGAAACTTATTTCTGAACATTTTCAAGTTTGTGATTGAGAAGTATGACTTTGTTCAGCATCTGAGTGTTTTGACCCTCCTTTCTGGTCCCAGAGCACAGTTGAAATTGTAAAATACATGCACCAAGCACCTTTGGCAATGTGACAAAGGGCACTTTTTCATATCCCTGGGACCAGCACCAAGTTGATATGAACTCTTGGCCTGAACTCTGCCTGTGAAGAGCATTGTGGCTTTTATCTAGGCCTGTCACATAAGTTATGTGATTTTCTTCTACTGCCTTGGCCCTGCACTTACAGTGCATTGTGACACATCACTGTGTACTGCACTCAGGTGTTGTGACTCTTTTTTGGGGAGAGGTTTGCCAATAGGAAACTTTGGAACATATCACTTGTCTCAGTATCTAGGTGAGGTTTCTACTCTTTTGCCTGGGCCCTGACCACCAGAAAGATTGTGAAATATTGCTGAACCCAGCACCAAGTCAGGTCCCTCTCCTGCATGGTCCTGCACACGGGGGAAATTATGACAAATATCCAGGCTAATTTCCTAGGTGAAGTTTGTCTCCTATACTGCCTAAGCCCCGGCAGGCCCTGCCCATGGTGAGGAGAGGGGTTCAGATATCTCACTGAAACCAGCATTTATGTGATGTGACTCTTCTTCCAGAATCCTGCCCACAAGGAGGATTGTGACATTTCAGTGGAGCAGATCCCACTCAGGTGGTGTGACTTTCCTTTCTTCTCCCTGTCCACAGGTGATGTTGTGGAATATACCTGAGACTAGATGAAAGGTCTATCAGTGACTTTTGTACCTGGAGCCAGGACATGTGCAGGATGGTGACTCGTATCCCTAAACTTTTCCACCAGTGTTATTGTGACATATTCCTTTGCCCAGCCCCTGAGTGATTTAATAATCTTGCCTGGTTATAGCTCACTGATGACATTTTGACATATACCTGAGACACGAACCTTGGTGATTTATCAGGGGAACCAACCCCCAATATTTTAACATAGGTTCTTTTCTATTTTCCCTAAGTGTCAGTGGGTCTGAGAAATAAAGAGAAAGAGTACAAAAGAGATAAATTTTAAAGCTGAGTGTCTTGTTGGTCATGTCAGCAGGTTCTGTGATGCCCCCTGAGCTGCAAAACCAGCAAGATTTAATTAGCAATTTTCAAAGGGGAGGGAATGTACAAATAGGGTGTCGGTCACAGAGATCACATGCTTCCCATTTTAAGGGAAAGAAAAAGCTGAACCTCTTATTCAAAGTAGAATGATGATTCTCATTCTCCTGATAAGAAACAAAATAAGTAGCCTCCAGACATTCCCTTCCACCAGAGGAGCAGTTGTTTTTTAAATAGCCCTTTGGTGCCCAGTCTATTACTAAACCATATGAGCCTTTTTTTCATATTACTGCATGTGAGTTAACACAATCATCCCAAACTAAAGTTTTAGATGGGCCCTCAAAATTTTTAGGGCATGCTTTTCCTGCAGGTTTATATTGAAAGTATGAGGCATCTCCCATTACTCCCCCTTTCATTTGTTTTAAAGGAGAAAGGGAGAGGCCAGAGACCAAATGCCCCGGTTCCTCTGTAGCTGATCTCTCCAGAAGATAAGCAGCCCAGACTAGAGTTTCTAGATGTATACAACCAGCTGCCTGTCTGAGGCACAGAGATGGGCATCTATAACTACAACCCATAGTAACATTAAATGCAGTGGCTTCTTCTCCTGGTTGAGTGGGGCAACAGTCATCTGTAGGTCCAGGCATCCATGCACTGTCATTAGTGTAGATTTCCACAGGAGCATCCATCCAGGTGAGAGGTCAAATAAGTGGAGGAAAAGACACATAAGCCCACTAAGAATAATTTTGTGTAGCAGGTAAATCAGTGTGAGAGGAAACTGGTGAGACAGAATGTATAAGGAGGAGAATCATTAAACAAAACCTATTGTAAGTAAGATTCAGTGCTGAGATTCAGGGAGGAAGAGAAGAACAGAGGGATGTTATTTTCAGGTTAATATGAACGGTGAGATTTTTAGGTCTGTAAGGGGAAAAAGAAAGGTAATTAGGTGAAGTGGGATTGGTTAGATGGGTCTCCATTGCCATCAAGGACGATTGAACCAGACCCATCTTGATTTGGTGGGCCAGCTTCTGAGGAGTTGGCACAGATCTCACCATGGCTGAGGTCCGTCTCTGATGCGGACCTCTGTTCCCTGTGGTTTTTGTCATCAATATTCACATGAAGCTTGATTCTCCTAGTGGATATTCAGAGAGGGGATTGATGATCTCCTGGTGAAATGCAAGCATATCCTCATTTCCACATTAAGTAGAATCAGAGACAATATTTAAAGGTTTAGGGAAATCCTGTAAGACAGTAATTACAGCAATTAAATCTGCCTTTTGAGCAGAGGTATAAAGGGTAGAAATAAGCTTGTCTGTAGGACCCACATAGCCAGCATTTCCATTACTGGAGCCATCAGTGAACACTGTAATGGCCTCAGGAATGGGCTGGTCTTTGGTTAAGCAAGAGACCACCGAAGATGTCATTTTTATAAAATTAAACAATTTGTTTTTTGGATAATGATTGTCAATAACGCCAATAAAATCAGCCAAGTGAATTTGCCACAGTACAGAATGTTGAAAGGTGGCTTGAATTTTGAGCCAATTTAAAGGAACTACAATTAAATTTGGATCAAATCCAGAAATTTCAAGTATTTTACACCAAGCTTGTTCAATTAAGATGGCCAGTTGGGCCAGATAAACAGACAAAGCTTTTGACACAGAATGGGGAAGAAAACACCACTCTATTAAATCATTATGTTGAACTATTAGCCCAGTAGAGGAGTGCAAGGAAGCAAAAACTAGAAGCTGAAAAGGCTGAAATGGCTGTACTCTAGATAGCTGGGCAGTCTGGATTCTTCCCTCTATGAATTCCAGTCCTGGTGAAGCCTCATGTGTCAAACTCCTGGAACTGCAGAGATTGGAATCTCCCCACAGTGTAGAAAACAAGTTAGACAGTGCATAGGTCAGAATGCCTAAAGTAGGTCTTAAATAATTAATGTTACCCAAAGGTTTCAGAAGTCTTTAAAGTTTTCAAAGAATCTCTCCTAATTTGAACTTTTTGAGGTTGAATACGTTGTTTATCAACCACCATTCCTAAATATCAAACAGGAGTGGTCTGCTGAATTTTATTCTGAGTGATGTGCAATCCAGCCTCTGTAACACAATGGCTCAAAATTTGATAACAGTCAATTAATTCTTTATGAAGGGGGGTGGCAACTAAAATATCATCAATATAATGAAGAATATAGGCCTGGGGAATTGGGCTCAAACTGGTGAAAGCACTTGTCTAACATAAAGCTGGCAGATTGTAGGGCTATTCAGCATTCCCTGAGGAAGTGCTTTCATTGATAACGAGCTGCAGGCTCCTGATTATTGATAGATGGTAAAGTACAAGCAAATTTTTCACAATTCAATTCATGTAAAGCAATATAAAAAATGATCTTTAAGATCAAATGAGAGGTCAAAACTTAGATATTAAAGCAGGGGCAGGCATGCCAGGTTGGATGACTCCCATAGGTTTAATTACAGTATTAGTGGCCCTTAAATGAGTTACCATCTGCAACTTTCCTGATTTCTTTTTTTACTAGAAACACAGTAGAATTCCAGGGGAAAAGGGAAAATTCTGCATTACCAAGTTGTAACTGTTCAGAAACTAATTGAGTTAAACCCTCCAGTTTTCTTTAGAAGCCACTGCAGGTGTTTAATCCTCACAGGTGTGTCAGATTAAACTTTAATGTATGCAGGCAACATCTCGTGATCCAGTAAATTTTGTCATTGGATGGAATGCATGGCCATCTTACACTCATGGTTCACATTTTCAAAAGCTAACATACAAAGGAGAACACCTTGAACATGATAATTAGAGACAGATTTTTCAACAGCATCTTGTAATTTAGCTAAAAAATCAGGGTATAATTCAGTGTGACCTTGTTTAACAGTAGTAAAAGAAGCAGGAGCTTGGCCTAGGGTGCGTAATTTATCCCAAGCTCTCATACACACCTTTGCTACTTGTTCTGTGGTAAGAGCATCAAAGTTTAATTGGGCATAAGTATCAGAGAAATTATCAGACCCTGTGAGCTGAGCCTGAGTAGTTAGAATGCCATTAGTCAAATTTAGCTGAGCCTGCAAATAGGCCTTCTCTGACCACCAGGTACAAAACTGTAAATGCTGAGATGGGTTAGAACAGCTATTGCCAAAAGGTCCCAGTCTAAAGGAAGGAAAATGACCTCTGTACAAAAGTTTGTAATACCATTTTAACATAAGGAGAAGTAGGGTCATACTGAGTACAAGCATCCTTAAATTCTTTTAAAAAGGTAAGATTGAGAGGTACACAATGATGCAGACCGGTTGAGGAACTGAAATGACAGGAGGGTGCGGGGATGCGATGGATGGGGGAGTGCTTGGAGAATTAAAGGTAAATTGTAGTTTGGTTCCAGAGCCATTAGCTGACACCAGAGGTTTGAAGAGAGAAGAATTACCACATATATGGAAATGGGCTGTAGGAGTTGGGGCCACGGGAGTTACAAGTACTGGCTTTTCATGAAAAGAAATAAGGTCAGCAGGGGGTAACATTAAGCCAAAGTTACTGGAGTTAGACACTGAATTTTCAGCATCGTTAGG
The DNA here is from genome assembly GCF_000001405.40 of Homo sapiens. Taxonomy (NCBI): domain Eukaryota; kingdom Metazoa; phylum Chordata; class Mammalia; order Primates; family Hominidae; genus Homo; species Homo sapiens. Next base: position 25,203,132 of record NC_000024.10, on the reverse strand, counting down.
TGGGGGGAGGAGTAGGTGAAGGGAGAGGCTGAGCAGATAACAAAGGCGGTATGGGAAAGGAAAGTTGAGGAGGTATTAGGACAGCATGTACCAAGGCCCAATCACCCCACACAGCGATGGGAACATAATTCCCTGTCGAGACCAGTTCCCAGAATATTGAACCAACATGATCCCATAATTTTACATATAAGTTTCCTTTTTCAGGAAACCAAGGACAGTATTTTTCCACTGCCCTGAATACAGTCACCATATTTTCCATGGTTACTTAGACCCTTCCCCGTTTTAACAGGTCTACATCTAAGTTTCCTTTTTCAGGAAACCAAGGACAGTATTTTCCCACTCTCTTGAATAGAGTGATCATATTTTTCCATGGGCACTCAAACCCTTTCCTCTTTTAACTGGAGTTTAATATAGAAGAGATAAGTATAATTTTTAGACTCTGTATGACCCATAGTTAACCCAGACAAATTCACAGACTACTCACAAATCATCAGGGAGTTGAACAAGTGTTTCTGTGGACCAAACCGATGATGTTTCTCCACACCTACCTACCAAAGGGAATTGGATTCCCACATGCACTTAGGAAAAAGAAAAAAACACATTGGTGCACCAGATATCAGGGGAACCAGCCCCCAATATTTCAATATAGACTCTTTTCTATTTTCCCTAAGTGCAGGCATGTCTGAGAAATAAAGGGAAAGAGTACAAAAGAGAGAAATTTTAAAGCTGGTTGTCTGGGGAAGACATCACATGTCAGCAGGTTCCATGATGCCCCCTGAGCTGCAAAACCAGAAAGTTTTTAATTAGCAAATTTCAAAGGGGTGGGAGTGTACACATTGGGTGTGGGTCACAGAGATCACATGCTTCAAAGGCAATAAAACATCACAAGGCGAATGGGTGGGGCAGGGTCACAAGGCCAGGGTGAAACTAGAATTGCTGATGGAGTTTCATGTCCCACTGTGCATGCATTGTCATTGACAAATGTCTTAACAGAAACAGGGTTCAAGAGCAGAGAACCAGTCTGACTAGAATTCACCAGGCTGGAATTTCCTAATCCTAGCAAGCCTGTGGACACTGCCAGAGACTAGGGCATGTTTCATCCCTATCTACAACTGCATAAGGCAGACACTCCCAGAGTGGCCGTTTTAGAGGCTCCCCTCCCCCGAGGAGTGTATTCTTTTCCCAGGGCTGTTAATTATTAGTATTCCTTACTGAGGAAAGAATTCAGCAATATTTCTCTTACCCATTTTCAGTAATAAGAGAAATATGACTCTGTCCTGCCTGGTTCCCAGGCAGTCAGACCTAATGATTATCTCCATTGTTCCCTGAACATTGGTGTTATCCTGTTCTTTTTTCAAGGTGCCAAGATTTCGTATTGTTCAAACACACATGCTTTATGAACAAGTTTTTCAGTTAACACAATCATCACAGGGTCCTGGGGTGACACACATCCTCAGCTTATGAAGATACTGGGATTAAGAGATTAAGGTAAAGACAGGTATAGGAAATTATAAGAGTATTGATTGGGGAAGTGATAAATGTCCATGAAATCTTCACAATTTATGTTCTTCTGCCATGGCTTCAGCCAGCCCCTCTGTTCGGGTTCCCTGACTTCCCACAACAGTGATTTGAATTTTGTGTCTTAACACTATCCTCAGAAGAAATCATAACATATTTCTAGACTTATCGTCTAGCTTATGTGACTCTCCTCTCCTGTCTGAACCCTGCTTCCTGTGAAGAGTGTAGCATTTTTAAGCACTGCATCCAAATGACATAACCCTCTTGCCTAACCTTTTCAATAGTAGGTATTGTGACATATTTCTGTGCCATCATTTAGGTGGTATGACTCTCCTTTCCTGCCTGGACAATCTCCATAGGAGGCATTATGCCATAGAGTTGGGTTAACACCCCATATTTGTGAGATTTCTGTTCGTGTTTTGCCTACAAAGAGAATATTGGAATATTTCTGGCTTAGGATTTAGGTGACATGGTTTTCCTGCCTGTTTAATAACCACAAAGGGGATGGTGACATATACTTAGGCACAGCTAAAAGGCATAATAATGACTCTCATAGGTGGACCAAGCCAATAGGAGAAATTTTGACTCTTCTAGGTTCATGTACCTGAGTGATTTCCAGGATCTTCTTCTGTAAAATGTCACAGAAGATTACAAAACTCACACATATCTTATAACACCCTTGGGTTGTATAGAGAGTGTCATAACAGGGCCTAGCACACAAAAGGGATTCTGGGTCTCCAATGCTGAGACCCAGCTGACAGTAAGGACTTTCACTATTACAGATGGATGGAGGCAACTGTCCTACATGAAAACAGCACATGTGTGGTATTTTATTCCATCATAATTGTGATATAAATCTTTGTCAGGTATCTGTGTGATTTTACTCTTCTGACTCGTTCCAGCCAACATATGGGATTTTGACATCTACCTAAGCCAATTTTAAAGTGCTGTGACTCTTCTGCCTGGATCATGCTCAGTAAGAATGGTGACATCGCTGGATCCAGCTCCCAGGTTACTTTACATTAGTGTCTGCACCATGCCCAGAAACATCTTAACAACATCACTGTGTCCATCACTTAGGAGATGTAACTCTCCTCTCTGGAATGAGCCCTGCACACAGGGATGGATGATGACACATTCCTAGGCCAGGCACATCACTGATGATACTATTTTTCCAGGGCCATTCCTCAAAGAGGACATTTTGCCATATCACAGGGCCTATCATGTAGGTTATAGGACCTGCCCACTTGAAGAGTGACATACTGCTAGGCCAGGCACAAAGGTGATGATGCTCTTTTGCCAGAGCCATGCTTTAGGGAAGACTTTTTGACATATCTCTGTGGCTATCACCTAATTAATGTGACTTCCTGCTTGGTCCTGCCCACATGGGGCATTGTGACATAAGGGTGGAATCTGGACCTAGGTGATGTATCTCCCTTGCCTGGGTCCTTTTCTAAGGGTGACAAGTGATGTGAATACATCAGGACCAAGAATCAGGTGATGTGTTTCCTCAGCCTGGTTTCTGCCCACATATTAAATTATGACATATACCTAAGGAAACAACTGGGTTATATGACTCTCTTTTTCTGCTTGAGCCCAGCTTACTGGTGACACTGAGACACATCTCTGAGCCCATGACCTAAGTCATTTGACTCTTCCTCTGTCTGTGCTTCTCTGATGGGAATATTCTGACATATTAATGAGTCCAGCACTTAGGTAATGTGTCTTTTGTTTTCTTGCTGAACAATGCCCACAAACAGGACTTTTCCTGTGCTTCAGGGCCCAGCACCCAGATTATGTCACTCTTCTGCCTAGGTCATGCATAAATGGAAACATTATAGCATATTGCTCAGCCCAGTACTCCAATGATGTAACTCTCCTCCTTCTGCCAGAGCTCCAGAAGGTATTTTGACATATTATTGGCCCATTCTTTAGGTGTTTTGACCTCATCACTTTTCTGGGTTTCTTCAACATGAGTTTGTATCATATTGGTGGCTCCAGCCCCCAGTTCATGTGACCCTCTTTTCTAGGCCCTGCCTAGAGATGACACTGTGACATGTTGTGTGGCACATCAGTTAAGTGATTTTAACTTTTTGCCTAATTTTCTTGCCCACAAATGGGATTAGGATATATACCTTGCTTCAGTTCAAAGGTAAGATGATCAAGCTTATATTGGGATTCAGCCAACAGGGGATATCTTGCCTCAAGCAACTATGTTTATGTCAATAGTTAAGGTCCTTCATTGCATACTTGTGCAGAACTCACTGAAATTTACAATACTAAATCATATCAGAGAAACTTCTTGGCTGGTATAGAGAGTTTGATAATAGGGCCCAGCAAAAAGTTAAGATTGTGACTCTTGACTACATATTCTCAATTTACAAAGCCCATTGTTGAGGTCCTCAGTCTAACAAGTAAATACAGCAGAAAGTTGGAATTGTGACATTCATAAGTGAATGTGGCCACATATAGGATGGTGATTCATTTTTGGCTCCAGGTAACAGGCATAATTGTGGTCTCATTCCTGAGTCCAGTGTATAGGAAATCTGTATTCTGTCATGCCTGGGTTTATGGCTATATATAAGATCATGAGTCCATATAAACATGTAAGCCTCAGAAAGTTTAGCAACTCTGATGCATGCTGAACAAAGTTCCCTGATGTTATAGAGAGTGCCATACAATGGCCAGTACATATGTGAGACTGTGGCTCTCATATACACAACTAGCTAACAGTTAATATTTTCGCCCTTAAAAATGAAAAGATGTGTCATATCCATTTGCTTAGTACCCAGGTGTTGAGACTTTTTGGTTTAAATTCCTTTCTATAAGCACTTTGTTACATATCACTGGTTCAGAATCATGATAATGTGATTCTTCTGGCTGGACCTTTTAATCAGGGAATATTTTTAGATATCTCTGGGCCTATTGGCTACCTGATATGTCTCCCTGCCAGTGTCCTGCCCACAGGGGCACTATGACATATCGTGAGATATAGCATCTAGGTAATGTGACTCTCCCCTCCTGCCTGGATTCTGCCGGCTGAAGAAATTGTGACATATTACTGAGTGAAATACCTTGGTGACGTGACTTTCCTTTTTTTCCTAAACTCTGCCAGGCTTTATTTCATAATTCTGAGCTTAGCACCCAGCCAGTGTGATTCTCTTTTTCTTCTTCAAAACTGTCTACATTGGGGATCTGGCATATTATTACAGGCTGTACCCAAGTGATATGTCTCTTCTGTCTAATTTCTGCCCAAATGTTGGATTGTGATGTATAACTAGGGAAGTACCTAGGTGATATGACTCTCCTTTTCTGCCTGGGCCCTGCAGATATTTGTCTGCAGTGGGGAACATCTATGAGCCCTTGGCCTAAGTGAAGAGACTGCTTCTTCTCCCTGGCTTTTATAACAGTGGTTTATGCCATATTGCTGAGCCCAGCCCTCAGGTTATTTTACTTTTTTCTTTTTTCTTGAACCATGATCACACAATAAATTTTGACCTATTGCAGGACCCCAACACACAGATGATGTTAGTCTTTTACCTGGGTCCTGCATATAGAGATAATTATTGCAGATTTCTGGGCCCAGCACCCTGTTAATGTGACTTTCATGCTTGTCCCAGAGCCAAAGAAAGTATTTTGACCTCTCCTGGGCCCATTATGTATGTGTTTTGTCTGTCGTAACTTGGCTTTTTTATTTTTTTATTTTTATTTTATTTGTTTGTTTGTTTGTTTTTGGTGGGGGGATGGAATCTTGCTCTGTCACCCAGCCTGGAGCTCTGGAGTACAATGGTGTGATCTCGGCTCAGTGCAACCTCCGCCTCCTAGGTTCAAGCTGTTCTCCTGCCTCAGCCTCCTGAGTGGCTGGGATTACAGGCATGTGCCACCATGCTCGGCTCATCTTTGTATTTTTAGTAGAGACGGGGTTTCATTATGTTGGTCAGGCTGGTCTAGAACTCTTGTCCTCGTGATTTGCCTGCCTTGGCCACCCAAAGTGCTGGGATTACAGGCGTGTGGCATGGTGCCCAGCCTGGATTTTTTCCCACATTTGAGATGGGGGCATATTGCTGAGTCCAGCATCTAGTTAATGTGACTCTAATTCCTATACACTCCCTAGAGAGGACATTGGGACATGTTACTTGGCACAGCACCTAAGTAACGTTACCCTCCTGCCTAGTTTTTTGCCCACAAATGGGACTATGACATATACCTTATTTCAGTTTACAGGCATAATGGTCAAACTTAAACTTGGATACAGACAATAGGAGATATTTTGCCTTTCATCACTAGGCATAGGGCAATAAGTAAGGTCCTTGGTTGCATATTTGTAGAACGCTCACAGAACTTTACAACACTAACTCATAATGTATAAGTTGCTTGATTGGTACAGAGAGTTTCATGACAGGGACCAGCAGAAAATTCAGATTGGGACCTTCAATTACATGCCCAGGTAAAAGCAAATGTTGTCACCATCCCACATGTCCAAAGCCCACTGTTAACATCGTGAGTCTAACAAGTGAATACAGTACCAGGTTGGAATTTTGACCTTCATATGTGGATCTGGCCACAGGTGGGATGGTGACTTATTTCTGTTTCCAGCTCATAGGCATAATAATGGGTCTCATACCTAAAACCATCCCACATAAAAGATGTTTACTATTATCCATGGGTTTAGGGATATAGGTAAGCTCATGAATCCCTCTGAGCACATAGGCTTCAGAGTAGTTTGCAACCCTGATGCATGCTGTATAAAGCCTTCAAATGTTGTAGAGTGTCATACAATAGCCCAAAGAACACATGATATTGTGAATCTCATATACACACCCAGCTCAATTTAATGATATCACCCACAAAAACAAAAGATTTGACCTATTACTAGGCCTAGTACCCAGGTGTTGAGACTTTTTGGCTTAATTTTTTCCCCATAGATGCATTTTGACATATTGCAGGGTTAGAATCATAATCTTGTTACTTCTGCCTGGACCCTGCAAACAAGGGATATTATCACATATCTCTGGGCCTAAGAGATAGGTGATTTGTCTCTCCTGCCTGTACCCACCCCCAGAGTACATGGTGAAATATCATTTGACCAAACATCTAGGTCATGTGACTCTCTTCTCCTGACGGGGTCCTGCTTACCACAGATGTGGTGACATACCACTGATTACAAAACATAGGTGATGTGACTCTCCTTCATATCCTAAACTCTGTCAAGAGAGGGAATTATTACATTTTGCAGAGCCCAACATCTACTGATTTGACCCTTCTGACTAGGCCCAGCCTACAAATGAGACCATATTGTGTCAGTGGCTCAGTACCCAGGTTATGTGACTCTCCCACATTGTCCCAGCTCATAGGTGAAAGTGTGACATATAACTGGGATAAGCACACATGTGCAATAATGACTCTCATTCCTGGACCCAGCCAGTAGGGATGGTGTGACTCTCATAGCCAGTTGCACTGCCATGGGTAAGGTCCTGGGTTTTTCACTTGCATAATATTCATGAAGGATTATAACGCTGTGGTATATCATATAAAGCCTTATTGGTACATAACAGCGTCATAACAGTGTCATAACAGAGAACAGCAACCAGGTGAGAACGTGACTCTTGTATGCACACCTAGCTGACACGGTAGTCATTCTGACACATAAACAGGGCCTAGGAATGTGATACTAAATCTCACTCATAAAAAGCAGTCAAAGCTTGAAATAATTACTATAGTACATGGATCTGATTCACAGGTAGTTTGGTAATATTTGAAACATGATTCAGCACACTTGTGATGCTCTGACTCTCCTACTGGAACATGATATTCAAGTAGGATTGAGGCTACTATACATGGATCTTGCCCATGGTTGGGATTGTGACTCCTCTACTTCGACCCAACTCATAGAAAGAGTTAACTCAAATACACAAAACCAGGATTCATGTGCGATAAAAAACATATTTCTCAATGTTTCTAAGAGTATGATTGAGACAGGTAAATTTGCCCAGCATATGAATAATTTGACAGTCTCTTCTAGGCCAAAGCCTAGAATGAAATTGTGCCATACGTGGAACAGACACGTAAGCCATGTATAACACCTTCTTTGGCTATGCCTACAAAATGACACTTTTATATATTCCTGGACCATCACCTGGGTAAAGTGAATTATCTGCCTGAAACCTGCCTGAAAATAGAATTGTGTCTCGTATCTCGGTCCATCATGTATGTGATGTGACAACCTTATACTGCCTTGGACAAGCACTTACAGTACATTGTGACACATAAGTGTGCAATGCACCCAGGTGATGTGATTCTCCTTCCTGGGATCTGCCAACAGGAAGCATTGTAATGTATCACTTGGCTCAACACCTAAGTTGTGTTTCTTTTTTGCTTTAGCCTTTGTCTTGATTACAGGGAGATTGTGACATATTGTTGGGTCCAGCACCAATGTGTGATCATGCTCCAGGTTTGGTACTGTACAGAAAAGACACTATGAAATATACCTAGGCCAGTTGCCTAAGTGAATTGTGTCTCCTCTTTTTCCAAAGTCCTGCCCACAGAGGAGTTTTTGATATGTCACTGAAACCAGCAGCCAGGTGATGTGACTTTCCCACAAAGACCTTCACACAAGGGGTATTGTGACATCTCGCAGGACCCACACCCAAGTAGGTGATTTGACTTTCTTGCCTTCTCTGTGTCCACAGGTGATATTGTGCCATATATCTGACACCATAATAAAAGCCTTATAACAACTCATATACCTGGAGCCAGAACATGTGCAAGATAATGACTCTTATTTCTAAACCTCCCCACAAGTATAATTGTGACATAAACCTTTTCCCAGCTCCAGAATGATTTAATAATTTGCCAGGTATAGCCCACAAAAGAGATTTTGACATATACCTGGGCCAAGCACCTTGGTGATTTGACTGTGCTAGTACAATCCTCAGCGGGGATTGTGATAGATTTCTGGACCCATCAACTAGGTTACGGGACTCTCCTCTACCCTCTACTGCCTGTATTCTGCTTCCTTTGGTAATTGTAGCATTTCTAAACACTGCACCCAAGTGATATGACTACTGTGCTTGGGCCCTGTTAACAGGAGGCATTGTTACAAATTTTTGGGCCCACCATTTAGGTGAAATGTCTCTACTCTCCTGCTCTGACACCTCACACAAAGGACACTGTGCAACATATTTGGACCTAGCACAAAAGTTTGGTGGCATTTCTGACAAAGCTTTGCCTACAAAGAGAATATTGGAATAATTCTGGCCCGGCATTTCAATAATATGGCTGTTCCACCTGCTTCATAGCCATACAGAGGATTGTAATATGTACCTAGGCATGGTTCAAAGGAATGATGATGATTGTCATATGGGGATTCAGCTAACAGAGGTTATTTTGACTCTTATAACCAAGTTTAGGTACATGCATGATATCCTGAATAACGTTCTTATACAAATGCCACAAAAGATTACAACATTCGCATATATTTTACAAAGTCTTTGGGTTATAGAGACAGAGTTGTAGCAGGGCTCAGAACACAGGTTAAATTGTGAGTCTTGCATGCACACCCAGCTGACAGTAAAGGCTGTCATCATCTCACACGGATAAAGCCAAATGTCACACATGAAAAAAAGGATATGTGGGGTACTGTAAATCTCACCTTTGCAATTATCTGACACTGTGATTGTGATATAAATCTTTGCCAAGCACCTGTATAATTTGACTCTGCAGACTTATTCCGGCCCAAATATGGTATTGTGCTATCTAGCTAGGCCAACCTCAAGGTGATGTTATTCTCCTGCCTGGGCCCTTCTCTAAGTAAGGATGGTGACATACAACTGAATCTAGCACCCAGCTGATGTTACATTCTTGCCTGTGCCATGTCCACCAAAATTATTGCATATATTTCTATGCCCCCATTATAGGTGATGTATCTCTGCTCTCTGGAATGGGCCATACACAAAGGATGGATAATGACATATTGCAAGGCCAGGCACACAGTTGAAGGTACTATTTTGCCAAAGCCATGTTCAAGGGAGGGCACTGTGATTTATATCCAGGCCTGTCACCTGGGTTATATGGCTCTCCTGCTTGGGCCTTGCCAACCTGGAGTAATATATTTCTAGGCCAGGCACACAGTTGATGGTACTCTTTTGCCAGGACTATACTTCATAGAGGACATTGTGACATACCTTGGGGTCTACCGCCTAGATGAAGTGGCTCCCTCCTTTAGACCTACCCAAATAAAACATTGTGGAATAAGCAGAAAATCTACACCTAGATGATGTAACTCTTTGCTGGGTGCTGTCCTAAGAGAGCCTTGTGACATATCTCAGGACCCAGCACCCAAGTGATGTGGCTCCCCTACCTGGTTTCTGTCTATGTGTTACATTGTGACATATTTCTAGGGAAGCACGTAGATGATATGACTCTCCTCATCTACCTGAGCCTCGCCTACTGGAGATATTGGACATATCTCTGAGCCCATGACCTAAGTGATATGATGTTCTTTGTCTGCCTGGACCTTCACAATAGAAGGATTTTGGCACATTGCTGAGCCCAGCACTCAGGATAGGTGACTCACCTCTTTTTCCTAATCCATGCCCACAAAATAACAAATTTTGACTTATTGCATGGCCCAGCACCCAGATGATGTTACTCTTTAGTGTGGGTTCTGCATAAAGAAAAATTGATGGCATATTGCATATTGCTGGGCCCAGCACCCTTACAATGTGTCTCTCCTGCCTATACTGGAGCCACCGAAGGTTTTTGTTTGTTTGTTTGTTTGTTTGTTTGTTTTGACATATCTTGGGCCCACTATGTAGGTGTTTTGGCTCTCATAACTTGGCTGGATTTTTTCCACAAGTGGGACGGTATCATATTGCTGGGTTGAGTACCCAGCTAATGTGACCCAATTTATCATACCCTGCCTAGAGAAGGCATTGTGACACAGCATCACAAGGCACTGTGACACAGTATCTAAGTGATGTTACCCTCCTGCCTAGTTTTATGCCCACAAATAGGATTATGACATATACCTTGCTTCAATTCACAGGCATGATGATCAAACTTATATTTGGATTCAGCCAATAGGAGATATTTTGCCTCTCATTGCTAAGCTTAGGGCAATAGATAAACTCTGGGGTTGCATATATATTCAAAGCTGACAGAAGCTTACAACACTAACTTATATTGTATAACCTCTTTGTTGGTAGGGAGTTTCACAACAGGACCCCACAAAAAGATTAGATTGGGACTTTCAGTTATGCACCCAGGTGAAATTACAAGTTTTCACCATCCCACATTTACAAAGCCCACTTTTGAAGTCCTGAGTGTAACAAGGAAATACAGCAGAGGTGGAATTGTGACTTTTATATGTTGATCTGGCCACATGTGGAAAGATGACTCATTTCTGGACCCAGCCCACAGACATAATAATGGGTCTTCTCCCTTAACCCTGACTATAGGAGAGATGTTGACTATCAAACTTAGGCTTAGGACAATATGTAAGATTGTAAGTCCATATGAGCACCTAGGCCTCAGAGAGGTTTACAATCTTCATGGAGGTTTTTTTCTTTTTTTTCTTTTTTTTTTCTTTTTTTTTTTTTTCTTGAGATGAACTCTCACTCTGTCACCCAGGCTGGAGTGCAGTGATGTGATCTCAGCTTACTGTGACATCTTTCCTATGAGTTCAAGCGATTCTTTTGCCTCAGCTTCCAAAGTAGCTGGGATTAAAGGTGCCTGCCACCACATCTGGCCAATTTTTTGTATTTTTAGTAGATACGGGGTTTCACCATCTTGGTCAGATGGGTCTTGAACTCCTGACCTCGTGATCTACCCACCTCAGCCTCCCAAAGTGCTGGGATTACAGGCATGAGCCACCATACCTTGCCTCTTCCTGCAGGTTTTATAAAGCCCTGAGATGTTGTACAGAGTTTCATATATTGACCCAGCTCACATGTTTCTAATATACACCCTCACCTAAAAGTTAAAAGTGTCAACCTCAAAAATCATGAGATTGTGTCATGTCACTGGGCCTAATATCGAGGTGTTGTGAGATTGTGGCTTAATTTTTTTTTCCATGGGCGCATTCTTACATATCACTTGGTCAGAATAATAATAATGTTACTCTTTTGCAGGAGCCTTGTCAACAGGGGATATTATCACATATCGCTGGGCCTATCAGCTAGGTGATATGCCTCTCCAGCCCGTGCTCAACCCCCTGAGGACATTTAGAAATATCGCTGAAACTAGCATCTAGGAAGTGTAATTCTCTTCCCCTGCCTGAGTATTGCTTGTCAAAGGAATTGTGACATATGATTGATTACAAAACCTAGGTGGTATTTCTCTCTTCTCCATTCAAGGGTTTATTTCCGTGCTGCATTCTGTTTCATTACTTTAGTGTTCTACTTTTATACCAGTACCAAAATTCTTTGGTTACTGTAGGTTTTTGTGCGTGTTTGAAAATTGTTAAATGTAAGGCTTCGAATATTTTTCTTCTTTTTCAAGATTGTCAGGCTTTTTATAGTCCTTTGAGATCTTACAGGTTTTTTTTTTCTATTTTTGAAAAATATAATTAAAATTAAAAAGAGGTGTGTTGAGTATTGGGTCACTAAGCAGCATGGACATCTTCACAATATTATGTCTTCCAACCCTTGAAATAAAGCCTACTCAAAGTTGTGTTGTTGGCTGAGGATGGTGGCTTGTGCCTGTAATCCCAGTACTTTGGGAGTCCGAAGAGGGTGCATGGAGAAGTCAGCAGAGTGAGAAAATTCTTGGCAAAATGGCAAAACCCAATCTCTACTAAAATACAAAAAACTTAGCTGGGCCTGGTGGTACATGTCTGTAGTTGCAGCTACTTGAGAGGCTGAAGCAGAAGAATCCTTTGTCCCCAGAAACTGGAGGTTGCAGTGAACCAAGATTGTGCCACTGCACTCCAGCCTAGTGACAGAGTGATACTCCATCAAAAAAGAAATTTAAAAAAGAAAAAAAAAACTGTGTATTTTAATATTTTTATTTTTTGAATTGTTCAGCTTTTCTTCTTTTACTAATTTCTAGTTTCATTCCATTTGGGCTGTAAATAATTGTAAAATTTCAATTAAAAAATCGTAAAGGCTTCTTTTCTGGTGTTACAGGTTGTCTGTGTAGAAAAATGTTTTATAAGCTATTGAAAAGAATGTGTATTCTGTTGTCTGTATACATTTATTAAGTGTAATGATTGTATAGTGCATTCAATTATTTTGTTTCCTTATTGATATTCTGTCTTGTTTATTTTTTACTGAAAGTGAGATATTGATGTATGCATCCATTATTATATTGCTGTCTATTTTTGCATCAATTCTGTCAATGTTTGCTTCATGTGTTTGGGAAAAGTTTCATATATTTGCAGGTTGTCTGTTAATGAAACCTTTTACTATAATTGAATGTACTACTTTGTTTCTTGTGAAATTTGACTAAAAGTAACTTTTGTTAAATATTACAGTTGTCAACTTAATATATTTTTGCCTCTTCTCCTCTCATTTGGTGAACATTTGCATGGAATGTATTTTTCATCCTGGCATTTTCAGTTTATGTTTTTATTGGCTCTGAAGTGAGTCTCTTGAAGCCGTGACAGAGATCTTGATATAGATCTTGATGTAGTTAGATTTTTTTTTATTTTGAAGGATACAGTATTCTTGCTTAGACTCTTTTTCCTATGTTTTGACTATGTCATTCTCCTCTCTTCTTGCCTGAAATATTTATGTTCATAAATTTTCTGGTAATCTTGCAGAACCATGCATACAAATAACACATCTCTTTGCTTCGTGCATTTCAGATTATCTTCAAGTCTTTGACTTACAAAAACTGGTTATGTTTTGTCTTGTTAGAAATCTCTTTTTGTTAAACTTAGTTAAAATTTTCTAAGATTCTTGATTTTCTTATTTTTTTACTAATGTCGAAGTGCATATTACTTTTTGGACTTATATGCCAAAATTTTTATTTCTTTCTGTGCTTTCCATTTTTTGTTGGCTTCATTTTTGTTCTTTTATTTTGTTTTCTTTATTTCCACTTTACTCACTGAGCATCTTTGAGATGATAATTTTGATTGTTAAGGTAATTTATTTTTTCTTTTCAAAAATAGATCTAGAATTTAAATCAAATTTTCTCGGGTAATTTTTCCATCTTCATTTCATAATAATTGATTCCTGAATGTTTATTTTTAGTTTTGGTTTAATCATATTATCTGACGATTTGTATGTCTTGTAATCTTAGGTTACAATTTGTATAACAAAAAGCTATATGTCAAAATCTTTACTAAGTGTCCTTTGTCTTAAAAACATGTTGCCAATTTTTTAGACTAGAGATTCTTGGAGTCTCTCAGTCTGTTCTATGAATGTTTTCTCTGTGCTTGAGTGTTTTTTAGTTAAAAAAGTTTCCCTACGTTTTTTCTTTTAAAATTTTTTATATTTATTTATTTATTTATTTTATAATACAACAGTATTTTTCTCTTTTTTTAATTACACTTTAAGTTTTAGGGTACATGTGTACAACATGCAGGTTAGTTATATATGTATATGTGTGCCATGTTGGTGTGCTGCATCCATTATCTCGTCATTTAACATTAGGTATATCTATCTCCTAATGCTATCCCTCCCCCCTCGCCCCACGCCACAACAGGCCATGGTGTGTGATGTTCCTCTTCCTGCGTCCATGTGTTCTCATTGTTCAATTCCCACCTATGAGTGAGAACTTGCGGTGTTTGGTTCAGTTCCCATCTATGAGTGAGAACTTGAGATAGTTTGCTGAGAATGATGGTTTCCAGTTTCATCCATGTCCCTGCAAAGGACATGAACTCATCCTGTTTTATGGCTGCGTAGTATTCCATGGGATATATGTGCCACATTTTCTTAATCCAGTCTATCATTGTTGGACATTTGGGTTGGTTCCCAGTCTTTGCTATTGTGCATAGTGCCTCAATAAGCATATGTGTGCATGTGTCTTTATAGCAGCATGATTTATAGTCCTTTGGGTATATACGCAGTAATGGGATGGCTGGGTCAAATGGTATTTCTAGTTCTAGTTCCCTGAGGAATCACCACACTGACTTCCACAATGGTTGAACTACATTATGTCCCACCAACAGTGTAAAAGTGTTCCTATTCTCCACAACCTCTCCAGCATCTGTTGTTTCCTGACTTTTTAATGATCGCCATTCTAACTGGTGTGAGATGGTATCTCATTGTGGTTTTGATTTGCATTTCTCTGATGGCCAGTGATGATGAGCATTTTTTCATGGTTTTTTGGCTGCGTAAATGTCTTCTTTTGAGAAGTGTCTGTTCATATTCTTCGCCCACATTTTGATGGGGTTGTTTGTTTTTTTCTTGTAAATTTGTTTGAGCTCATTGTAGATTCTGGATATTAGTCCTTTTTCAGATGAGTAGATTGCAAAAATTTTCTCCCATTCTGTAGGTTGCCTGTTCTCTCTGATGGTAGTTTCTTTTGCTGTGCAGAAGCTCTTCAGTTTAATTAGATCCCATTTGTCAATTTTGTCTTTTGTTGCCATTGCTTTTGGTGTTTTAGACATGAAGTCCTTGCCCTTGCCTAGGTCCTGAATGGTATTGCCTAGGTTTTCTTCTAGGGATTTTATGGTTTTTGGTCTAACATTTAAGTCTTTAATCCATCTTAACTTAATTTTTGTATAAGGTGTAAGGAAGGAATCCAGTTTCAGCTTTCTACATATGGCTAGCCAGTTTTCCCAGCACCATTTATTGAATGCGGAATCCTTTCCCCATTTCTTGTCTTTGTCAGGTTTGTCAAAGATCAGATAGTTGTGGATGTGTGGTATTATTTCTGAGGGCTCTGATCTGTTCCAATGGCCTAGATCTCTGTTTTGGTACCAGTACCATGCTGCTTTGGTTACTGTAGCCTTGTAGTATAGTTTGAAGACAGGTAGCATGATGTCTCCAGCTTTGTTCTTTTGGCTTAGGATTGACTGGGCAATGCAGTCTCTTTTATGGTTCCATATGAACTTTAAAGTAGTTTTTTCCAATTCTGTGCAGGAAGTCATTGGTAGCTTCATGGGGATGGCATTGAATCTACAAATTACCTTGGGCAGTATGGCCATTGTCACGATATTGATTCTTCCTATCCATGAGCATGGAATGTTCTTCCATTTGTTTGTGTCCTCTTTTATTTCACTGAGCAGTGGTTTGTAGTTCTACTTGAAGACGTCCTTCACATCCCTTGTAAGTTGGATTCCTAGGTATTTTATTCTCTTTGAAGCAATTGTGAATGACAGTTCACTCATGATTTGGCTCTCTGTTTGTCTCTTATTGGTGTATAAGAATGCTTGTGATTTTTGCACATTTCTTTTGTGTCCTGAGACTTTGCTGAAGTTGCTGATCAGCTTAAGGAGATTTTGGGCTGAGATAATGGGGTTTTCTAGATATACAATCATGTCATCTGCACACAGGGACAATTTGACTTCCTCTTTTCCTAATTGAAAATCCTTTATTTCCTTCTCCTGCCTAATTGCCCTGGCCAGAACTTCCAACACCATGTTGAATAGGAGTGGTGAGAGAGGGCATCCCTTTCTTGTGCCAGTTTTCAAAGGGAATGCTTCCAGTTTTTGCCCATTGAGTATAAGATTGGCTGTGGGTTTTTCATAATTAGCTCTTATTATTTTTAGATACGTCCTGTCAATACCTAATTTATTGAGAGTTTTTAGCATGAAGTGCTGTTGAATTTTGTCAAAGACCTTTTCTGCATCTATTGAGATAATCATGTGGTTTTTGCCTTTGTTTCTTTTCTGTTTATATGCCGGATTACGTGTATTGATTTTCATATGTTGAAACAGCCTTGCATCCCAGGGATGAAGCCCACTTGATCATTGTGGATAAGCTTTTTGATGTGCTGTTGGATATGGTTTGCCAGTATTTTATTGAGGATTTTTGCATAGATATTCATCAGGGATATTGTTCTAAAATTCTCTTTTTTGGTTGTGTCTCTGCCAGGCTTTGGTGTTAGGGTGATGTTGGCCTCATAAAATGAGTTAGGGAGGATTTCCTCTTTTTCTATTGATTGGACTAGTTTCAGAAGGAATGGTACCAGCTCCTCCTTGCACCTCTGGTAGAATTCGGCTGTGAATCCATCTGGTCCTGGACTTTTTTTTGTTGGTAAGCTGTTAATTATTGCCTCAAATTCAGAGCCTATTATTGGTCTATTCAGAGATTCAACTTCTTCCCGGTTTAGTCTTGGGAGGGTGTATGTGTCAAGGAATTTATCAATTTCTTCTAGATTTTCTAGTTTATTTGCCTAGAGGTGTTTGTAGTATTCTCTGAAGGTAGTTTGTATTTCTGTGGGATCAGTTGTGATATCCCCTTTATCATTTTTTATTGCATCTATTTGATTCTTCTCTCTTTTCTTCTTTATTAGTCTTGCTAGTGGTCTATCAGTTTTGTTGATCTTTTCAGAAAACCAGCTCCTGGAATCATTGGTTTTTTGAAAGGCTTTTTATGTCTCTATCTCCTTCAATTCTGCTCTGACCTTAGTTATTTCTTGCCTTCTGCTAGCTTTTGAATGTGTTTGCTCTTGCTTCTCTAGTTCTTTTAATTGTGATGTTAGGGTGTCAATTTTAGATCTTTCCTGCTTTCTCTTGTGGGCATATAGTGCTATAAATATCCATCTACACACTGCTTTAAATGTGTCCCAGAGATTCTGGTATGTTGTGTGTTTGTTCTTATTAGTCTCAAGGTACAACTTTATTTCTGACTTCATTTCGTTAGGTACCCAGTAGTCATTCAGGAGCAGGTTGTTCAGTTTCCATGTAATTGAGAGGTTTTGAGTGAGTTTCTTAATCCTGAGTTCTAGTTTGATTGCACTGTGGTCTGAGAGACATTTTGTTATAATTTCTGTTTTTTTACATTTGCTGAGGTGTGCTTTACTTCCAACTATATGGTTGATTTTGGAATGGTTGGGGTGTGGTTCTGAGAAGAACGTATATTCTGTTGATTTGGGGTGGAGAGTTCTGTAGACATCTATTAGGTCCGCCTGGTGCAGAGCTGAATTCAATTCCTACAATAATAACAGGAGACTTTAACACCCCACTGTCAACATTAGGCAGATCAATGAGACAGAAAGTTAACAAAGATACCTTCAATTTCTTTAATGATTTTATGGAATTGCTATTTTACATTCTCCTGTCTTTATCTCTACATGTTCAATTAGAAAATCCTCAGTGAATACTTTTCAGTATGATAGAGAAAATATTGTGCAATTAATTACTGATAGATACACAGTGAAGTAATTTCTGGTTTTCATTTGGTGCTCTCACACTGAGGATAGAAAAGTCTTGGTTGTAATCTTACATGATGAGGAGTTCTACTATGCTGTTTTCTTTTGCTCTGTGATCTACTGTCACAGTTGTTTGAACTTGCCACTGAAAAAAGTGGGAAATTGTTTCCCTCATGTCTACTCATCTCCCTTTCATAGGTTTTCTGGTGGTGTATTGTCTAGATGGCTTAGTAGCTCATGATCACAGAGGTCATATTTGACAAGAGAAAGCTTTGTTGCTCCAGGACTAAGTGAAGGTGTTTACCACCTAGTGCCTAAGGTTTCTCCAGAGCCACGATGGAGCTTAAAAACCATTACTGAAACCAGAAAGTGATGGCAGACATTGAGGGCTGCCCAGAGTAGAAAGCAAAATGCTCCCTTTTGCTTTACAAGTGGTCACTGCTTATTTGGTCATTAATGTTGCTTCTGACCATGACGTGTTTCTTGTTCATCTTTCTTGGTATTCCACTGAAGGTGCATCTAAGGAAACGAGCCCTGTGTGATAGTGGTAAAGAGAACAACTGCATCCTTCTGTAGCTGATGCCTTGTTGAGCTTTGAAGCACATTGAGAAGAATCTGAAATCCTTCCTCATTATGGGGTAAGTTGTGTCAAATTTGACTCCCATGTAAATGGCAGCAGGTTCACGATGTCAAAGAAGAAACTCAGAATCAGTAAATAGGATATGGAGTTTTACTGGCGACTTACATAGAGGGGAGAAAGTCCAGTGTCAGTGGGCTTAGCAGGATAACCACGTCCACTTGGAAAAAGCATGCAGTGTGCATAGCATATTTATTAAGCACATTTTTTCTGAACAATCTTTTATCTGTTGTCCTTCATTTAACAAAAAATAAGGGCCTCAGTCCCCTGTGTGGCCTACTCCATACCACAGCATGGGAGAGAGCAAAGGCTCAGACTTTCCTCATAGATAAAGAGTAATCTCCAGGTTGGCCACTACTAGATTTTTTTTTTTTTTTTTTTGAAATGAAGTTTCACTCTTGTTGCCCAGGCTGGAGGGTGTTTGCACAATCTCAGCTCACCGAAACCTCCGCCTCACAGGTTCAAGTGATTCCTCTGCCTCAGCCTTCTGAGTAGCTAGGATGACAAGCATTTGCCATGATACCTGGCTAATTTTGTATTTTTAGTAGAGACCAGGATTCTTCATGTTGATAAGGTGGTTCTTGAACTCCTGACCTCAGATGATCCATCTGATTTGGCCTCCCAAACTGCTGGGAGTACAGGCCTGACCCACTGCAGCTGGCCAGGCCACTAGTAGATTTTTAGCTTGAAACTCTGAACACTCAGAAACATTTTTTATATAAGATCAGTCTTCAGGTATGTGCAAGACAAGTTACCACTGTCAGTTGCATCCATCATACAGGCTGGTCCAGGCAGTGGAGGTTCTTCTTCCTGAGAATCTAGATTCAAACTTTTTTTTTCCTTTTTCTTGAATCCTTGGATTAACAGGAGTTTATCTAAAAAGCCTGATGTGTGTGCACATTGCTGGTATGGTTTTCTAAGTAAATGAGATGGCTTCTTACTTGGTAGGGTTTGTTCCTGTTACAGGTGTGTTCAGGCTGCTGAGGTGCCCATTCTCAAGATTTTCACTGGACATTCTGGGGTCCCAGTTCAAGTATTTTCCAATGTGAGTCAAGGTGAACCAGAGCCTGAAATTTTGGTTCAGTGTGGCCAGGCTGAGGCTGCCCTTTTAAAGGGAGAAATGTCAGGTTTGTGTCTTATTTTCCTTGTCATTTTAACATATCTTTTGGAATGGAGACCAGAAAAGAATCTGGATATTTGACAGCCCTCCTCCTAGATCTGGTACTATCTATACATGACTCTTAAGTGTCAACGTAGTTTGAGAGATCTCTCTTCCTGGAATAGCCTGAGTAGCCTAAAGAACAATGATCCTTGATGCTTGGCTCATGTGGTCTTCAGAGGAATTTCAAAAACCATAGAATTTGGAGGGTAGAGAAAGAGCTGTTACAAGTGATATGTTGCAGATGAAATAACTGGAGGCACGAAGTAAATGGGACCTGCTTGGAATGGTACACACACTGCCTGAGTGCAGTTGAACAGTCAAGCCAGTTCTCTGATTTGGGCCTACACTCACAATGAAGAGGAATATTTTTCCTCAAGGGAAGCCCAGGGGTTCTGAGGATTATGGGTGCCAGTGAAGAAAAAATGTGATGCCTCAGCCTAGTGCTTTTGCTGCTCCTGGCTTGTGACTTTGGGGATTCAATTTTCTCATTAGAGACATGGGCAATGGAAGTCACTCAGTGACTGGCTGCTCACCCAAGTTTTACCAGGCCACTACCCAGTGCGCACCCTGGAGTTCCAGGTACAGCTTGTGGTTCAAAAGGCTGGGGGATCTCTTGGGTGAGTTGAGGGCTTTGAGGGGGTTCTCCCACTCAGGGACCACTCATACCTACCCTTGTGTGCCCATCTGACAGCTCAGCATGTCTGCTGTATGCCACCCTTACTTTCTGCTCTGGCCAAGCCCATGTCTCCCCGGATTGGCTAGGGGCACTTGCTCACTAAGTCCCAGGTGACCTGTCCGTCCTTCCTCCAATGCACATCTTCAGGCAGGTGTCACCCAAATTTCCTCCTAGAGTGTGATCTCTGTGGGTTAGAGCAGCACATTCTGCTACAGCTTATTGACGAGTTACTAAATCACTGAATTTTCCAAGAAGAATGTGATCCTTGACACTCTTGATCTCCTTCTAGGGGGGCTGCACTTGTGGTTGCCATCCTGATTTCTTTGTGGAAATACCTAGTGGGTGAGGAAGGACTCAAGGACCGGGAACATGACAGAGCACCTAGGCTGACCTACCACGTGGCCCTCTGAGATCACTGCTGGCAGGAGTGTTTCATGGAGCTCCAGGCCCCTATTCTAAGATGCTTGCCCATAGCCCCTTCCGTGACTTCCAGGAAAGGTCTACTCTTTTAGCAAGCTGCACCCACTGGTCTCTAGGAGACAAGTATTCATTTACCTTTGTGTAAGTCACCTTCTGCTTCATTTCTATTAAATGTTCTCCTGGAAAAAAATGCCTAAGGAATGCTGGGTCTGTGCTGGAGCTTCTCTAAGTGCCAAAATCAGTAAGACGGTCTCAAAGATATAATTAATAGCACTTTCTACACAATATCTCAGGTTTACTTTTGACCAATAATGTGTAAAACTAATACTATCCTTTCATTCTTCATATTACTTTATTTAGGTCATCATACAAACATTTCATTTTCTTGAAATTTTTTATGCCAATTATTGTATTTTCTCTACTTTGTTCTAATTGCTACCATTTTAGATGCAAAATTTTAGTAATATAATATGCTGCATAAAGGCTAATAGGTGATCACAACTTATTTAAACTGTAATTAGATTTCTTAAGTAAATAATTTCAGAAAACTGAGTTTATATTATTTGTATGAATTATTTTACATCTTATCCTCTATCTTAAGAAAATTTTAGCTGCATATGCAATTCAAAATTGGCAGATTTTTTAAATAGGCAACTTTAAAACATTTCATTGAATATGTTTGGTAATACAATTCTAAAATATTTTATTTTAGAAACCAACACACTTGACAGTTGATATTCATATTATCTATGAAAGTAACATTATGAACATGCTTTTATAGTTTCCCAAAAGAAGAAAAAAGTCTATTCTGGTCTTCAGTAGTAAAACTTAAAGATTATGGAAATGAGATTAAATTTATTCACTAAAATACTTACAAAAACTGAGATTCATTAACTTGTTCTTTATTATTTACTATATGATAATGAACAGATTATAAGATGTTCAGAATTTGCTTCATTATAGAAATAAAGCCAAACATCTCTTTGAAAGAATCATTACAATTAAACAGAAGAAACCTATCATTTATATTATTTTAAAAATCACTGGAGGAGCCAAGATGGCCGAATAGGAACAGCTCCGGTCTACAGCTCCCAGGGTGAGTGAAGCAGAAGATGGTGATTTCTGCATTTCCATCTGAGGTACCCAGTTCATCTCACTAGGGAGTGCCAGACAGTGGGCGCAGGTCAGTGGGTGCGCGCACCATGTGCAAGCCGAAGCAGGGCCAGGCATTGCCTCACTTGGGAAGTACAAGGGGTCAGGGAGTTCTCTTTCTGAGTCAAAGAAAGGGGTGATGGACGCACCTGAAAACTCGGGTTACTCCCACCAGAATACTGCTCTTTTCTGACCGGCTTAAGAAACGGCACACCACGAGATTATATCCCACACCTGGCTCAGAGGGTCCTATGCCCACGGAGTCTTGCTGATTGCTAGCACAGCAGTCTGAGATCAAACTGCAAGGTGGCAGCAAGGCTGGAGGAGGGGCGCCCGACATTGCCCAGGCTTGCTTAGGTAAACAAAGCAGCAGGGAAGCTCGAACTGGGTGGAGCCCACCACAGCTCAAGGAGGCCTGCCTGCCTCTGTAGGCTCCACCTCTGGGGGCAGGGCACAGACAAACAAAAAGACAGCAGTAACCTCTGCAGACTTAAATGTCCCTGTCTGACAGCTTTGAAGAGAGCAGTGGTTCTCCCAGCAAGCAGCTGGAGATCTGAGAAGGGGCAGACTGCCTCCTCAAGTGGGTCCCTGACCCCTGACCCCTGAGCAGCCTAACTGGGAGGCACCCCCCAGCAGGGGCACACTGACACCTCACACGGCAGCGTATTCCAACAGAACTGCAGCTGAGGGTCCTGTCTGTTAGAAGGAAAACTAACAAACAGAAAGGACATCCACACCAAAAACCCATCTGTACATCACCATCATCAAAGACCAAAAGTAGATAAAACCACAAAGATGGGGAAAAAACAGAACAGAAAAACTGGAAACTCTAAAAAGCAGAGCGCCTCTCCTCCTCCAAAGGAACGCAGTTCCTCACCAGCAACGGAACAAAGCTGGATGGAGAATGACTTTGACGAGCTGAGAGAAGAAGGCTTCAGACGATCAAATTAATCTGAGCTACAGGAGGACATTCAAACCAAAGGCAAAGAAGTTGAAAACTTGAAAAAAAATTAGGAGAATGTATAACTAGAATAACCAATACAGAGAAGTGCTTAAAGGAGCTGATGGAGCTGAAAACCAAGGCTCAAGAACTACATGAAGAATGCAGAAGCCTCAGGAGCCGGTGCGATCAACTGAAAGAAAGGGTATCAGCGATGGAAGATGAAATGACTGAAATGAAGTGAGAAGGGAAGTTTAGAGAAAAAAGAATAAAAAGAAATGAACAAAGCCTCCAAGAAATATGCGACTATATGAAAAGACCAAATCTATGTCTGATTGGTGTACCTGAAAGTGACAGGGAGAATGGAACCAAGCTGGAAAACACTCTGCAGGATATTATCCAGGAGAACTTCCCCAATCTAGCAAGGCAGGCCAATGTTCAGATTCAGGAAATACAGAGAACACCACAAAGATACTCCTCAAGAAGAGCAAGACACATAATTGTCAGATTCACCAAAGTTGAAACAAAGGAAAAAATGTTAAGGGCAGCCAGAGAGAAAGGTCGGGTTACCCTCAAAGGGAAGCCCATCAGACCAAGAGTGGATCTCTCGGCAGAAACCCTACAAGCCAGAAGATAGTGAGGGCCAATATTCAACATTCTTAAAGAAAAGAATTTACAAACCAGAATTTCATATCCAGCCAAACTAAGCTTCATAAGCGAAGGAGAAATAAAATACTTTACAGACAAGCAAATGCTGAAAGATTTTGTCACCACTAGACCTGCCCTAAAAGAGCTCCTGAAGGAAGCGCTAAACATTCAAAGGAACAACAAGAACCAGCCACTGGAAAATCATGTCAAAATGTAAAGACCATCAAGACTAGGAAGAAACTGTATCGACTAACGAGCAAAATAACCAGCTAACATCATAATGACAGGATCAAATTCACACATAACAATATTAACTTTAAAAGTAAATGGACTAAATGTTCCAATTAAAAGACACAGACTGGCAAATTGGATAAAGAGTCAACACCCATCAGTGTGCAGTATTCAGGAAACCCATCTCACGTGCAGAGACACACATAGGCTCAAAATAAAAGGATGGAGGAAGATCTACCAAGCAAATGGAAAACAAAAAAAGGCAGGGGTTGCAATCCTAGTCTCTGATAAAACAGACGTTAAACCAACAAAGACCAAAAGAGACAAAGAAGGCCACTACATAATGGTAAAGGGATCAATTCAACAAGAAGAGCTAACTATCTTAAATATATATGCACCCAATACAGGAGCACCAAGATTCATAAAGCAAGTCCTGAGTGACCTACAAAGAGACTTAGACTCCCACACAATAATAATGGGAGACTTTAACACCCCACTGTCAACATTAGACAGATCAAAGAGACAGAAGGTTAACAAGGATACCCAGGAATTGAACTCAGCTCTGCACCAAGCGGACCTAATAGACATCTGCAGAACTCTCCACCCCAAATCAACAGAATATACATTTTTTTTCAGCACCAAACCACACTTATTCCAAAATTGACCACATACTTGGAAGTAAAGCTCTCCTCAGCAAATGTAAAAGAACAGAAATTATAACAAACTATGTCTCAGACCACAGTGCAATCAAACTAGAACTCAGGATTAAGAATCGCACTCAAAACCACTCAACTACATGGAAACTGAACAACCTGCTCCTGAAGGACTACTGGGTACATAACGAAATGAAGGCAGAAATAAAGATGTTCTTTGAAACCAACGAGAACAAAGACACAACATACCAGAATCTCTGGGACGCATTCAAAGCAGTGTGTAGAGGGAAATTTATAGCACTAAATGCCCACAAGAGAAAGCAGGAAAGATCCAAAATTGACACCGTAACATCACAATTAAAAGAACTAGAAAAGCAAGAGCAAACACAGTCAAAAGCTAGCAGAAGGCAATAAATAACTAAAATCAGAGCAGAACTGAAGGAAATAGAGACACAAAAAACCCTTCAAAAAATTAATGAATCCAGGAGCTGGTTTTTTGAAAGGATCAACAAAATGATAGACCGCTAGCAAGACTAATAAAGAAAAAAAGAGAGAAGAATCAAATAGATGCAATAAAAAATGATAAAGGGGATATCACCACCGATCCCACAGAAATACAAACTACCATCAGAGAATACTAAAAACACCTCTATGCAAATAAACTAGAAAATCTAGAAGAAATGGATAAATTCCTGGACACATACACTCTCCCAAGACTAAACCAGGAAGAAGTTGAATCTCTGAATAGACCAATAACAGGATCTGAAATTGTGGCAATAATCAATAGCTTACCAACCAAAAAGAGTCCAGGACCAGATGGAATCACAGCCAAATTCTACCAGAGGTACAAGGAGGAACTGGTACCATTCCTTCTGAAACTATTCCAATTAATAGAAAAAGAGGGAATCCTCCCTAACTCTTTTCCCGAGGCCAGCGTCATTCCGATACCAAAGCCAGGCAGAGACACAACAAAAAAAGAGAATTTTAGACCAATACCCTAGATGAACACTGATGCAAAAATCCTCAATAAAATAATGGCAAAACGAATCCAGCAACACATCAAAAAGCTTATTCACCATGATCAACTGGGCTTCATTCCTGAGATGCAAGGCTGGTTGAATATATGCAAATCAATAAATGTAATCCAGCATATAAACAGAGCCAAAGACAAAAACCACACGATTCTCTCAATAGATGCAGTAAAAGCCCTTGACAAAATTCAACAACCCTTCTGCTAAAAACTCTCAATAAATTAGGTATTGATGGGACGTATTTCAAAATAATAAGAGCTATCTATGACAAACCCACAGCCAATATCATACTGAATGGGCAAAAACTGGAAGCATTCCCTTTGAAAACTGGCACAAGACAGGGATGCCCTCTCTCACCACTCCTATTCAACATAGTGTTGGAAGTTCTGGCCAGGGCAATTAGGCAGGAGAAGGAAATAAAATGTATTCAATTAGGAGAAGAGGAAGTCAAATTGTCCCTGTTTGCAGACGACATGATTGTATATCTAGAAAACCCCATCGTCTCAGCTCAAAATCTCCTTAAGCTGATAAGCAACTTTAGCAAAGTCTCAGGATACAAAATCGATGTACAAAATACACAAGCATTCTTATACACCAACAACAAACAAACGGAGAGCCAAATCATGAGTGAACTCTCATTCACAATTGCTTCAAAGAGAATAAAAAACCTAGGAATCCAACTTACAAGGGATGTGAATGACCTCTTCAAGGAGAACTACAAACCACTGCTCAAGGAAATAAAAGAGGATACAAACAAATGGAAGAACATTCCATGCTCATGGATAGGAAGAATTAATATCGTGTAAATGGCCATACTGCCCAAGGTCAGTTACAGATTCAATGCCATCCCCATCAAGCTACCAATGCCTTTCTTCACAGAATTGGAAAAAAAAACTTTAAAGTTCATATGGATCCAAAAAAGAGCCCACATTGCCAAGTCAATCCTAAACCAAAAGAACAAAGCTGGAGGCGTCACACTACCTGACTTCAAACTATACTACAAGTCTACAGTAACCAAAACAGCATGGTACTGTTACCAAAACAGAGATATAGATCAATGGAACAGAACAGAGCCCTCAGAAATAACGCCGCATATCTACAACTATCTGATCTTTGACAAACCTGAGAAAAACAAGCAATGGGGAAAGGATTCCCTATTTAATAAATGGTGCTGGGAAAACTGGTAGCCATATGTAGAAAGCTGAAACTGGATCCCTTCCTTACACCTTATACAAAAATCAATTCAAGATGGATTAAAGACTTAAACGTTAGGCCTAAAACCATAAAAACCCTAGAAGAAAACCTAGGCTTTACCCTTCAGGACATAGGCATAGGCAAGGACTTCATGTCTAAAACACCAAAAGCAATGGCAACAAAAGACAAAATTGACAAACGGGATCTAATTTAACTAAAGAGCTTCTGCACAGCAAAAGAAACTACTGTCAGAGTGAACAGGCAACCTACAAAATGGGAGAAAATTTTCACAACCTACTCATCTGACAAAGGGCTAATATCCAGAATCTACAATGAGCTAAAACAAATTTACAAGAAAAAAACAAACAACCCCATCAAAAAGTGGGTGAAGGACATGAACAGACACTTCTCAAAAGAAAACATTTATGCAGCCAAAAAACACATGAAAAAATGCTCATCATCACTGGCCATCAGAGAAATGCAAATTAAAACCACAATGAGATATCATCTCACACCAGTTAGAATGGCAATCATTAAAAAGTCAGGAAACAACAGGTGCTGGAGAGGATGTGGAGAAACAGGAACACTTTTACACTGTTGGCGGGACTGTAAACTAGTTCAACCATTGTAGAAGTCAGTGTGGCGATTCCTCAGGGATCTAGAACTGGAAATAGCATTTGACCCAGCCATCCCATTACTGGGTATATACCCAAAGGACTATAAATCATTCTGCTATAAAGACACATGCACACGTATGTTTATTGCAGCATTATTCACAATAGCAAAGACTTGGAACCAACCCAAATGTCCAACAATGATAGACTGGATTAAGAAAATGTGGCACATATACACCATGGAATACTATGCAGCCATTAAAAATGATGAGTTCATGTCCTTTGTAGGGACATGGGTGAAATTGGAAATCATCATTCTCAGTAAACTATCTCAAGAACAAAAAACCAAACACCGCATATTCTCACTCATAGGTGGGAATTGAACAATGAGATCACATGGACACAGGAAGGGGAATATCACAGTCTGGGGACTGTGGTGGGGTGGGGGGAGGGGGGAGGGATAGCATTGGGAGATATACCTAATGCTAGATGACGAGTTAGTGGGTGCAGTGCACCAGCATGGCATATGTATACATATGTAACTAACCTGCACAATGTGCACATGGACCCTAAAACTTAAAGTATAATAAAAAAAAATCACCAATTTATATTAAAAAAAAAAAAAAACTTACTGGATTTTACTTCTGGCAGAAGCAGGTTTTCTTAGTACCTGGTGCAATGAAACCAGCCTTCATATGTCACATAATTGCCCAAAATTTACCCTGAACAGAAGGCTGATTCTGCCAGTTTCTAAGAAGAGCTATGATTCTAAGAGGCCAGGACAGCAGGGCAGAAATAAAATATCCTTTGTTTATAACAAATGTTTGGTATTATTATTCCATATCACACAGTTTTTCTATCCTCAGAGAAATTAAGTTGAGGATAGGATGTGTCAAGATCTAGAATCAAGGCTTGGCGTGGTGGCTGACACGTGTAATCCCAGCAGTTTGGGAGGCTGAGATGGGCAAATCAGAAGGTCAGGAGATCAACCATTTTGTCTAACAATGGTGAAACCCCGTCTCTACTAAAAACACAAAAAAATTAGCCAGGCATGGCAGTGGGCACATGTAGTCCCATCTACTTAGGAGGCTGATGCAGAAGAATCAATTTAACCCAGGAGGTGGAGGTTGTAGTGCACTGAGATCACACCACTGTACTCCAGTGTGGGTGGCAGAGCAAGACTCCATTAAAAAAAAAAATCCAGAATCAAATGTAAAAAAAATGGCCTAGTAATTTTGTCTAAGACACAATATAGAGTTGGGAGATTAAAATCATATTTTGCTAATCTAAAGGGAAAGGGTTTCGGGAATTTTAGGTTTTGATACCTGTGGTGCACAGTATTGACATGTATTAGCCATTCCAGGTTTGATTAAATAGACATGCCCTCTACCTCACTCAGTAGATGTTTAAAGGTAGAAATGCAATTTAAAAATTTTACAAGATTTTAACTTAGTTTTTATAGTATGTCCAACTCTATAATTTGTTTCAATTGTGAGAGTCAACTGTGCAGCAGTGGTACAATTTTGTTCACTTCATATGCAGAATTCATGTCATACTATAGACATTTTTATTTTCATCTGAGTCTACTGGCTAATTTCAAGAAGAATATTTATTTCCAATTATGTAGCTTCTATTATATAGCTAGTATTATCTTGTTTACTTCATGTATATGCCAAAAGGACCTCATGACTTAATAAATGTTCAACTATTAATTTGAATAAATTGGCCTAATAAGTTTAATAAACTCAATTATATCAAGTTCATAATGTAAAATGAACAATAAATAAAAATTGGATTAAATAGCATTCTCAAATTGAAATAAAATAAAAAATGTACTAAATAAATAGCATACAATAATACACACACCATGAAATTACATGTAAAAATTATTTTGTGAAGATCATTAAATTTTATCAAAGTCACATTCATCATCTCTGAGAAAATTATACAAGGAATGCTTTATGAAATTAGACTAAAATAAATGTATATATTATGTCTATAGTGAGCAACAAGCAAACAGACAAAAAAAGGAGAATGTGCACAAGATGTTTCTAAGACAAGAGCAATAACATTTTTGGTAAACGGGATTAATACAAGGCAGAGAAAATAGATTTGCTTTCAAAATCTTTGAAGTTTCCGGTTTGCTGGTAAGTTATCAAGACATGTAAAATTATGTGTTTTATTCTAATATTTTTCTTTGCTTCTCAAAGTAGGTACACAATCACAAACAAATATGAGTATTCTCTATAAAGCTGTTACATACAAAGTTTATTTTACAGTGATTTGTCTGTATATTTACATCCATTTAAATAAAAAATAAAGGTATGAATATGTTTAGCAGACCAGAGAAGTCATCAGTTAAAAAAAAGAAGTAGGATAAAATTTTGCAAATAGTTGTTCAGAATTCAGAATTAAAGCATATAGGTCTATTATATTCCAAATCTTCATAACAACCATCACAATAATCTGTAGTTACAAGAAAAACAAAAATATAAATTGTAGGAACCATATTCTTCAAATTATTTTAAGTTAAAGACCACTGACAAAGGAATCATGAGAGATATTATTTCAGTGTAATTCTATAGAATATAGTTACCATCTGTTACCTACAACCATGGGTAAAATGGGATAAGTAACATCAGTGGCAAGATAAAAATTCAATGTAAAGTAGCATTATTACATTCACAAATATTTTCTTCAATTAAAAAAATTAAGTTTACACATTGCCATTAAAAAGGCATTTTGAAATTCACTGTATTTTAATTATCTTAATCTGCAAATGGTAAAGCAATTTCCTTCTAAAATCCAAATTGTTTCTCTTACTATGCAGAATATTATTCTGGTTACTTTTCACACTCCTATCATCCTGTCACTTATGATACTGCACTTATGATACCCAACCACTAAGTAGACTTTCCACTTAGAATTTCTTCATGTATCTTAGATTTCAGTTTTCTTAATCTTCCATATGAAAATATATAAATCTGTCAATCTAATATAGAAGAACCTCTCTTAAATCTAGTGCAGGGACCATTGACCATGCTCTTTCACATAAATTCTAGAAATGAACACACAGCTTCAAATATAAGACTTAAATTCCATCAATAGTTGCTTTTGAAAAAATATTAAATTTTTATTTGTTTGTTATGAGAGAAAGTTTCACCCTGTTGCCATGCTGGACTGCAGTGTGTGATCTTGGCTCACTGCAACCTCCACTTCCTGCATTCAAGCAATCCTCCTGCCTTAGACTCCTGAGTACCTGGAACTACAGGTGTGCACCACCATGCTCAAAAGTTTTTTTTGTTTTGTTTTGTTTTTGTTTGTTTTTTGTAGATATGGGGTTTCACCATGTTGGCCAGAATGGTTTTGATTTCTTG
This sequence comes from Homo sapiens, assembly GCF_000001405.40. NCBI lineage: Eukaryota > Metazoa > Chordata > Mammalia > Primates > Hominidae > Homo > Homo sapiens. Next base: position 25,172,616 of record NC_000024.10, on the reverse strand, counting down.
ACCTCATGATCTATCCACCTTGACCTCCCCAAATCCTGGGATTACACACATGAGCCTCTGTGCCCAGCTTAAATTATTTTCATATAAAAAAGTAGGTTTCTTTTAGAGGAAAGAGACCAACATTGCAGATTAGGAGCAGCTAGACCCTGTAGTTCTCACAGAGAAAAATGCAAGGCGTGCATAAATACAGCACCTTCAAATGAAATATCCAGGTATTTGCCTTCAGAATAATCAAATAAACAACTTGTGGAGAGTAGAGCAAGGCCGAACAATGGGCCACCCAGAAAAGACATAGAGCCAAGAGAACCTCCCCATCCAGTAAAGCAGTAAGTGCATGTGTGACCCTGGGAACCTACAATTCTCCCACACATCTTTTTAATCCTCAGATGGGGAGACTCCCTGAGGAACCTACTTTACCAAGGCCTTTAGTCTAACACATAGAGCTACTTGGGGTCTCAGCATAGCAACTGCACTGGCGTGTTGCAGAGCCACAGATACTCTGGCTTTCCAGGATTCCCAGAAAAAGTAGCTGCAACGCCAGCAAAGCAGGAGGTTATACCCATATACATACCTATAGGAAATAGGCAGAATCCAGGGACCTGAGCAGTGACAGTCTGTAGGACCCACTTCCACAGTGCCTCATAGAGTAAGATCTACTGGCTTAGAATTCCAGCCAATCATTGGCAGCAGCGCTGTATCTCTCTGAATTGGAGCTACCAGAAACAGGAGTGGACCTCCATCTTTGCTGTTTCAACAACATAGCCATCCCAGCCTTCAGGCTTTGAAAAGCCTAAGCTGACTGGGGCAGCAAGGATCTATAGCACCGTACAGGTGCTCTAAAATGACACCACCAGTCTGCCTGGTAAAGCACGTCCCCAAACTCTTCCTCCTCACTGAAAAGAACTTCCCAAACAGGGTGTCCAGCTACCACCACCAGTGTTATTTGATTTATGGAATTTTGAAACCTCTTCGGGGTATAGTTCCTAGAGTGAAGAGTGAGCTGCCACTTTTGCTGTTTTTGTGACTTAGCTGTTCCAGCTTTCTGGCTTTGGAGAATCCAAATAAACAAGGGATGAAAGTGATACCTCTGCACAGCAGAGCTCTCCTACAAAAATGTGGCTAGACTGCTATCTTAAGTGGGTCCCGAATTATGTTTTCCTCACTGGGTAAGACATTTGAAGAGGGGTTCCAGCTATCTCCTTCAGGTGCTTTTGGGCTGGAAACAGGTCTATACCTGCCTGGGATGGAGCTTCCAGAGAATGGGGCATACTGCCTTTGTTGCTGTTTTTCAGCATTCAGTGGGACAGCTTCAGATTCTGTAAAACCTGAGGTGACCAGAAACTGCAGTGGACACAAAACATACTGCAGCAGCCCTTTAGAAAAGTGGCCATACTGTTACATGAGCACCTGTTCTCACACATTCTCACTGTGCAGACTCTCCAGGTCTCGGCCATTAGCCAATCATTGGCAGGGATATTGAGCCTGCAGCAACCTAGCAACTTCCTGGACACAGCCTCTAGGAGTAACTGAAAATATTTCTGCCACTATCTCTGTGTTAGAACTGTCCTTGCTATGCTTCTCAGACTAATGAAAAATTCAAAACCCAGGTACCTTATTTACACCTCAAACAAGCTGCATTTTACCCAAAGAGTGAGGGCCAGTCCACCCTCCATGGGTTCCACAAGCTACCTATTGCTCCTCACAAGACAGTAAACACCAAACTTGGCCAAAAGCAGAGATCCTCCATCCTGGGCTGTCTGTAGTAAGGGATTGCTGACCTACATCTCTCTGAGATGCAGCCCCTAGAAGCCAAGCAAAGAAGGGGCAGCAAGCCACCTCATGTGGTGTCAAGAGTGTTGGTGCAAGAGCATCTGTAGTAATATGTTGCCAGTGATGGCCACTTCTCTAGGTTCAACTTTCTCCCATAAGAGGCTTTAGCCCTAGAAAAATTGTTGGACCTAATTTTTGCAGGATGGTCTTGCAAATCAGAAGAAATTGTTCCAATTGAATACCCCTTGGTCTCCTGGCCTCTTATAGGGACCTATTCTGGCCACAGGTTCTTACAGGGCAGTCTCAGTTACCCTGGGATCCCATACCATAGCATCGGTACTGGTGGGCCATGCCTGATCCCTGAAGAGCTTCAGCAATACAGCCCCTATGACTCCACCAGTCCACATGTTTCTTCCCCATACTGCAGCTTCCCACGAGACCAAAGTAAGCTTATATCCAACCAAAGGGAGCTTCAGAAGTGAAAAAAATTAATATGATCCTATTCACATAAGCAAACGCTGAAGAAATCTGTTACCCAAGACCTGTCTTACAAGGGCTTCTGAAGAAAACACTAAATAAAAAAAAACCCTGTAATTAGTCACTTCAAAAACACACCAAAGTAAATAAACTGCTGACACTCTAAAGCGACCACAAAACAAATGTGCAAAATAGCCAGCTAAAATCGTGGTGGCAGAATCAAATCAACACATATGAATACTAACCATAACTGTAAATGGGCTAAATGCCCCAATTAAAAAACAGTGTGGCAAGTTGAGTAAAGAATCAAGATCTAATGGTATTCTGTAATCTAGACACTCATCTCAATTAAGCTAAATATAAAGAAAAAAGAGAAATCTACCAAATAGATGGAAAACAGAAAAAAGGAGGTGATGCAATCCTAGTTTCTAGCAAAGCAAACTTAAAATCCACGTAGTTTTTTTTTAAGAGAAAGAAGGCATTCCATAATAGTAAAATGCAATAGACAAACCCAACCCAAAAGCACTGAGTATAAAGCGAGTTCTTAGAGATGCTGCAAGATGTTAAGTTAAATCTTCTTCAACAGTCATTACCTTTATGTGGCATTTGTTCAGTATTAAGTCTCTGATGTTGGACATAAAATCAGGATGCTTTAAAAGCTTTTCCACATTTTTAACACTTGTGAAGCTTCTCTCTACTATGAGTTCTATTATTTCTAATGAAGTGTGAGAATGAACTTAATGTTTCACCACATTCTTCACATTTGTAGGCTTTTCCTGCAGTGTGAATTCTCTTATGATTAGCAAAGTCTGAAAAGCACTTAAAGGTTTTGCCACATGCTTCAGATTTGTAAGGGCTGTCTTCTATATGAATTATCTTGTGGTTAATAAGGATTGAAAAGCAGGTAAAGGCTTTGACTTTTTTTTTTCTACAGGTGTAGGGTTTCCCTCCAGTATAAATTCTCTTATGTTTACTAACGGCTGAGAACCACTTAAAAGCTTCTCCACATTAGTTATATATGTAGGGTTTCTCTTCAGTATGAGTTATCTTATGTTTATTAAGGTCTGAGAACCCCCCATAGGCTCTGTGACATTCTTCACATTTGTATGATGGTTTCTCTCCAGTATAAATTATTTTATTTTTAGCAAGTTCTGAGAATTCTCTTAGAATTAGTAAGGTCTGAGAAACATTTAAAGGCTTTTACACATTCTTTGCAATTGTAGGATCTATTTCCAAAATGATTTATCTTGTGTTTAATAAGGGTTGAGGAGCAGGTTAAAATTTTGTCACATTCTTCACATTTGTAGGTTTTTCCTCCAGTATGAACTCTCTTATGTTCAGTAAGGTTTGAGAACTTTTTAAAGGCTTTGCCACATTCTTCATATCTGTAGCATCTCTCTGCAGTAAGTATTCCATTTTTTATAGTAAAATCTGAGAACTACCTACAGTTTCTGCCATATTCTTTGCATTTGTAGTATTTCTCTCTGCTAAAGGTTTTCTTCTGTTCACTGAAGATTGGGTACACCTGGAAAGCTTTCCAAATTTATAACATTGACAAGTTTTTCTCTGGGTAGTTGATAAACATTGAAGAAAGAAATTATAACTGCTTTTCTTTCTGTCCCTTGTAGTAATTCACACTTTGCTAGTCTTTTTTAAATGTAAATGGTTAAGGTCACAGGTTCCATATTTTCTCAGAATCACTTTTTGAAATGAATGTTTTATAATATGTTCCCACCATATGTCTGCAGTAATATGAAAAGAGCCAGCTGAAAAACAAAAACAAAAGGAACAACAAAATTTCTCCCACATTAGGCTCATGTGAATACATTTTACAAATATTAGTTACACAAAGCACATTAACAAGGTGACAATAAAATACCACAGGCTGTAATTCCTTTATAGACATGTAAACTTAACACAATTATAATGAACAAAATTCCTGTGTGAGAAGACTAAGAATCAGTTAAGAATTTATAGCACTTCAAGGGAGCAAAATGTCAAGAACTACATAGAAGTGTAATAAAAGTGTTTTATATTTACCCACCGCAGCCATTCTTCATCCTATGATGACTTCAAATATAGACTCCCAACTCATGTCTTCCCCCTTCAAAAATAAATAAAATAGTGGCACCTGTGTTCAGGCTTCTTGTTTTGTGAGACCTTACTAAAGACTAATTTCTATATTATATGACAGTGTTTAAAGGAAAAGTGGTATTCTTTGACAGTTTGGGGCTGGTGAGACCAAAGGTAAATGACTGTTACAAAAAAAGACTTCAGTGTCATAGACAGAAAATGGGTATAGCAATTGACTGTAGTCAGAATCTCAATAGGAAACATAGGGAATGTCCATGAGTGGTGGCCCACACCTGTAATCCCAGCACTTTGGGAGTCTGAGGCAGGCTGTTCACCTGTGGTCAAAAGTTCAACACCAGCCGGGTCAACATGGTGAAACCCCATCTCTACTAAAAATACAACAATTACACAGGCATGGTGGCGGGCACCTCTAATCTCAGCTACTCTGGTGACTGAGCCAGGAGAATCACTGGAAAGTAGGAGTTGATTCTTGCAGTGAGCCAAGACCATGCCATCACATTGCAGCATGGACAACAAGAGTAAAATGTTCACTCAAAATAAAATAAAATAAAATAAATATAAAATAAAATAAAATATAATAAATAATTGGAAATATTTTTTAATGAAAAAACACAAGCCCAGATAAAACTTGTATAGAACAGAAGTGAGAGACGTCAAGAATCTCTAGCCCAAAAGTTGGTTCATATTTCCCAAGAAAAAATCACTTAATAAGCATTTTCACATGTGGTGATTTATTATACAAATTGCAACATAAGACTACAACATATACAAAACATTAAGATAATATGTCTCACTCAAAGATAAAAATAAATATTCAGAAATCAATGATACAAAACAGAGATGTAAAACTTACCTAAGAAAATTTCAATTAAAGTCTGCATTTATTTTTGAAAGAAAAAATAAATTGACCTGAGAAATTAACTTACCATCTGAATGATGCTTAATGAGTTAAATGGAAATAAATAAAACAAAATGAAATAACAAAAATGAAATTAAGAAAACGATAAAAAGCACAAAAAAGTGTAGAAGTACAAAAAAGTCTCATACGCACTTCAATATTATTTAAAAATATGAGAAAATCAAGAAGCTCAGTAAATTTCAACTAACACAAATAAATTTCTAACAAGACCCCAAATAAGCAATGTTTTGAAAGTCACACACAAAAAGAGAATCTGGAATGCAGGAAGAAAAAAGAGTTATGTTATTTATATGCATGCTTCTGTAAGATTACCAGTAAGTTTATGAACATAAACCTTTCAGGAAAAAAGGAGTAGGATAACATACTTAAAACACCGAAAAAAAAATTATGTTAGAAAATCCTATTCCTCAGAGCCAAAAAATAGAACTAATACTCAGACAAGGAATCTTCTCAGCAAGGCAATTTTACTTTCTGCAGAAAGGGTGCTGCTCATCAGCAATCCTACCCTGAGAGCACAATGAAAAAGAAAGGCAGGAATATTTACCCGTATGCATTGAGTCCTTACTTCTGTGTCCTATCTCCATTAGTTGGAACTAGGCATCACAGTCTAAGCTAAACCTGATTGGCTAACAACCTGAAACTTCCCTAAATAGGTAAAGGCAATGGAGAACAAAGAAAAAGGGAAAGTTTTTGCAAAAATACTTAGAGAAGTAATAAGATTTCCAAATAAGAAAGGGGACATAAGCTGCAACCTGGGACATGCCTGAGCATGTACAGAAGAAATGTTCTGGTGAAAGTACAAGGCCATAGAATGTACTTATTCCCTTATGTATAACAGCTACATAGAGTAGGGCTTAACAAAGAGTTATTAGCACAAAACAAGAAGGCTTTGAAGAAATTTTATCTTTAAAAGAAAATCTTATTTCTAACATTTAGTATTTTTCTTTAAAAGAAGGGAAACTTGATGAGAAACATTTTACAAAGTCTAAGTGAGAATACAATATCCAGCAAAAGTATCCTTCAACAGGAAAAAGAATAAAACTAACTATATTATGACCTGTATCAAGATGTATCGATGTCATGTCTTCAAGAGACTCACTTCAGACCTAATTTAAAAAAATAGACTGAAAATGGCAGGATAAAAAATACATGCCATGCAAGTGTTAACCAAATCATAAGAGAAAAGGCAACAATTTATTAAGTTGAAAACTGTCATATTTTATGAAGTTTGCTTTAAGTCAAAATTCACAAGAGACAAAGTAGGACATTCAATTATATTAAGAGAGTTCATTCACTGAAATTCCGTGAATATGTGAGAGTTTTCCCAAACACATAAAACAAACATTGACAGAATTGAAGCAAAAATAGATAGCAATACAATAATGGAAGGATACATTTGTATCCCACTTTCAGTAATAAATAAAGACAGAATATCAACAAGGGAACAAAAAGTTTGAATACACTATACAATATATTTACCTAACAAATGTATACCGGTAAAAGAATACACTTTTTTTTTTTTTTTTGCAATAGCTCATAAAACATTTTCCTAGGTGGATTACCTGTGATGCCATGAAAGAAGTCTTAATAGTTTTTTTAATTGAAATTTAGCAGACAATTTTTTATAGCACAAATGAAATGAAACTAGAAATCAGTAATGGGAGAAAAGCTGAAAAAATATATGAAAATTAACTGTTAACATAGTTTTACTTTTTTTCTTTCCTTTTTTTTTAGATACAGCCTCACTCTGTCACTAGGAGGAAATACAGTGGCACAATCTCGGCTCACTGTAACCTTAACTTCCACGTACAAGCAATTCCCCTGACTCAGCTTCTCCAGTAGCTGGCATTACAGGCATGCCCAACCACACTTAGCTAATTTTGTGCATTTTAGTAGAGATGGGATTTCATCATGTTGGCCAAAATGGTCTTGATCTCCTGATCTGGCTATGTACCCTCCTCAGCCTTCCAAAGTGCTGGGATTACAGGTATGAGTCACCATGCCTGGCCAGTAACACACTTTTGAGCATGCTGTTTATCAAGGGTTGGAAGACATAGTATTGTAAAGTTGTCCATGCTGCTTGAAGTGATCCACACATTTGACAAACCAATTTTATTTCTCTTTTATTATTATTATTATTTCTTGAGATGGAGTATCGCTGTGTCACCCAGGCTGGAATGCAGTGGCACAATCTTGGCTCACTGCAAGCTCTACCTCCCAGGTTCATGCCATTCTCCTGCCTCAGCATCCCGAGTAGCTGGGACTACAGGCGCCCACCACAATGCCAGGCTAATTTTTTTGTATTTTTGAAGAGATGGGGTTTCACCGTGTTAGCTAGGTTGGTCTCAATCACCTGGCCTCGTGATCCACCTGCCTCAGCCTCCCAAAGTGCTGGGATTACAGGCTTGAACCACCGTGCCCAGCCACCAATTTTCAATTTTAAATTAAACTTTCCCAAAAATAGAAATTACAAAACCCACAAATTACATGAAAATCCTGGCAATCTTTAAAAACAAGAAAAATATTAGAAGCATTTTTCCAAGTTTTTAACTTCTTTCCCATTGGTTTGAATTTCCTCCTGTAGCTCAGAGTAGTTTGATCATCTGAAGTCTTCTCTCAACTCGTCAAAGTCATTCTTGGTCCAGTTTGTTCCATTGCTGGAAACTTTGAAAAAAATTAGATGAATGGATAATTAGAATAAACAATGCAGAGAAGTCCTTAAAGGAGCTGATGGAGCTGAAAGCCAAGGCTCGAGAACAACGTGAAGAATGCAGAAGCCTCAGGAGCCAACGCAATCAACTGGAAGAAAGGGTATCAGTGATGGAAAATGAAATGAATGAAATGAAGTGAGAAGGGAAGTTTAGAGAAAAAAGAATAAAAAGAAATGAACAAAGCCTCCAAGAAATATGGGACTTTGTGAAAAGACAAAATCTACGTCTGATTGGTGTACCTGAAAGTGACAGAGAGAATGGAACCAAGTTGGAAAACACTCTGCAGGATATTATTCAGGAGAACTTCCCCAATCTAGTAAGGCAGGCCAACATTCAGATTCAGAAAATACAGAGAACTTCACAAAGATACTCCTCGAGAAGAGCAACTCCAAGACACTTAATTGTCAGATTCACCAAAGTTGAAATGAAGGGAAAATTGTTAAGGGCAGCCAGAGAAAGTTCGGGTTACCCACAAAGGGAAGCTCATCAGACTAACTAACAGCAGACCTCTTGGCAGAAACTCTGCAAGTCAGAAGACATTGGGGGCCAATATTCAATGTTCTTAAAGAAAAGAATTTTCAACTCAGAATTTCATATCCATAAGTGAAGGAGAAATAAAATACTTTACAGACAAGCAAATGCTGAGAGATTTTGTCACCACCAGGCCTGCCGTAAAAGAGCTCCCGAAGGAAGCACTAAACATGGAGAGGAACAACCAGTACCAGCCACTCCAAAAACACGCCAAAATGTAAAGACCATCAAGCCTAGAAAGAAACTGCATCATCTAACGAGCAAAATAACCAGCTAACATCATGATGACAGGACCAAATTCACAAATAACAATATTAACTTTAAATGTAAACGGGCTAAATGCTCCAATTAACAGACACAGACTGGCAAATTGGATAAAGAGTCAAGACCCATCAGTGTGCTGTATTCAGGAAACCCATCTCAAGTGCAGAGACACACATAGGCTCAAAATAAAGGGATGGAGGAAGATCTACCAAGCAAATAGAACACCAAAAAAAGGCAAGGGTTGCAATCCTAGTCTCTGATAAAACAGACGTTAAACCAACAAAGATCAAAAGACACAAAGAATGGCATTACATAATGGTAAAGGGATCAATTCAACAAGAAGAGCTAACTATCCTAAATATATATGCACCCAATACAGGAGCACCAAGATTCATAAAGCAAGTCCTGAGTGACCTACAAAGAGACTTAGACTCCCACACAATAATAATGGGACACTTTAACACCGCACTGTCAACATTAGACAGATCAACAAGACAGAAAGTTAAAAAGGATACCCAGGAATTGAACTCAGCTCTGCACCAAGCGGACCTAATAGACATCTACAGAACTCTCCACCCCAAATCAACAGGATATACATTTTTTTCAGCACCACACCACACCTATTCCAAAATTGACCACATAGTTGGAAGTAAAGCACTCCTCAGCAAGTGTAAAAGAAAAGAAATTACAACAAACTGTCTCTCAGACCACAGTGCGGTCACACTAGAACTCAGGATTGAGAAACTCACTCAAAACCTCTCAACTACATGGAAACTGGACAACCTGGTCCTGAATGACTACTCAGTACATAACAAAATGAAGGCAGATATAAAGATGTTCTTTGAAACCAATGGGAATAAAGACACAACACACCATAATCTCTGGGACACATTCAAAGCAGTGTGTAGAGGGAAATTTATAGCACTAAATGCCCACAGGAGAAAGCTGGAAAGATCTGAAATTGACACCCTAACATCACAATTAAAAGAACTAGAAAAGCAAGAGCAAACACATTCAAAAGCTAGCAGAAGGCAAGAAATAACTAAAATCTGAGCGGAACTGAAGGAAATAGAGACACAAAAAAACCCTTCAAAAAATTAATGAATCCAGGAGCTGGTTTTTTGAAATGATCAACAAAATTGATAGACTGCTAGCAAGACTAATAAAGAAGAAAAGAGAGACGAATCAAATAGACGCAATAAAAAAATGATAAAGGGGTTATCAACACCGATCCCACAGAAATACAAACTACCATCAGAGAAGACTACAAACACCTCTATGCAAATAAACTAGAAAACCTAGAAGAAATGGATAAATTCCTTGACACATACACTCTCCCAAGACTAAACCAGGAAGAAATTGAATCTCTGAATAGACCAATAACAGGATCTGAAATTGTGGCAATAATCAGTAGCTTACTGACCAAAAAAATTCCAGGACCAGATGGATTCACAGCTGAATTCTACCAGAGGTACAAGGATAAGCTAGTACCATTCCATCTGAAACTATTCCAATCAATAGAAAAAGAGGGAATCCTCCCTAACTCATTTTATGAGGCCAGCATCATCCTGATACCAAAGCCTGGTAGAGATACAACAAAAAAGAGAATTTTAGACCAATACCCTAGATGAACACTGATGCAAAAATCCTCAATAAAATAATGGCAAAACGAATCCAGCAGTACATCAAAAAGCTTATCCACCATGATCAAGTGGGCTTCATCCCTGGGATGCAAGCCTGGTTGAACATATGTAAATGAATGAATGTAATCCAGCATATAAACAGAACCAAAGACAAAAACCACCTGATTATCTCAATAGATGAAGAAAAGGCCTTTGACAAAATTCAACAACCCTTCATGCTAAAAATTCTCAATACATTAGGTATTGATGGGATGTATCTCAAAATAATAATAGCTATCTATGACAAACCCACAGCCAATATCATACTGAATGGGCAAAAACTGGAAGCATTCCCTTTGAAAACTGGCACAAGAAAGGGATGCCCTCTATCACCACTCCTATTCAACATAGTGTTGGAAGTTCTGGCCAGGGCAATTAGGCAGGAGAAGGAAATAAAGGGTATTCAATTAGGACAAAACGAAGTCAAATTGTCCCTGTTTGCAGATGACATGATTGTATATTTAGAAAACCCATTGTCTGAGCCCAAAATCTCCTTAAGCTGATAAGCAACTTCAGCAAAGTCTCAGGACACAAAATCAGTGTACAAAAATCACAAGCATTCTTATACACCAATAACAGACAAACAGACAGCCAAATCATGAGTGAACTCCCATTCACAATTGCTTCAAAGAGAATAAAATATCTAGGAATCCAACTTACAAGGGATGTGAAGGACCTCTTCAAGTAGAACCACAAACCACTGTTCAATGAATGAAAAGAGGACACAAACAAATAGAAAAACCTTCCATGCTCATGGGTAGGAAGAATCAATATCATGAAAATGGTCATACTGCCAAAGGTAATTTATAGATTCAATGCTATCCCCATCAAGCCACCAATGACTTTCTTCACAGAATTGGAAAAAAACGACTTTAAAGTTCATACAGAACCAAAAAAGAGCCTGCATCGCCAAGTCAATCCTAAGCCAAAAGAACAAAGCCAGAGGCATCGTGCTACCTGACTTCAAACTATACTACAAAAAAGCATGGTACCGGTACCAAAACAGAGACATAGATCAATGGAACAGAACAGAGCCCTCAGAAATAATGCAGCATATCTACAACCATCTGATCTTTGACAAATCTGACAAAAACAAGCAATGAGTAAAGGGTTCCCTATTTAATAAATGGTGCTGGGAAAACTGGCTAGCCATATGTAGACAGCTGAAACTGGATCACTTCTTTACACTTTATACAAAAATTAATTCAAGATGGATTAAAGACTTAAACGTTAGACCTAGAACCATAAAAATCCTACAAGAAAACCTAGGCAATACCATCAGAACATAGGCATGGGCAAGGACATCATGTCTAAAACACCAAAAGCAATGACAATAAAAGCCAAAATTGACAAATGGGATCTCATTAAACTAAAGAGCTTCTGCACAGCAAAAGAAACTACCGTCAGAGTGAACAGGCAACCTACAAAATGGAAGCAAATGTTCACAACCTACTCATCTGACAAAGGGCTAATATCCAGAATCTATAATGAACTCAAACAAAATTTACAAGAAAAAAACAAACAACCTGAATCAAAAAGTGGGCAAAGGATATGAACAGACACTTCTCAAAAGAAGACATTTACGCAGCCAAAAAACACATGAAAAAATGCTCATCATCACTGGCCATCAGAGAAATGCAAATCAAAACCACAATGAGACACCATCTCACACCAATTAGAATGGCGATCATTAAAAAGTCAGGAAACAACAGGTGCTGGAGAGGATGTGGAGAAATAGGCACACTTTTACACTGTTGGCGGGACTGTAAACTAGTTCAACCATTGTGGAAGTCAGTGTGGTGATTCCTCAGGGATCTAGAACTGGAAATACCATTTGACCCAGCCATCCCATTACTGGGTATATACCCAAAGGATTATGAATCATGCTGCTATAAAGATTCATGCACACGTATGTTTATTCAGGCACTATTCACAATAGCACAGACTTGGAACCAACCCAAATGTCCAACAATGATAGACTGGATTAAGAAAATGTGGCGCATATACACCATGGAATACTATGCAGCCATAAAAAATGATGAGTTCATGTCCGTTGTGGGGACATGGATGAAACTGGAAACCATCAGTCTCAGCAAACTATCACAAGGACAAAAAAACAAACACCACATGTTCTCACTCATAGGTGGGAATTGAACAATGAGAACACATGGACGCAGGAAGGGGAACATCACACTCTTGAGACTGTTGTGGGTTGGGGGGAGGCGGGAGGGGGGAGGGAAAAAAGAAAAAAAAGAGAAAAAAATAAATAATAAAAAAAAGAAAAATTTTGGAAGCATTACACTTAACAATTTCCAAATACAAAATAAACCTAAAGTAATCAAAGCACTTTGGTACCAGTATAAAAGTAGAAAAAGAAATTAATGAAGCTGAATGCAGCACAGAAATAAACTTTTGAATAGAGAGGAGAGACATACCACCTAGATTTTTCATTCAACTATATGTCATAATTCCTTTGGTAAGCAGGACCCACGCAGGAGAGGAGAGTTACACCATTTAGATGCTAATTTCTGTGATATTTCAAATTTTTTCTGGATGCAGAGAACAATCTGGAGAGACACATAACCTAGCTGATAGGCCAAGAGATATGTGATATTATACCCTCTTGATAGAGCTCAAGCAGAAAAATCACATTATTTTGATTCTAACCCAGTGATAAGTAGCAATGCACCCATGGAAAGAAATTTGAGCCAAAAAGTCTCAACACCTGGGTACTAGACCCAGGGATACGACACAATCTCATCATCTTTGAGGGTGACAACTTTAACTTTTAGCTAAACTTGTATATTAGAGTGACAATCTCACATGTTTGCTGGGACAATGCATGACCCTCTGCAACATCCAAGTGATTTATAAAACCTGCATAAGAGTTGCAAAGCTGTGTGAGGCCTATGTGGTGGTATGGGCTCACAATCTTACATATTAACCTAAACCCAGGTTTGATAGTCAAGATCTCTCCTTTAGGCAGGGTTAAGGAAGAAGACCCATTATTATTCCTGTGGGCTGGGTCTAGAAATGAGTGACCATCCCACTTGTGGCCAGGACCACATATAAATGTCACAATTCCAACTTTGTGCTGCATTCCCTTATTAGACTCATGATCTCGACAGTGGCATTGTAAATGTGGGATGGTGATAACTTTTAATTTCACCTGGGTATGTAACATAGAGTCCCAATCTGAAGGTTTGGCTGGGCCCTGTTATGAAATTTTATATCAACAAAGAGTTTATATACTACAGGTTAGTGTTGGAAGCTTCTGTGAGGTTGTTACATATTTGCAACCGAGGACATTGTCTATTGCCCCAAGCCTAACAGTGAAAGGCAAAATATCTTCTATTGGCTGAATCCCAATATAAGTTTGAACATCATGTCTGTGAACTGAAGCAGGGTATATGTTATAATCCCATATGTGGACAAAAAGCTAGGCAGGAGGGTAACATCACTTAGATGTTGTGCCAAGCAATATTTCACAATGTCTTCTCTAGGCAGGGCATAGGGAATTTGGTCATATTAACTGCATGCTGGACCCAGCAATATGACAACATCCCACATGTGGAAAAAACCCAGCCAAGTTATGAGAACCAAAACACCTGCATGAAGAGACCAAGATATGTCAAAATACGTTAGGTGGCTGCAGCACAGGAGGAAAGTCACATAACAATGGTCCTGGGCCGAGCAATATGCAATATTCCATAAGTTCCTCTATATGCAGAAGCAAGGCAGAAGAGTAACATCATCTGGGTGCCGGGCCCTGCTGTAGGCCAAAATTCCTGTTTTGCAGGAATGGCTTGGGAAAATGAGGAGAGTCACATAACCTGAGTGCTGGGCTCAGTAATGTGCCAAAATCCTCCTATTGTGAAGGTCCAGGCTGAAAAAGAGAGTCACATCATTTAGGTCATGGGCTCAGAGATACGTCCCAATGTCCCCAGTAGTCAGGGCTTAGGCAAACAAGGAGAGTCATATCACCTATGTGCTTCCCTAGAAATATGTCACAGGGTAAAATATGGGCAGAACTTATGCAGAAGAGCCACAACCCCAGAGTGCTGGGTTCTGAGATATTTCACAAGGTTCTCTTAGGGCAGCACCCAGCAAAGATAGTTAGGTGCGGGTTCTCTGTTTATGCCACAATGCTCCGTGTGGCCTCCATGTACACAGGGCCCAAGGAGGGAGTCACTTCACCTAGATGATAGGCCCAGAGATATGTCACAATGACCTCTATGAAGCATAGCCCTGGCAAAAGTGTACCATCACCTGTGTGTATGGCCTAAAATATATCATTGTCAAGGTTGGCAGGGCCCAAGCAGAAAAGCCACATAACCCAAAGATAGACCCAGAGACATGTCACAATATCCTTTTGTGGACATGTCTCAGACAAAAGAGTACCCTTCCCTGTGTCCATGGCCTTGCAATGTGTCACTATCTTTCCTTTGTTCAGGGCTCATTTTAGAGAAGAGAGTTACATAACTTATGAGATGGACACAGAAATATGTTACAATATGTTATTATTCAAGTGGGCGGATCCCGGGAGAGGAGCCATATCATCTCCATAATAGGCCTTTATGGTATGTCAAAATTCCCTCTTTTGGGCATGGCCCTGGAAAAAAACTCATCACTTCTGTGCCTGGCCTAGGAATAAGTCACTATTCTGCCCTGTGTGCAGGGTCCATAAAAAAGAGGAGAGTATTGTCTTCTAAGTGATAGGCACAGAGATATGTCACAAGAATATGACATCACCTGGGTGGGGATTCAGTGATGTCACAATCTTACTGAGAGCAGGGCCTCAGTACAATAGTGTGTACAATAGTCACATTACTTCAAGTTTGACTCAGGTAGATATTAAAATTCCATATGTAGGCTGGAAACTGTCTGAAGAGTGAAATCACACAGGTGCTTGGCAAGATTTTATGCCAGAATAACGATGGAATTAAATTCTAGGGATGAGATGTAAAATAACACACGTGTCCTGTTTACCTGTAGGAGAGCTGCTTTCATCCATCTGTTATGATGATAGTCCTTACTGTCAACTGAGGGTGCATACAAGATTCACAATTTTCTCTGTGGGCTAGGACCTGTTATGACACTCTTTATACAAACCAAAGGTGGGATATCATGTGTGGGTGTTGTCATGATCTGTGACCTTTTTACCAGAAGGTAAACCTGAACAACACTCATGTCCCAAAAATAGTTATTAGAGTCAAAATTTCTCCTATTGTTTCCGTTCACATATGAGAGTCATTATCATGCCTGTTAGCTGTGCCTAGGTATAGGTCACAATCCTCTCTCTGGTTATTAAACTGGCAGGACAAACACCTCACCTAAATCCTGAGCCAGAAATATTTCAATATTTTCTTTAAAGGTAAGACCCTAACAGAAACTTCACAAAACTTGGGTGCTAGGCAAAGTTCTATGGCAAAATGGCCCTTGAGGAAAAAGTCCAGGCAGGAGAGGAGAGTCATATAACAAATGATTGACCCAATGATATGTCACAATGCCTCCTGTTGAAAGGCCCAGGCCAGAGAGTCATGTCATTTGGATGCCATGTTTAGAAATTCTACAGTCTTCACTGGATGCAGGGTTCAGGCAGGAGAGGAGAGTCACATAACCTGGATGATGGGTACAGATATATGTTACAATCCCCTCTGAGGTCACTTTTAGACAGGGGAATCAAATCACCAAGGTTCTTGGCATAGGTTTACGTCAAAATGTAATCTGTGGGCTATAAGTAGGCATGGTTATTAAATCACATAGGAGCTGGACAATGGCATATGTCACAAAAACAACTGTGGAAAGGTTAAGAAATGAAAGTCACCACCTTGCATGTGTCCTGGCTCCAGGTACAATTGTCATTATTAGGGTTTCGGTCTGGTCTCAGGTATATGGAACAGTATCACCTCTGGCAGGGAGAAGAAAGGAAAGTCACATCATCTGTGTGGGTGCTGGTCCAGTGAAATGTCACAATCCTACCTGTGGGCAGGACTGTGGGAGAAGAGTCTCTTCACCTGGATGCTGGTTTCAGTGATATATGCAAATCCCCCTTGTGGGCAAGGCTTAGGAAGAACAGTAGACAAACTTCACCTTGGTAATTGGCATGAATATGTGTCACAGTGGCCACTATGTGAAGAACCAAGGCAGAAGTGTCACCTAATCTTGGTGCTGCATTCAGCAATATGTCACAATCTCTTTGGTGTTCAGGGCCCAGGCAAGAGAGAAGAAACATTACCCAGGTGCTGAGCCATGGGATATGTTAAAAAGCCCCCACAAAAAAGAGTCACATCACCTGGGTGCAGTGCCCAGTTATGTTTCACAATGCATTGCGAGTTCAGGGCCAAGGTAGTAGAAGGAAGTTACATCACTTATGCAATGCACCTAGGCAGGCAGATCACGAGGTCAGGAAATCGAGGCCATCCTGGCTAACACAGTGAAACCCCATCTCCATTAAAATACAAAACAAAACAAAAAAATAGCCAGGTGTGGTTGTGGGCACCTGTAGTCCCAGCTACTTGGGAGGCTGAGGCAGGAGAATGACGTGAACCTGGGAGGCAGAGCTTTCAGTGAGCTGAGATCGCTCCACCGTGCTCCAGCCTGGGCAGCAGAGTGAGACTCCATCTCAAAAAAAAATAAGCAAAACATAAAAGAAAACAAAAAAGCCACAGTACTCTTCTTAGGCAGGGGTCAGGATAAGATCTCACATCAGCTGTGTGATGGTCGCAGTGACATGTAAAAGTGCCTTTGTCACATGGCCAAAGAAAGTGTCATCCATTGCATAAGTGTGTGCTGCATGTGTGTCACAATTTCAACCGTGCCCTGGATGTAGAAAGTCAGAACACTCAGATATTGACAAAAGTCCACCCTTCTTATCAGTTGGGTCTAAGTACAAGAGTCATAATCTCAACAATGAGCAAGATCCATGTATAAGAGCCCCAGTCCCACTTGAAGATGGTGTTCCAGTAGGAGACTCACAGCACCACAGTTCACTGAATCATGGTTCAAAAGTCACCAAACAACCTGTGGATCAGATTCATGTATGGAAGTAACAATTTCAAGCTTCCATTGATTATATGTGTGAGATTTAGTACCTCATATGTAGATGCTGTTAATGTGTGAGAATAACAATCATGTCAGCTGGGTGTGAATCCAAGAGTCACAGTAACACCTGGTTTCTGGGGACTGTTATCACACCCTTTGTACCACTCAGGCTTTATGTGATATGCCTAAATAACATACTTTCCTGTGAATTATTACAGGTGGGTGATCTTGGACTTTACCTTTGTTGATAAGACTGGCTATGAGAGTTGAAACACCTCCCATGGCTGTGTCTAGTTATAAGAGTTATTATTGGGCATATGAGCTGAATCCAGGTGTATGTCCCAATTTCACCTTTGGACAGAGACAAGACAGAAGAGTCTCATCATCTGGGTTCTGATCCAGGGACTCAGTGGTACGTCACAATTTCTTCAGAGAGCAGGATCCAGACAGGAGAGGAGATTCACATTACCTAATGCAATATCAAGAGCTATGTCCCAGTATTCCCAGTGGACAGGGAACTGGCAGGAGAGACACATGACCTAGCTGATAGAACTAAAGATATGTGACAATATCTGCTGTTTGGCAGGGTCCAAGCAGAAGAGTGACATTATTATAAATCTAACCCAGAGATATTTCACAATGCACCCATGGAAAAGAATGTAAGCCAAAAGTTCTCAACACCTAGAGGTACTAGGCCTAGTGATATGACACAATCTCTTCATGTGTTAGGGTGACACCTTTGACTGTTAGCTAGGTGTGTGTATATAAGAGTCACAATGTCACGTGTGTTCCGGGTCATCATATGACACACTCTATCATATCTGAAGGCTTGGTATGCATGAGACTTGCAATCTACTATGAGAACTACATGCTGATATTAACTCACAATTTTACATATTGCTTTAAATCCAGTTATGATAGTCCACATCTCTCTTATTAGCTGGATTTAGACAGGGGACCCATTATTATGCCCCTGATCTGGGTCCAGAAATAAGTCACCATCTCACCTGTAACAACATCCACATATGAAACTCACGATTCCATCTTTTTACTTTATTTACATTTTAAACTCAGGGCTTCAGCAGTGGGATTTGTAAACATGAGATGGGGACAACATTGGCTCCACCTGCATGTGTAATCAAGAATCATGATTTTAACCATCTCCTGGGCCCTTTTATAAAGCTCTGTGTACCACGCAAGGATTTTATAGAATATGAGTCAGTGTTTTACACTTCTGTTAGCTTTGTTCAGATTTGCAACTCTTAATTGTAATTTAATAGGTAAATAGTAATTTACCTATTACTCTAAGTGTAGAAATGAGAGGCAAAATATCTGCTATTGGTGGAATTCCAATTTCAGTTTGATAGTCACACTTCTGAATTGAAGCAATGTAAATTTCATAATCTCATTTGTAGAAAAAAATTAGCAGCAGAGTAGCACAACTTACATTCTGTGCCAAGCAATAAGTCACATTGCCCTCTCTACACAGGGTCTGAAATGCGGGTTACAATATCTGGGTGCTGAACCCAGCAACATGACACAATCCCAAACGTGGATAAATCAAACCCAGACAAATGATGAGAGCAAATCACCTACAGAATTGGCCCAAGATATGTAAAAATACTTTCTGTTGCTCCAGCAGAGGCAGGAGAGTTACATCATCAGAGTGTGTGTCCTAGCAATATGCCATAATTATATCTTTATGCAGAACCCAGTCAGAAAAGGAACACCATCTCAGTGCTGGGCCCAGCAATAGGTCAAAATTCCTTTTTACGGTCATGGTTCGGGAAAAAAAAGAAGAGTCATATTACATAATTATTGGGCTTAGCAATAGGTCACATTGACCAATTGTAAAAAAAAATAAAAATAAAAAAAATAAAACCTGCAGAAGAAAAGAGTCACATTACATAAGACACAGGCTCAGATATATGGTCCAATGTCCCAGGTAGGTAGGACTCAGGCATAAGAGAAGAGTCATATCACGTAGATGCTTCCCTAGGTTTATGAAATAATCTAACGTGTTAGGTGAAACCATGCAGAAGAGTCACATCACTTTGATGCTGGTCTAGAGATATGTCACAAGCCTCCCTTAAGACAGGACCCTAGCTAGAGAATTACAACAAATGAGTTCAGGTTCTACCCTTATGTTCAATGTGGGCAGAACCCAAGCAGGGAGTCACATTATCTAGCTGATAGGTGCAGAGCTATGTCACAATGTCCTCCTTAAGTTATGGTCCTAGTGAAAGGGCACCATCACCTGTGTGACTGGCCTAGCAATATGTCACTATTTGAGTAAGCAGGACCCAAGCAGGAGAGCAAATTCACCTAGGTGATAGGTCCAGAGATTTGTCAAATGTCATCTTAAGGACAGGGCCCTCGCAAAAGAGTGCTGTCACCTCTTTGCCTGACACAGCCATATGTTACTATCCCCCACTGTGTGCAGGGTCCATTCTAGTGTGTAGAGTTATGTCACCTAAGTGGTTGACACAGTGATAAGTGCCAGTGATATCTGTGCACATGACTCAGGCAAAAATGTAACATGACCTGAGTGCTGGATCCAGTGATACGTCACAATTCTTACTGAGAGCAGGGATTGAGCAAAAACATCGCATCACCTAGAGGTTGGCCCAGGTAGATTTCACAATAACATATTGATCTGGAACAAGTCTGAAGAGTCAAATCACACAAGTGCTTGGCCAGCAAGCACAAGATTTATATCACAGACACAGTGGCAGAAAATTACCAGGATGAGATTTAAAATACCACACATGTCCTATTTTCATGAGTGACATTTGACTTCAGATATGTGAGACAGTGACAGTCCTTACTGTCAGCTGGGTGTGCATATGAGACTCACACTTTCACCTTCCTACTGGGTTCCATTATATATACACTCTCAGCACAAGCCAAGGGCTGTTAAAGTCTTCTTTGTCCTTTCTTAAAAGAAAGTGATTTATTCACTCCTGTTTCTGAACGAAGTTATGAAACTTAAAATTACTCCAATTTCTGGGGTCCACATATGAGGGTTATTATCATGCCTGTGAGTTGTGCCTAGGTATGTGTAACAATTTAATCAGTGGCAATGAAATAGGCACAACAGTCAAGTACAACAAATGCTGAGCCAGAAATATTCCAATATTCTCCTTGTTGGCAAGTTTCTGTCAGCAAAGTTGCATAACTTGGGAGTTACACCCAGATGTATGGCACAATGCCCCTTGTTGGCAGTGTCCAGACACAAAAAGAGACTCATATCACTTAAATGCTAGGCCCAGAGATATGACACAATGTCGCATGTTGAAAGGACCAGACAAAAGAGTCAGATCACTTGGATGCAGTGCTTAGAAATGGTACAATCCCCATTGGAAGCAGTATCCAGGCAGGAAAGGAGAATTAGATAACTAGATGATGGGTCCAGAGCCATGTTACAATCCTTCTTGAGGATACCGTAAATATAGGAGAGTCAAATCACCAAGGTGCTCAGCCAAGGTATATATCCAAATCTAATTTGTGGGCCACACGTAGGCAGGATTATTTAGTCTCTTGGGAACTGGGAAATAGTTTATGTCACAATGACACAGGTGGAAAGTTTCAGGAATGAGAATCACCGTCTTGTATATGACCTGGCTTAAGGTTTAAGAGTCATGATTAGTACTCTTATTTGGCCTCAGGTATATGGCACAATATCATCTGTGGGCAGAGAGCAAGCAAAAATATCGCATCACCTGGGTGGGTGCTGATCCAGTGAGATGTCACAATCTTTCTTGTGTCCAGGACTCTGGAAGAAGAGTCACTTCACCTGGCTACTGGTTTTAGTGATATATCAAAATTCCTTGTGTGAGCAGGCCTTAAGAAGTTGAGGAGACTTATTTCACCTAGGCAATTGGCTATATATATGTGTCTCAATGGCTGCTGGTGCAAAACCAAGGTATGAAACTGACCTCACTTTGGTGCTGGGTTTATTAATATGTCACAATCTCCCCTGCTGTCAGGGTGAGGCAAGAGAGGAGAAACATGACCTATGTGCTGAGCCAAGTGATACTTTACAAAGCTTCCTGTTGACAGAACCCAAAATGGAGAGTCACATCACCTGGGTACAGTACCCAGTTTTGTGTCACAATGCACCATAAGTGGAGGGCCAAGGAAGTAGAAGTGACATCACTTACATGATAGACCTAGATATGAGCCACAATGCCTTTTATAGGCAGAGATAAGGCAAATAATTTACCTCACCTGGGTGCTGGTCCCAGTGATAAGTAAATGTGCAATTTGTAGGCAGGTCCAGGCACCTTTGCTTAGTTGTATGTTCCACATATGTCACAAGTTCATCCGTCCTCATGGCCAAAAAAGGAGAGTTAAATTATTCAGGAGTGGGGATAACTTTTATGTCCTAATCACACACTAGGAAATATTCAGAAATACATTTCCCAGTCCCACACAAGTCTTGGCTTTGCGTGTGTGAGTCAACACATCCAGTGGCTTGGATCAAAACAGAGGAGTCACAATCTCAACAATGCACAAGATCCATGTATAAGATGCCAATTCCACTTGAAGATTGTGTTCTAAGAGGAGAGTCACAGCTTCACAGGTCTGCTGATTCATGCATCACAAAAGGATCCTTGGGTCAGATTTATTTATGAGAGAAAAAATTTCAAACTTCGACTGCTTTTTTTCATGAGATCTAGTACGTTATTTGTAGGCCCTATTCTTGTGAGAGAATGACAATCAGGTCATCTGGGTGTGCATCCAATAGTGACAATAGCATCTGATTGTTGTTCCCTGTTATGACACTCTTTGTACCACTCACGCTTTACATGATATGCCTGAGTGTCATAATCCTCTGTGAAATGTACACAATTAGGAGACTGATTACTTTACTTATGGCCATAAGACTGGCTATGAGAATCAAAATGTCTCCCTTTCTGGGTCGAGGTATGATAGTTATATTTGTGCATGGTAGCTGAATGCAGCTATATGTCACAATTTCACCTGTGGGCAGAAATATCACAGGAGAGTCTCAACACATGGATGCCAAGCTCAGGAAACATTATAATCTCCTTTGCAAGCAGGGCCAAGTCAGAAAAGTCACATCACCTGGGTACAGCCACAAGTAATATGGTCCCATGTCCACTGTAGACAGGGTTGAAGAAAAAGAGGATAGTAACACCATCTTGGTGCTGGGCTCAGCAATATGTAACAATCCCCTGTTTTGGCCAACTTCAGAATACAGAGAAGAGTTGCACTGCCTAGGTTTTCCACTCATCGGTATGTCACAATTCCTTTAGTGGGTAGGACGTAGGCAGGAGAGAAGAGTGACATTTCCTAGATGTTACCCCGATGATGTCACAATGTTCCCTGGGGGCAAATCAGAGGCAAAATAGAAAAATCACCTATCAGATAGGCTCAGAGATATGTGATATTATCCCTACTTGGCAGGACCCCAGCAGAAGAGTCACATTATTATGATTCTGTCCCAATGATATGTCACAATGCACACATGGAAAACAATTGGAGCCAAAGTTTTAACACCTGGGTACTAGGCCTAATGATATGACAAAATCTCCTCATATTTTAGGGTGACACCTTGAACAGTGATCTTGGTGTGTATATGAGTCACATTGTCATGTGTGTGCTGCATCATTTTATGATGCCCTCTACAACATCGGAGGGCCTTACATAGTATGCATGAGAGTTGCAAACTACACTGAGGCCCACACACTCATATAGACTCTCAAACTTATATAGTGCCTTAAACTCAGGTGTGATAGTCAACATCTCTCATTTAGGCTGAGCTCAGGAATGAGACTTATTTTTATGCTTTGAGCTGGCTCTGAAAATGAGACACGATCGAACCTGTGGCCAGATCCACAAATAAGAGTCACAATTCCATATTTGAAGTGTTTTTACCTGTTGAACTCAGTTCCTCAACAATGGGCTTTGTAAAAGTGGGATGGTGACAACTTTTACTTTCACCTGGGTGTCTAATTGAGAGTTACAATCTTAACTTTTTGCTAGGCCTTGTTATGAAACTCTCTGTACCACCAAAGGAGTTTGTACAATACTAATTAGTGTTGTAAACTACTCTGAGTTTGGTACAAATATGCAAACCAGGATTTTACCTATTGCTCTAAGCCTTGTGATTAGAGGCAAAATATCTTCTATTGGTTGAATCCCAATATAAGTTTGACCATCATGCCTGCGAAGTGGAGCAAAGTATATGTCATAATCTCATTTGTGGACAAAAAAATTAGGAAAAATAATAACATCACTTAGGTTATGTGGTAAGCAACTTGTCACAATGCCTTCCCTAGGAAGAATATAGGGGGAGGGTCATATTAACTGGGAGCTGGGCCCAACAATATTACACAATTTTTCTTGAGAAAAAGATTAACCAAGGGATGAGAGCCAAAACACCTAGAGAATAAGCTGAAGACCTGTAAAAATTGTGTCTGTGGCTCTGGAACCAGCAGGACAGTAGCATCATCAGGGTTCTGGGGCCACCATTCTGCAATAATTCTCATTTTATTCAGGACAGTAGCAGAAGAGTAACATCACCTGAGTGCAATAGGTCAAAATTGCTCTTTGTGTGCATGGTTCAGAATAAAGAGTAGAATCATATGACCTAAATGCTGGTCTCAGCAATATGTTCACAACCACCACCACCCCCACCATTTTGAAGGGTGACAGGAGAAGAGAGTCATATCACTTAGGTCATGGGGTCAGAGATAGGTCCCAAAGTCCTCAGTAGGCAGAACTAAGAAAGAAAAGGAGAGTAGTATCTCCTATGTGCTTCTTTATGTATAAGTCACAATCTAACACATGGGCAGAAACCAGGCAGAAGAGCCACATTACCTAGGTGCTGGGTGCTAAGATGTGTCACAGGTCCCCCTTAGAAGAGAAACAAAGTGAAAGAGTTACATCACCTTGGTGCAGGTTTCACTTTCGTATCACAATGCTCTCTGTGGGTGAGGCCCAAACATTGAGTCATATCAACTAGGTGATAGGGCCAGAGATATGTCACAATGTCCTTTTTGAAGCATAGCCCTGGGGAAAGAGTACCATCATCTGTGTGCCTGGCCTAGAAATATGTCACTCTCCAGGTTGGCAGGGACCAAGTAGAAGAGCGGCATAACCTAAGTGATACTACCAGAGATATGTCACAATACCCTCCTTTGGGCATGGCTCTGGCAAAAAAATATCCCCACCTGTGTGCCTGGCTTTGCAATATGTCACTATCCTTCCTTTGTGCAAGACCTATACCAGAAAGGAGAGTTACATCACCCAATGTGGTTGACCTAAAAGCTAAACCCAAAAATATGTCAAAATTCCTCTTGTTGAGAAGGTTCAGAAGAGAGTGTCATGTCATTTGGATGCAATGTTTAGAAATGCTACAATTACTAAAGTAAGCTGGGTACATGCCAAAAAGGAGAGTCATATACCCCAGATAATGGGTCCAGAAATATGTGGCTAGTCCCCCTGAAAACATTGGTAAGGTAGCACCGTCAAATCACCAATGTCCGTGACCCAAGTTTTGTCAAAATCTCATTTGTGGGACGTACCTAGG
The DNA here is from genome assembly GCF_000001405.40 of Homo sapiens. Taxonomy (NCBI): domain Eukaryota; kingdom Metazoa; phylum Chordata; class Mammalia; order Primates; family Hominidae; genus Homo; species Homo sapiens. Next base: position 25,147,563 of record NC_000024.10, on the reverse strand, counting down.
TGGAAGTGTTAAATTTCACAGGCACTAGACAAAGGTGTACATACAATTACACTTGTGGAAAGGTTTGAAAATAAGGCTCACCATCCTATACATGTCCTGGCTCCAGACATATGAGTTTTTATTAGTCTTTTATTATGGTCTCAGGTATATGACACCATATCTCCTGTAGTAAGAGAGAAGGCAAGAAAGTCACACCACCTATGTGGGTGCAGTTCCAGTGAGATGTGACAATCCACCTGGTGGTCAGGACCCTGGAAGAAGAGTCACATCACCTGGAAGTTCCTTTTAGTGACATATGAAAAACCCGCCTGTGAGGGTTTTAAACTCAGAACCTCAACAGTGGGTTTTCTAAATGTGGGATGGTTGCAACTTCTAATTTCACCCGGGGGTGTAGTAGAGACTTCCAATCTGAACTTTTTGCTGGCTCATGTTATGAAAATTTCTACCACAAAAGAGTTTATACAATGTAATTTAGTGGTGTAAGCTTCCTTGAGCTTGGTATAAACATGCAACCCAGGACCTTACCTATTTCCACAAGCCTAACAATGAAAGGCAAAATATTTTCTATTGGCTGAATCCCAATATAAGTTTGATCATCATGGCTGTGAACTGAAGCAGTTATATATTATAATTACATACGTGTGAAAAACACTAGGCAGGAGGGTAATGACATTTTGATGCTGTGCCAGGAAATACTTCACAATGTCTTCTCTAGGCAGGGTATAGGAAATTGAGTCACATTAGCTGAATGCTGGACCCAGCAATATGATACAATCCTGCATATGGGAAAAGACTCAGCCAAGTTATGAGAGCCAAAATACCAGCACAGTATGCCCAAGATACATCAACATATCTTAGTAGCTCCAGCACAAGCAGGAAAGTCACATCATAAGGGTACTGGGACCAGCAATATGTAATATATCATAATTAGCTCTTTATGCAGATTCCAGGTAGATGGTTAACATCATCTGGGTGCTGGGCAATGCAATAAGTCAAACTTTCTTTCCTGTGGGCATGGTTTGGGTAAAAGGAGAGAGTCACATATCCTAAGTACTGGGCTCAGCCATGTGCCAAAATCCTCCTATTGTGAATGATCGGGCAGAAAAGGAGAGTCACATCACTTAGGTCATGGGTTCAGAGATATGTCCTAATGTCCCCAGTAGGCAGGGCTCATGTAGAAGAGGAGAGGCCCATCACCTACGTGCTTCCCTAGGAATATGTCACTTTGTGACTTGTGGGCAAAAACCAGGCAGAATAGCCACATCACTTGGGTGGTGGGTCCCGAGATACATCAAAGGCTCTCTTAATGCAGCACCCAGCCAAGAGAGAAACATCATACTAGGTGTATGTTTTCTGATTATACCACAATGCTCCATACGTGTAGGGCTCAAGGAGGGGATCATTTCACCTAGGTGATAGGCCCAGAGATAGGTCACCATGTCCACTATGAGGCAGAGCCCTGGCAAAAGAATACCATCACCTGTGTGCCTTGCCTAGAAATATGTAACTCTCAAGTTTGGAAGGGCCCAAGCAGTAAAGCCACATAACCTAGATGATAGGCCCAGAGATATGTCACAATGCCCTCCTTTGGGGATCCTCTGCAAAGGAATATCCTTGCCTGTGTGCCTGTTCTTGCAGTGTGTCACTATCCTTCTGTTGTACAGTGCCCATTTCAGAGAGAAGACTTACATCAACTATGAAGTGCACAGAGAAATATGTCACAATAATTTTAGTGAGCCTGGCACAGGCAACTATGTAACATCACCAGGGTGCTAGATCCAGTGATATCTCACAATCTTTACTGAGAGATATGACCAGGTAGGAGAGTCATATCACCTCGATGTTGGCCTCGGTAGGAATCATAATCCCATATATGGGCTGGAACAAGTCTGGTGAGTCAAATTACACAAGTGCTTGGCAAACATTTATATCACAATCACACTGTCATAAAATTCCAAAGATGAGATTTACAATACCACACATGTCCTGTTTTCATGTGTGACAGTTGCCTTCATCCATGTGAGATGATAACAGTCCTTACCTTCAGCTGGGTGGGTATACAAGACTCAAAATTTCACCTGGGTGCTTAGCTCCAATTTGACTCTGACTGTATAGTCCAAAGACTTTGTAAAATGTATGTGAGTGTTGTAATATTTTGTGACCTTTGTACAAGGAGGAGATCCAGGACATCAAACGTGTCCCTAAACTTAGTTATAAGGGTGAAAATATTCTCTATTTTCTGAGTCCACATATGAGAGTCATTATCATGCCTGTGAGCCATGCCTAGGTATATGTTACAATTCCCTCTGTGGTTATGAAGCAGGCAGAACAACCACATCACCTAAATGCTGGGCTAGAATTATTTCAAAAAATTTTTTTGTATTCTGTGCCCTATCAGAAATCTCACAAAACTTGTGTGATAGATCCAGCTGTGTGGCACAATGTGCCTTGTGGGCAGTGTCCAGGCAGGAGAGGAGAGTAATATCACCTAAATGATGGGCACAAAAATATGTCAAAATGCCTATTGTTGACAGGGCCCAGGCAAGGGGTCATATCATTTGGATGCAGTGTTTAGAAGAGCTACAATTACCAAAGGAAGCAGGGTACAGGCAAAAGAGGAGAGTCATGTAGATGAAGCATCCAAGAATCAGTTACAATCTCCCCTGAGGACATTTCTAAGGTACCTCAGTCAAACTACCAAAGTGCTTGGCCAATGTGTTTGTCAAAATCCCATTTATGGGCTATACTTTGGCAGAATTATTAAATAAGTCAGTAGTTGGGCAAAGGTATATGTCACAATTACACCTGTGGAAAGGCTTAATAGTAACAGCCACCATCCTGCACAAGTCCTAGGCTCCAGGCATATTAATTGTTATTAGGTTTCTGTTATAATCATTGCTTTATGGCACAATACCACTTGTGGCAAGAGAAAAAAAAAAAGCAAGCTTCATCACCTACGTGGGTGCAGTTCCAGTGAGATGTCACAATCCACCTTGTGGGAAGGACCTGGTGGAAGAGTCACATCACCTGGATGCTAATTTCACGGACATATCAAAACCCCCTCTCTTGGCAGGAACTTTGGTAAGAGAGGAGCCTCACTTCACCAAGGCCATTGGCCTAGATATATGTCACAATGTCTGTTCAGTGCAGTACAGAAGCCAGAGAGTGGCCTCACATTAGTGCTGGGCCCAGCTTTATGTCACAATCTCCCTGTGGTCAAGGTACAGGCAAAAGCCAAGAAACACCACCTAGGTTCTGATCCAAGTGACATGTTACAATGCTTCCTGTTAGCAGAACCCAAAAAGAAGAATTACATCAACTGGGTACAGTACATGGTTATGTGTCACAATGCACTGTAAGTGAAGGGCCAAAACAGTAGCAGGGAGCCACAACACTTATGTGATGGATCTAGATATAAAACACAATTTTTTTGTAGGTAGTTTTATGAGTTTTATGCAGATAATGCACATCACCTGGGTGATGGTCCCAATGATATATAACAGTTCCCATTGTAGGCAGAGCCATGAAACAAGGGATCTATTGCTTAGTCGCTTGTTCCACATATGGCCCAATTTCTTCCATGGTCTGGGCCTAGAAAAGAGTCATATTAGTCATGTGTTGGGAAAGTTATCTTGTTCCAATCACACTATCAGAAAGGTTCAGAAATAAATTTCACATCCCACACAAGTCCTGGTTTTGTTTATGTGAGTCAACTGTTCCTATGCATTGGGTTGAAGTAGAAGAGTCACAGTCTCAGCCTGGAACCAGATCCATGTATAAGATCCCCAATCCCACTTGAACACTGTGTTCCAGCAGGGGAGTCAGAGCACCACAGTGTGCTGAATCATGGTTCAAATGTTACAAAACCACCAGTGAATCAGATTCCTGAATTAGAGTAATTATTTCAACCTTCAACTGCTTTTTATGTGTGAGATTTAGTGCCTCATTCCTAGGCCCTGTTCTGTGTGAGAATGACAATCATGCCAGCTAGATGTGCATACAAGAGTCCCATCTGCCCCTTGTTTCTGTTCTCTGTTTGACACTTTTTGTCATTAAGACTTCATATGATATATCTGAGTGTTATAATCCTTCATGAAGTTTATAAAAGTGAAAAATCCAGGACTTTACCCATGGCTCTGAGAGTCAAAATATTTCTACTGTGTGAGTCCAAGTATGAGGGTTATTATTTTGTGCACGTGTGCTTAACTAAGATATATGTTAAAATTTCACCTGAGAGCAGGGAAAAGGTGTAGGGGTGGGTTGCCTCTACACACCTGTGGGTGTTTCTCGTAAGGTGGGACGAGAGATTTGGAAAAGAAAAAGACACAGAGACAAAGTATAGAGAAAGAAATAAGGGGACCCGGGGAACCAGCGTTCAGCATATGGAGGATCCCGCCAGCCTCTGAGTTCCCTTAGTATTTATTGATCATCTGTGGGTGTTTCTCAAAGAGGGGGATGTGTCAGGGTCACAAGACAATTGTGGGGAGAGGGTCAGCAGACAAACACGTGAACAAAGGTCTTGGCATCATAGACAATGTAAAGGATTAAGTGCTGTGCTTTTAGATATGCATACACATAAACATCTCAGTGCTTTACAAAGCAGTATTGCTGCCCGCAGGTCCCACCTCCAGCCCTAAGGCGGTTTTTCCCTATCTCAGTAGATGGAGCATACAATCGGGTTTTATACCGAGACATTCCATTGCCCAGGGACAGGCAGGAGACAGATGCCTTCCTCTTGTCTCAACTGCAAGAGGCATTCCTTCCTCTTTTACTAATCCTCCTCAGCACAGACCCTTTACGGGTGTCGGGCTGGGGGACGGTCAGGTCTTTCCCTTCCCACGAGGCCATATTTCAGACTATCACATGGGGAGAAACCTTGGACAATACCTGGCTTTCCTAGGCAGAGGTCCCTGCGGCCTTCCGCAGTTTTTGTGTCCCTGGGTACTTGAGATTAGGGAGTGGTGATGACTCTTAAGGAGCATGCTGCCTTCAAGCATCTGTTTAACAAAGCACATCCTGCACCGCCCTTAATCCATTCAACTCTGAGTTGACACAGCACATGTTTCAGAGAGCATGGGGTTGGGGGTAAGGTCATAGATTAACAGAATCTCAAGGCAGAAGAATTTTTCTTAGTACATAACAAAATGGAGTCTCCTATGTCTACTTCTTTCTACACAGACACAGTAACAATCTGATCTCTCTTGCTTTTCCCCACAAAAAGGCAGGAGAGACATCACCTGGGTGCTGAGCTGCTGATACATTATAATCTCATTAATAGGGTGGGCCTATTTAGAAGAGTCACATCACCTGGATATAGCCTCAAATAATATGTCCCCAAGCCCACTATAGAAAGGGAATAAGAAAAAGAGGAGTTACTCCACATAGGTGCTGTGCTCTGCAGTGTGTAATAATCCACTTTCTTGGCAGGGCCTAGCATATGAAGAAGAGTCACATCACATAGTTTCTGCAATAAGCAGTACATCAAAACTTTTTTGGTGAGCAGGACACAGGCAGGGGAGGAAATCACATAACCTAGATGTTAAGCCAAACAATATTTCACAATGTGTTCTGATGGCAGTGCACAGGGAGGGGAGAAAAATCACCTAGCTTATAGGCCCAGAGATATGAGATAATTTGCCCTGTTGGCAGGGCTCAGGCAGAACAGTCACATTATTATAATTCTAACCCAGTGATATGTCACAATGCACCCAACAGAAAAAAAATGTAATCCAAAAACTCACAACACCTGGTTACTAGGCCTAGTAATATGCCAAATCTTTTTGTCTTTGATGTTGACACCATTGAATGTGAGCTGGGTTTGTATATGAGAGTCACAATTTTCCATGTTTCCTGGGCTGTTGTATGACACTCTACAACATTTTAAGGGTTTATACAGCACGTGTGAGAGTGGCAAACCACTCTGACCCCTACATGGTAGTATAGATTCACGATCTTAACATATTGCCCTAAACCCAAGTTTTATAGTCAACATCTCTTCTGCAGGCTGGGTTAAGGAATGAGATCCATTGTCATGCCTGTGAGCTAGATGTAAAAATGAGTCGCTATCCCATCTGTGGTCAGATCCACATAGGAAGGTCAAAATTCCAACTTTCTACTGTATTTACTTTTTAGACTCAGGACCTTAACAGTGGGCTTTGGCCATGTGGGATGGAAACATTTACTTTCACTTGGGTGCATAACCAAGAATCCCAATCTGAACATTTTGCTGGTTCTTGTCTTGAAACTCTCTGTACCACCCAAGGAGGTTATACACTATGAGTTAGTGCTGTAAAGCTCTGTGAGCTTCATACAAATATGCAACCCAGGGCCTTACCCATTGCCCAAAGCCTAGTGATGAGAGGCAAAATATCTCCTATTGGCTGACTCCAATATAAGTCTGATCACCAGGCCTGTGATCTCAACTAAGGCATATGTTGAGATCAAGGTATATGTCAGAGTCCCATTTGTGGGCAAAATGTATGCAGGAGGGTAACATCTCTTTGGTGCTGTGCCAAGCAACTTGTCACTATGTCCTCCCTTGCTTGGCAGGGTATAGGAATTAGAGTCATATTAAATTGGTGCTGGACTGAGCAAAACAAAACCATCCTACCTGTGGAAGAAACCCAGGCAAAAGATATCAGAACACCCACATGATGGGCCCAGGATGTGTCAAAATACCTTCTGTGGCTCCAGGACAGTCATGAGTCATGAGATAATGTCCTGCTCTCAACAGGAAATTATCAGAGTTTTGGCCCCAGCAATATGCCATACTTCTATCTGTATGCAGGACCCAGGCAAAAGAGAAACATCGCCTGGGTGCTGGACCTTGCAATAGGCCAAAAATTCGGGTGGTGGGAATGGTTCCAGAAAATAAGGAGTGACAAATAACCTGACTTCTGACCTCTACGATATGTCACAATCCCTTCTTGTAAAGACCAGGCAGAAGCTGAAAGTCACTTCACTTCAGTCTTGGGCTCAGAGATACATCCCAGTGTCCTCATTATGAAGGGCCCACAAAGAAAAGTCATATCAACTAGGTGCTTCCCTAGTTATATGTCACAATCTAACATGTGGGCAGAAACCAGGCAGCAGAGCCACACCACCTGGGTACAGCCTCAAGTAATATGTCACTATGCCCAATGTAGACAGTTTACAGTAAAAAAAGAAAATCACACCACCTGGGTGCTGGGCTCAGCAATATGTAATAATTTCCTTTCTTGGTAGAGTTCAGGACAAAGAGAACATTAATGTCACCTAGGTTTTGCACTCAGTGGTATGTCACAATTTCTTCAGTGGGCAGGATCTGGCCAGGAGAGCAGAGACACATTACCTAGATGCTGTATCTAACAATATGACACAGCTGGATATGGGAAGGCCATTGGCAAGAGAGATATATTACCTAGTCAATAGGCCCAGAGATATGTGAAAATATCCACTGTTTGCAGTTCCCAGGCAGAAAAGTCACATTATTATGATTCTGAACCATTTCTGAACCATGTAGCATTATGGCTCTGAACCATTTCTGAACCATGTAACATTATTATGATTCTGAACCATTTCTGAACCGTGTAAGAATGCCCTTCTGGAAAAGAATTTATTTTTATTGTTTTTATTTTTATTATTATACTTTAAGTTCTAGGGTACATGTGCACAATGTGCAGGTTAGTTACATATGTCTACATGTGCCATGTTGGTGTGCTGCACCCATTAACTCATCATTTGCATTAGGTATATCTCCTAATGCTATCCCTCCCCTCTCCCCCTACTCTATGACAGGCCCCAGTGTGTGATGTTCCCCACCCTGTGTCCAAGTGTTCTCATTGTTCAATTCCCACCTATGAGTGAAAATATGCTGTGTCTGCTTTTCTGTCCTTGTGATAGTTTGCTGAGAATGATGGTTTCCAGCTTCATCCATGTCCCCACAAAGGACATGAACTCATCCTTTTTAATGTCAGCATAGTATTCCATGGCATATATGTGCTACATTTTCTTAATCCAGCCTGTCATTGATGGACATTTGGTTGGTTCCAAGTCTTTGCTATTATCGGTAGTGCCACACTAAACATATCTGTGCATGTGTCTTTATAGCAGCATGATTTATAATCCTTTGGGTATATGCCCAGTAACGGAATGGCTGAGTCACATGGCATTTCTTGTTCTACATCCTTGAGGTACTGCCAAACTGTCTTCCACAATGGCTGAACTAGTTTATGTCCCACCAACAGTGTAAGAAACTCTGATGACAGCTTCTTTTGCTGTGCAGAAGCTCTTTCATTTAATTAGCTCCTATTTGTCAATTTTGGCTTTTGTTGCCATTACTGTTGGTGTTTTAGTCATGAATCCTTGCCCATGCCTATGGCTTGAATGGTATTGCCTAAGTTTTCTTCTAGGGTTTTTATGGTTTTAGGTCTAACATTTAAGTCTTTAATCCATCTTGAATTAATTTTTGTATAAGGTGTAAAGAAGAGATCCAGTTTCAGCTTTCTACATATGGTTAGCCAGTTTTCCCAGCACCATTTATTAAATAGGTAATCCTTTCCCCATTTCTTGTTTTTGTTAGGTTTGTCACAGATCAGATGGTTGTTGATGTGTGGCATTATTTTTGAGGGCCCTATTCTGTTCCATTGGTCTATATCTCTGTTTTTGTACCAATACCAAGCTGTTTTGGTTGCTGTAGCCTTGTAGTGTAATTTGAAGTCAGGTAGCATGATGCTTCCAGCTTTGTTCTTTTGGCTTAGAATTGTCTTGGCAATGCAGGATCTTTTTTGGTTCCATATGAACTTTAAAGTAGGTTTTTCCAGTTCTGTGAAGAAAGTCATTGGTAGCTTGATGGAGATGGCATTGAATCTATGAGTCACCTTGGGCAGTATGGCCATTTTCCACAATATTGATTCTTCCTATCCATGAGCATGGAATATTCTTCCATTTGTTCATGTCCTCTTTCATTTTGTTTAGCAGTGGTTTGTAGTTCTCCTTGAAGAGGTCCTTCACATCCCTTGTAAGTTGGATTCCTAGGCATTTTATTCTCTTTGAAGCAATTGTGAATGGGAGTTCACTCATGATTTGGCTCTCTGTTTGTTATTGGTGTATAGGTCTGCTTGTGATTTTTGCACATTGCTTTTGTATCCTGAGACTTTGCTGAAGTTGCTTATCAGCTTAAGGAGATTTTGGGCTGAGACGATGGGGTTTTCTAAATATACAATCATGTCATTTGCAAACAGGGACAATTTGAGTTCCTCTTTTACTAATTGAATACCTTTATTTATTTCTCTTGCCTGATTGCCCTGGCCAGAACTTCCAACATTATGTTGAATGGGAGTGGTGAGAGAGGCCATCCCTGTCTTGTGCCAGTTTTCAAAGGGAATGCATCCATTTTTTGCCCATTCAGTATGATATTAGCTGTGGGTTTGTCATAAATAGCTCTTATTATTTTGAGATATGTCCCATCAATACCTAATTTATTGAGAGTTTTTAGCATGAAGTGCTGTTCTGTTTATATGATGGATAATGTTTATTTATTGGTGTATATTGAACCAGCCTTACTTCCAAAGGATGAAGCCGATTTGATCATGATGGATAAACTTTTTGATGTGCTGCAGTATTTTATTGAGGATTTTTGCATCGATGTTTATCAGGGATATTGGTCTAAAATTATTTTTTGTTTTTCTGTCTTTGCCAGGCTTTGATATCAGTATGTTGTTGGCCTCATAAAATGAATTAGGGAGGATTCCCTCTTTTTCTGTTGATTGGAATAGTTTCAGAAGGAATTGTATCAGCTTTTCTTTGTACCTATGGTAGAATTTGGCTGTGAATCCATCTGGTCCTGGACTTTTTTTGGTTGATAGGCTATTGATTGCTGCCTCAATTTCAGAGTCTGTTATTGTTCTATTCAGAGATTCAACTCCTTCCTGGTTTAGTCTTGGGAGGGAGTGTGTGTCAAGGAATTTATCCATTTTTTCTAGATTTTCTAGTTTATTTGCCTAGAGGTGTTTCTAGTAGTCTCTGATGGTAGTTTCTATTTCTGTGGGATCAGTCATGATCTCCCCTTTGTCATTTTTATTGTGTCTCTTTGATTCTTCTCTCTTTTCTTCGTTATTAGTTTTGCTAGCAGTCTATCAATTTTGTTGATCTTTCCAAAGAACCAGCTCCTGGATTCACTGATTTTTTGAAGGGTTTTTTTGTGTCTCTAACTCCTTCAGTTCTGCTCTGATCTTAGTTATTTCTTACCTACTGCTAACTTTTGAATGTGTTTGCTTTTGCTTCTCTAGTTCTTTTAACTGTGATGTTAGGCTGTCGATTTTTGATCTTTTCTGCTTTCTCTTGTGGGCATTTAGTGCTATAAATTTCCCTCTACACACTGCCTTAAATGTATCCCCAAGATTCTGGTATGTTGTGTCTTTGTTCTCACTGCTTTCAAAGAACATTTCATTTCTGCCTTCATTTCGTTATGTACCCAGTAGTCATTCATAAGCAGGTTGTTCAGTTTCCATGTAGTTGAGCGGTTTTGAGTGAGTTTCTTAATCTTGACTTCTTGCTTGATTGCACTGTGGTCTGAGAGACAGTTGGTTATAATTTGTGTTCTTTTACATTTGCTGAGGAGTGCTTTACTTAAAACTGTGTGGTCAATTTTGGATTAAGTTTGATGTGGTGCTGAGAAGAATATATATCTGTTGATTTGGAGTGGAGAGTTCTGTAGATGTCTATTAGGTCCACTTGGTGCAGAGCTAAGTTCTATTCCTAGATATCCTTTTAACTTTCTGTCTCGATCTGTTTAATGTTGATAGTGGGGTGTTAAGGTCTCCCATTATTACTGTGTGGGAGTCTAAGTATGTTTGTAGGTTTCTAAGGACTTGCTTTATGAATCCGACTGCTCCTGTATTTGATGCATATATATTTAGTAAAGTTAGCTCTTCTTATTGAATTGATCCCTTTACCGTTAGGTATTGGTCGTCTTTGTCTCTTTTGATCTTTGTTGGTTTAAAGTCTGTTTTATCAGAAACTAGGATTGCAACCCCTGTTTTTGTTTTTGTTTTCTTTTTCTTTTTTTTTCATTTGCTTGGTAAATCTTTCTCCATCCCTTTATTTTGAGCCTATGTGTGTCACTGCACGTCAGATGGGTCTCCTGAATACAGCACACTGATGGGTCTTGACTCTTTATCCAATTTGCCAGTCTGTGTCTTTTAATTGGAACATTTACCCCATTTACACTTAAGGTTAATATTGTTATGTGTGAATTTGATCCTGTCATTATGATGTTAGCTTGTTATTTTGCTCATTAGTTGATGCAGTTTCTTTGTAGCATTGATGGTCTTTACAATTTGACATGTTTTTGCAGTGGCTTGTACCAGTTGTTCCTTTCCATGTTTAGTGCTTCCTTCAGGAACTCTTGTAAGGCAGACCTGGTGGTGACAAAATTTCTCAGCATTTGTTTGTCTGTAAAGGATTTCATTTCTCCTTCACTTATGAAGCTTTATTTGGCTGGATATGAAATTCTGGGTTGAATATTATTTTCCTTAAGGATGTTGAATATTAGCCCCCACTATCTTCTGGCTTGTAGAGTTTCTGCCAATAGATCCACTGTTAGTCGGATGGGCTTGCCTTTCTGGGTAACCTGACCTTTCCTTTGGCTCCCTTAACATTTTTTCCTTCATTTCAACTCTGGTGAATCTGACAATTATTTGTCTTGTTGTTGCTCTCCTCGAGGAGTATCTTTTAGGCATTCTCTGTATGTTTTTGAATTTTAATGTTGGTCTGCCTCACTACATTGGGGAAATTCTCCTGGATAATATCCTGCAGAGTGTTTTCCAACTTGGCTCCATTCTCCCCATCTCTTTCAGGTACACCAATCAGATGTATATTTGGTCTTTTCATGTAGTGCCATATTTCTTGGAGGCTTTGTTCATTTCTTTTTACTCTTTTTTCTCTAAACATCTCTTCTTGCTTTATTTCATTCATTTGATCTTCAATCACTGATATCCTTTCTTCCACTTGACAGAATTGGCTACTGAAGCTTGTACATGCATCACATAGTTTTCATGTCATGGTTTTCAGCTCCATCAGGTCATTTAGGGACGTCTCTACACTGTTTATTTTAGTAGACATACATCTAATCTTTTTTTCAAAGTTTTTAGCTTCTTTGCGATGGGTTCGAACATCCTCCTTTAGCTCAGAGAAATTTGTTATTACCAATCATCTGAAGCCTTCTTCTCTTGACTCGTCAAAGTCATTCTCCATCCTGCTTTGTTCCATTGCTGGTGAGGAACTGCATTCCTTTGGAGGAGAACAGGCACTCTGATTTCTAGAATTTTCAGCTATTCTGCTCTGGTGTCTCCCCATCTTTGTGGTTTTATCTACTTTTGTTCTTCGATGCTGATGTATAGATGGGGTTTTTGTGTGGATGTCCTTTCTGTTTGTTAATTTTCCTTCTAACAATTAGGACCCTCAGTTGCAGGACTGTTGGAGTTTTCTGGAGGCCCACTCCACACCCTGTTTGCCTTGGTATCACCAGCAGAAGCTGCAGAACAGCAAATATTGCCGAACAGCAAGTATTGCTGCCTGATCATTCCTCTGGAAGCTTCAACTCAGAGGGGCACCCAGTTGTGTGAGGTGTCAGGTGGCCCCTACTGGGAGGTGTCTTCCACTTAGGCTACTCGGGGTTCAGGTACCAGTCTGTCCATTCTCAAATCTCAAACTCTGTGCTGGGAGAACCACTACTCTCTTCAAAGCTGTCAGACAACAATGTTTAAGTCTGCAGAAGTTTCTGCTACCTTTTGTTCATCTATGCCCTGCCCCCAGGGGTGGAGTCTACATAGGCAGGCAGGCCTCCTTGAGGTGAGGTGGGATCCACCCAGTCCAAGCTTCCTTGCCACTTTGTTTACCTAGTGAATCCTCAGTAATGGCAGATCACCCTCCCCCAGCATTGTTACCACCTTGCAGCTCAATCTCAGACTGCTATGCTAGCAGTGAGTGAGGCTCCATGGGCAGGGGACCCTCTGAGCCAGGCACGGGATGTAATCCCCTGGTGTGCCATTTGCTAAGGCCAGTGGAAAAATGTAGTTTTAGGGTGGGCATGACCCAATTTTCTGGGTACCATCAGTCACGGCTTCCCTTTGCTGGGAAAGGGAATTCCCCAATCCCTTGCATTTCCCAGGTGAGGCAATGCCCCTCCCTGCTCTGTGGGCTGCACCCACTGTCTGACAAGCCCCAGTGAGATGAACTTAGTACCTCAGTTGGAAATGCAGAAGTCACCCACCTTCTGCATTCCTCACACTGGTAGCTGCAGACTGGAGCTGTTCCTATTCTGCCATCTTGGAAGCTCCTCCCTGGAAAAGAATTTAAACCAAAAAGTCTCAACACTGGGGTGCCAGGTGAAGGATATGACACAGTCTCCTCAACTATAAGGGTGACACCATTAACTATTACCTAGTTGTGTATATGTCAGTCACAAACTCACATGGGTGCTGGCCATAGTATGACACTCTATACAACATCTGAGAACTTTATATAACATGCATGAGAGTTGAAACCTCACTGAGGCCTACATGCTTATATGGACTCACGATCTTACATATTGCACTAAACTCAGATATGACAGTCAACATCTCTCTTATATGCTGGCTTCAAGGATGACAGCATTATTGGGTTTGTGAGCTGGGTCCAGAACTGAGTGACCATCCCACCTGTGGCCAGATTCTTTGATAAAAATTACAATTTCATCTTTGTGCTGTGTTTACTTATTAGATTGAGGACCTCAACAATGAACGTTGTAAACGCAGGATGGTAATAACTTTTACTTTCACATGAACGTGTTGTGTAAAATCATGATACTAACATTTTTCTGGACCCTGTTATAAAATTCTCTACCACCTAAAAAGTTTTTGTGAGATGAGTTATTGTTGTAAAATTCTGTGAGCTTGTTCACATATGCAATTAAAGGCTTTACCTACTGACTTAAACCTAGTCATGAAAGGCAAAACGTCTCGTACTGGCTGAATCCCAATAGAAGCATGATCATCATGCTTTTGAACTGAAGAAAGGTATATGTTATAATCAAATTTGTGGGCAAAAAAAATCGGCAGGAGGTTGATATCACTTAGGTGTTGTGGCAAGAAGTATGACACAATGCCTTGTCTATGCAGGTCTTAGGAAAGAGGGTCACAATAATTGGGCTCTGGAGCCAGCAATATAACACAACTTCACATAGAAGAAACCCAGCAAAATAAGGAGACTCAAAACACCTATGGAAATGGGCCAAAGGTATATCAAAATACCTGCTCTGGCTCTGGCACAGGCTGGAGAGTCACATCATTAGTGTGCTAGGCCCAGAAATATGCTGAAATTCCCTCTTTATGCACGACCTAGGAATAAGTGTAACAGAATCCAGGTGTGGGGCCCTGAACTACAGCAAAAGTCCTGTTTGTAGGCAATTTTTGGCAACATGATGAGAGTCACATTACCTAATTGCTGGGCTCATCAACACATCACAATCTTCTCATTGTAAAGGCTTAGACAGAATAAGAGACTCACATCACTTAGGTCATGGGCTCAAAGATATGGCCCAATGCCACAAGTAGGCAATACTCAGGCAGAAATAAAGAGTCATAACACCTAGATGCTTTTTCAGGTATATGTCACAATTTCACCTGTGTCCAGTCCTTCCATCCAGTCCTTTCTGTCAGCTGGGTGTGCATACAAGACTCACAATTTCAGCTGTGTGCTGAGCCCTGCTTTGACTCTGTCTGTATAACCCAAAGACTTTGGAAAATACATGTGAATGTTGTAATCTTTTGTGACCTTTGTAGAAGAAGGCGATACAGGACATCATGCATGTCCCTAAATCTAGTTATAAGTGTCAAAATATTCTCTATAGGCTGAGTACACATATGAGAGTCATTATCACTCCTGTGAGTCATGCCTAGGTATCTGTTACAATATTCTCTGTGGTTATAAAGCAGGAAGAATAGTCATATCACCTAAATGCTGGACTGTACATATTCCAATATTCTCTTTGTAGGCAGGGTCCTGTCAGAAATCTCACATAATTTCTGTGCTAAATCCAGCTCTGTGGCACAATGTCCCTTGTGGGTAGTGTCCAGACAGAAGAGGAGAGTCATATCACCTAAATGTTGGCCCCAAAAATATGTCACAATGACTAATGTTGACAGGGCCCAGAAAAACGAGTCATATCATTTGGATATAGTGTTTAGAAATGCTACAATTACCAAAGCGAGCTGGGTACAGGCAGGAGAGGGGAGTCATGTAACCTAGGTGATGTGTCCAGAAATATGTTACAATATCCCCTGAGGACATTGTTAAGACAGCAAGAGTCAAATCACCAAGGTGCTTGGCCCAGGCATTTGACAAAACCTCATTTGTGGGTGATACCTAGGCAGAATTATTAAATCACTCAGGAGCAGTGCAAAGGTTTATGTCATGATTACACTTGCGGAAACGTTTAAGAATAAGAATAACTCTCCTGAACATATCCTGGCTTCAGGTATATAAGCTGTTACTAGGCTTTTGTTATGGTTTCAGGTATATGGCACAATATCACCTCTGGTCAGAGAGAATGCAAGAAAGTCACATCACATAAGTGGCTGTGGCTCCAGTGAGATATCACAATCCACCTTGTGGACAGGACCTTTGCAGAAGAGTCACATCACCTGGATGCTGGTTTCAGTGACAAAAACCTCCTTGTAAACATGACTTTGGAAATAGAGGAGACTCAATTAACCTAGGCAATTGGCCTAGACATATGTCACAATGGCCCTTATGTACAGTGCCAAGGCTGGAGAGTTACCTTACGTTGGTCAGTGGGTTTGGCAATATGTCACAATCTCCCTGTGGCTGGGGCACAGGCAAAAGTGAAGAAACATCACCTTAGGTTCTGAGCCAAGTGATACGTTACAAGGTTTCCTGTTGACAGAATGCAAAAAGGAGAATCCCATCCCCTGGATGAAGTTCCCAGTTATGTGACACAATGCACTGTAACTGCAGGGCCAAGGCAGTACAAGGGAGTCACATCACTTACCTGATGGACCTAGATATAGAACACAATTGTCTTTGTAAGCAGGCTTCAGGCAGATAATTCACATGACCTGGGTGATGGTCTCAGTAATATATTAAAGTGACCTTTGTAGGCAGAGTCAAGGAAGATATCATATATTGCTTTCATGTTTGTTCCACATATGGCACAATTTCATCTGTGGTCTGAGCCTAGAAAAGAGAGTCCCGCTATTTATGTGCTGGGCAAAGTTACCTGTCCCAATCACATGCTAAGAAAGGTTTGGAAATAATTTCACATCACACACAAGTCCTGGTTTCACATATGTGAATCAATCCTATTTATGTTAGGCTAAACTAGAGGACTCACAATCTCAACAGTGGACAGGATCCATGTATAAGAGCTCCGATAACATATTATGTCAATGAGATTGTGTCATATCACTGGACCTAGTAACCAGGTGTTAAAACTTTTGCTTAAATTGTTTCCCGTGTGTGCATTGTGAGACTCTTCTGCCAGGGCACTGCCTAAAGGAGATATTGTCACATATCTATGAGCCTATCCACTAGGTGATTTGTCAATTTTACCTGTGCTTTGCTCCCAAAGAACATTATGACATCTTTTAATGTATCATTTAGGAAATGTGACTTCTCTCTCCTGCCTAGGTCCTGTGCTCTAAAGAAATAGGTACATAGTGCTGAATGCAAAATTTAAATAATGCAACTCTGCTCTTTATTCTGGAGTCTGCCAACAGAGGACATTTTTAAATATTGTTGAGTCTAACACCTTGAAGCTGCACCCAGATGATATGACTCTTCTGACTTGGCACTACCTGCAGAAGAGATTATAATGTATTCTCAGCTCAGAATCCTGGTGATGAGAGTCTCCTACCTTGGTTCTGCCCACAGGAGAAATAGTGACATATACCTGGGTTCAGCTCACATGCACAAATACAGCTGTTATATCTAGACCCAGAAAGAAGAGATATTTTGACATTCTTAACCAGTCTTATGGCCATAAGTAAAGCAATGGGTCTACTAATTGTATAAAGTTCACAGAGGACTATGACACTCAGGCATATGATATACAGCCTGAATGGTACAAAGGATGTCCTAACAGGGACAGTAACCCAGTGCTATTGTGACTCATGTACATACGATCAGCTGATCCTACTGTCATTCTCTCACAAGAATAGCCCCTACAAATAAGGTACTAAATCTCACACAAAACAGCTGTCCCTGGTTGAAACTGTTCCTCTCATACATGTGTCTGGTCCACGGGTCTTTTGGTGATGCATGATTCAGCACACCTGTGAAGCTGTGACTCCCCTCCTGGAACACAATCTTAAAGTGGAATTGGGCATCTTATGCATGGATCATGCTCACTGTTGAGACTGTGACTCCTCTACTTTGGCCCAAGTCATAGGGGGTGTTGACTCACATACACAAAGCTGGGATTTGTGTGGGACTGTGAAACTTATATCTGAATATATCCTAGTGTGTGATTAGGACATAAAAGTTAGCCCAGCTTCTGAATAACTTGACTCTCATTTTTAGGCCATAACCACAGATAAAATTGTGACATGCCTGGACCATGCCCCTAAGCATAGGTGCCTGGGCCTGCCTACAAATTACACTTTTACATATCACTGGGACCAGCACCAAGGTGATTTGAATTATCTGCCTGAGTGCTGCCCAAGAAGAGCACTGTGGCTGATATCTAGGTCCATCAGGTAAGTGATGTGACTCCCTTCTCCTGCCTTGGCCCTGCACTTATGGAGCATTGCAACACACAACTGGGTTCTGCACCCAAGTGATGTGACTCTCCCTTTTGGGTTCTGCCAATGAGAAGCTTTGTAACATATCACTTTGCTCATCACCTAGGTCATGTTTCTCCTCTCTTCTCTCGACCTGATCACAGGGGAGATTGTGACATATTGATAAACTCAGCACCAAGGTGTAGTCACTTTCTTACCTTGGTTTTGCACACAGCAGCCATTGTGACATATACCTATGCCAACTGCCTTGGTTAAGTGAGCCTCCTCTCTTTCTTAAGCCCTTCCCACAGGTGGGATTTTGATATATCACCAAAAACAGTATCCAGTTGATGTGATTCTTCTTTCAGAGTCCTGCCCACAAGATGGATTGTGACATCTCACAGGACCAGCACCCACCCAGGTGATGTGACCTTCCCACTTGCTCTCCACTCACAGCCGATGTTGTGACATATACCTGAGATGAGATAAGAGGACTGACTAATCATGACTCTTAAATATGGAGCCAGGTCATATGCTATATGGTGACTCCCATTCCTGAAGCATTTCACTAATGTTATTGCGACATACACAATTGTCCAGCTCCTGAGTGATTTAATAATCCTGCCAAGGTGTAGTCCACAAGTGAGATTCACCTATATATTTCAGCTGCTCACCTTGGTGATTTGACTCTCCTGTCTTAACAATATCCCCAGGAAGAATTGTAACATGTCTCTGAATCCATCTTCTAGGTTACCTGTCTCCCTGCCTTGCCTCCTCTGCCTGGACTCTGCTTCCACAGGGATTGTAGCATTTTTTTCTTTTCTTTTCTTTTCTTTCTTTTTTTGTTACCTAGGCTGGAGTGCAGTGGTGTGATCTTAGCTCATTGCAACCTCTGCCTTGGGGATTGTAGCATTTCTAAGCACTGCATGCAAATGACATGACTCTCCTGACTGGTTCCTTCAACAGAAGGCATGGTTGCACATCTCTCGGCCAATAATTTAAGTTATATGACTCTCCTCTTCTGCCTAGACACTGCTTAAAAGGGGCATTGTGTCATACATCTGGTTGACACCCCCAAGTTATGCAACTTTTCGTCCAGGAACTTTTCTACAAGTAGAATATTTGAAAAATTCTTGTTCAATAGTTAGGTGACTTGGCAGTCACACCTGCTTCATTACCACAGAGTAAATTGTGATATATAACTAGGCACAACTCACAGGCATAATAATGACTCTCATACCCCACAAATAGGAGTAATTTTGACTCTCACTACTTGCTTTAGAAACATGAGTGATTGAATCTCTCTGCTTTAAAAAAAGGCCACAGAAGATTATAATAGCCTCAGAAATTTTATAAAGCCCTTGGCTTGTACAGAGAGTGCAATAACAGAATACAACAGAGAGTGTGATAACAGAATACAGAGAGTGCATGGTGAGTCTCATACACACACTCAGCTGGCAGTAAAGACTGTCACCATCTCATATATATGAAGCCACATGTCACTCCTGAAAACAGGATATGTGTGGGATTGTAAATCTCATCCTGGGAATTTTCTGTAAGTGTGAGATAAATATTTGCCGAGTACCTTGTGATTGGACTCTCCAAACTTTTTTCATCCCACATATGTAATTGTGATATGTACCTTGAATAACCTCCAGGTGATGTGACTGTCCTGCCTGAGCCTTGCTGTCAGTAAGAATCATGACATACCACTAGATCCAGCACCCTGGTCATGTTACATTTTTGCCTGAGCCCTGCCTACAGAAATCACTGTGACATATCACTGTGTCAACAACTTAGGTCACATAAATCTCCTCATTAGAATGGTCCCTGTGCACTGTCAGGGGCAGTAACATACAGTTGGGCCAGGCACAAAGCTGATGATACTCTTTTGCTAGGGCCATGTCCTAAAAAGGGCATTATGACAAATTTCTGGGTCTTCACATAGGGGATTTTGCTCTACCGCTTGGGTCATGCTTACCTGTATAGTGACATGTTGCTAGGCTAGGCACAAATGTATTGTTATTCTTTCACCAGGGCCAAGTCTCAGGGGGATATTGTGAAATATCTCTGGCCCTATCACTTAGGTGATGTGACTCCCTGCCTGGGTCCTGCCAACATAGAGCATTGAAACATAGGGGCAAAAACTGCACCTATTTGCTCTAACTCTCTTGCCTGGGTCCTGTCCTAAGGGGACCTTGTGAGATAGCTCAGAATCCAGCATCAACGTGATGTAGCTCTTTTGCCTGCTTTCACCCCACATGTAAGACTGTGTCATATACCTAGGGAAGCACCTATATGATATGTGTTATGACTCTTCTCTTCTGCTTGAGCCCTGCCTACTTGGAATATTTGGCCATATATCTGAGCTCCTGTCCTAGGTGATGTGACCCTGCTTTTCTGCCAGAGACTTTACGATGAGGTAATGTGAAATATTGCTAAGCTTGATACTTAGGAGATATGACTCTTCCTTTTTTCCCAAACTGTGCCCGTGAAAAGGAATTCTGACATATTGCTGGGCCCAGCACCCAGATGATGTTCCTCTGCTGCCTTGGTCCTTCACAGAGAATTATGGCATACAGTTGGGCCCCCAACCCCGATGATGTAAGTTCCTGCCTGTGCCACAGCAACAGAAAGTATTTTAGCATATCTTGGTCCCATGTTGTAGGTGTGTTTGCTCTCATGATTTATCTGTTTTTCTTCCATATTCGGGATTGTGTTATATTGCTGGGTCTAGCACCCAGTTAATGTAACCCCCATTTCTACACCCTGCCTAGAGAGGGCATTGTGACACATTGCTTGGCACAATACCTAAATTGTGCTACCTTCTTGTCAAGTTTTTTCCTACAAATTGGATTATTAAATTTACATTCCTTCTATTCAGAGGGATGATGGTCAAATTTTAATTGGGATTACACCAATAATAGATATGTTGCCTCTCATCACTATGCTTATGGCAATAGGTAAGGTTATGAGTTGCATATTTGTACAAAACTCACAGAATGTTACAACACTAACTCATATTCTATAAACTTATTAGGACAAGGCCCAGCAAAAGGTTAAGATCATGATTCTTGGTTTCACATGCAGGTGAGAGCAAAAGTTATCACCATCCCACATTTACAGAGGCCACTGTCAAAGTACTGAGTATAACAAGTAAATAAAGAACAAAGATGGAATTTTGACTTTCATATATGGATCTTGCTACAGATGAGATGGTGGCTCATTTCTGGACCCAGATCACAGGCATAATAATCAGTCTCCCATCTGAACCCAGTCTATAAGAGAGATGCTGACTATCATAACTGGGTTTAAAGCAGTATATAAGATTATGAGTCAATACGAGCATGTATGCCTTAGAGTAGGTTGCTACTCTTATGCATGTTGCATAAAGCCTTCGGATGCTGCAGAATGTGTCATACGATGATCTAGAAAACACATGAGATTGTGACTCTCACATACACACCAAGCTAGCCCTTAAAGGTGTCACCCTAAAAGATGAAGAGATTGTGTCATATCTCTAGGCCCAGTACTCCTAGGTGTTGAGAATTTTCGGCTTAAATTCTTTACCATGGGTGCATTGTGACACATCACTGGGTTAAAATGATGAAAAGGTGACTCTTCCGCTTGGACCCTGGCACCAGGGGATATTATCACATATCTCTGGGTCTATCAGGTAGGTGATGTGTCTCTCCTCCCAGTGCCCTGCCCACAGGGGACACTGTGACATATTGCTAGATACAACATCTAGATAAAGCGAATCTCCTCTGCTGCCTGGATCCTGCCCACTGAAGAAATTGTGACATACCACTGAGTATAAAACCTAGATGATGTGACAGTACCCTTTGTTATGTACTCTGTCAAGAGAGGGAATTTTAATATGTTGTTGAACATGGCACCTGGAGGTGTGACTATCCACTATTTTTTCAACCATGTATACAGTGGGCATGATGACATATTATTTGAGATTGTACCCAAGTGATATAAGCCTCCGGTCTGGGTTGTGCCTACAGAGGAGATTATAAGGTATGCCTGGCTAAGGACCCAGATGATGTGATTCTACTGTCTTGTCTCTGCCCAAACATAAAATTGGGACTTACTCATGAAATCAGTTCATATGTGTAACAAAAACTTTCAAACGTTGACGCAGCCAAGGGAGATATTTTGGTTCTCGTTGCCAGTCTTATGGCCATGGATAAATTCTGAGACCTCCCACCTGTAACAATTCAGAGAAAACTGTGCTACTCAGGTATATCACATAAATCATGAGTGGTACAAAGAGTTTCATAACAGGCACCAACAACCAGGTGCTATTTTGAGTCTTGGATGCACACCCAGCTGACACGATTTTCATTCTCATACATAAACAGAGCCTACAAATGAGGTACTAAATTTCACACACATAAGCAGTTGAAATCTTAAAATTGTAACTCTCATACATGAATCTGATCCGCAGTTGGTTTGGTGGCATTTGAACGATGATTCAGCAAGCCTGTGGTGCTTTGAATCTACTAGTGGAGCACAATCTTCAAGTGGGATTGGGGCTCTTATACATGCATCTTGCCCATTGTTGAGACTCTGATGTCTGTACTTCGACCCAACTCACAGGAGATGTTGACTCTTACACCCGAAGGCAGGACTTGTGTGGGACTATGAAATGTATTTCTGAACATTTTCGAGTGTGTGCTTTAGAAGTATGACTTTGCCCAGTATCTGACTGTTTTGAATCTCCTTTCTAGGCCCACAGCACAGTTCGGATTGTGACATATGTGTGCTAAGCACCTAAGCAATATATGATATCTTCTTTGGCAGAGGGACCAAGGACATCTTTACATATCCCTGAAAGAAGCACCCAGCTGATGCAAAACCTTGGCCGGAAGCTTGCCTACAAAGAGCACTGTGGCTTTCATCAAGGTCCATCATATAAGTGATGTGACTTCCTTCTACTGCCTTGGCCTTGCACTTCTAGTGCATTGTTACACATAACTGGGTACTGCACCCATGTGATGGGACCCTTTGTTTGGAGGGGGTAGATTCTACCAATATAAAAACTGTATAATATATCACTTGGCTCAGCACCTAGGTGATGTTTCTTCTCTCTTGACTGAGCCCTGACCACCAGAGAGATGGTGACATATAGGTGAAACCAGCACAAGGTGAGTTCACTCTCCTGCCTTGGTCATAAACATAGGGGCCATTGTGACATATACCCAAGCCAATTGCCTAGGTGAGGTTTGTGTCCTCTCCTGCCTAAGCCCTGCCCACAGGGGGTTTTAGATATATCACTGAAACCAACATCCGGGTTAAGTGACTCTTCTTCTAGAGGCCTGTACACAGCAAGGATTGTGACATTCAACTAGACAAGCATCCACTCAGGTGATGAGAATTTCCTTTTTTCTCCATGTTCACAGGTTATATTGTGTCATATATGTGAGAGCAGATCAAAGGCCTAATAACGACCATTGCACCTGGAGCCTGAAACTTTTTATAGGTGTTATTGTGACACTTTCCTTTGCCAATCTCCTGAGTGATTTAATAATCCTACTCAGTTATAGCTAACAGATGACATTTTGACATATACCTGGACAAAAGCGTGATGATTTGACTCTCATGTTTTAACAGTGTCCTCAGAAGGGATCATAACATATTGCTGGATTCATCCTCTAGGTTGTGTGTCTCTCCTCTCCTGCCTGAATCCTGATTCTAGTGAAGATTTTAGCATTTCTATGCACTGGATCCAAATGACACAATTCTATTGCATGGGCCCTTTTCAACAGGAGGCATTGTGACATATCTCTGGGGCCATGATTTAGGTGACATGACTCTACTCTCCTTCCTGGGCATTCTCCACAAGGGGTATTATGCCATAGGGCTTTGCTTAAAACCCAAGTTTTGTGAATTTTCTGTTAGTGTCTTGCCTTCAAAGAGAATATTGGAATAATTCTGACTTAAAATTTAGGTGATGTGACTGTCCTGTCTGTTTAATAACCACAGAGGTAATGATGACATTTACCTAGGTACAGCTAACAGGCATGATAATGACTCTAATATGGGAACCCAGGCAATAAGGTAAATTTTGACTTTTGTCACAAGATTTTGAGACATGAGTGATGTTAAGGACCTTCATCTGGTAAAAAGCTCACAGAAAATCATAACAAACACACATAATTTATAACAACCTTGGGTTATATAGAGTGTCATAATAATGCCTAGCAGACAGAGAAAACTATGAGTCTCATATGCACACCCAAATAACAGTAAGGGCTTTCAACATCAAAGATGAATGAAAGCAACTATCCTACATAAAAAGAGGACATGTGTGGCATTGTAAATCTAATTCCTAGAATTTAATTCCATTGTGAATGTGATATAAATCTTTCCCAAGCACCTGTGTAATTTCACTCTTCAGATTGGGTCCAGCCTATATATGGAATTTTGATATCTACCTGGGCCAATTTTCAAGTGATGTGACACTTCCGCCTGGGCTGTGCTCTCAATAAGAATTGTGACATCACTGGATCCAGCACCCAGGTGATGTTACATTCTTGCTGCACTATGCCCACCCCCGATAATTCAATGTTATTTCACGTAGGTTCTTTTCTATTTCCCTAAGTGTTGGCTGGTCTGACAAATAAAGGGAAAGAGTACAAAAGAGACAAATTTTAAAGCTGGGTATCCGGGGGAGACATCAGACGTCGGCAGGTTCCCTGATGCCCCCTGAGCCATAAAACCAGCAAGGTTTTATTAGCAATTTTCAAAGGGGAGGGAGTGTATGAATAGGGTGTGGGTCACAGAGATCACATGCTTCAAGGTCAACAAAAGATCACAAGGCAGAAGGTCGGGGTGAGATCATGAGATCAGGGCAACATTAGAATCACTAATGAACGTCCATGTCCAGCTGTGCACGCATTGTCATCTTAACAGGGTTCAAGGGCAGAGAACCGGTCTGACTAGATTTTGCCAGGCTGGCATGTCCTAATCCTAGCACGCCTGGGGATGCTGCTGGAGACTAGGGTGTATTTCATCCCTATCTATATCTGCATAAGGCAGACACTCCTAGGGTGTCCATTTTAGATGTTCCCCCCTGGGAATGCATTCTTTTCCCAGGGCTGTTAATTATTAATATTCCTTACTGGGGAAAGAATTCAGCGGTATTTATCTTACCCGTTTTCAGTAATAAGAGAAATATGGCTCTGTCCTGCCCAGCCCACAGGCCGCCAGACTTTAAGGTTATCTCCCTTGTTCCCTGAAAATCGCTGTTACCCTGTTCTTAAGGTGCCCAGATTTCATATTGTTCAAACACACCTGCCCTACAAACATTTTGTGCAGGTAATGCAATCATCACAGGGTCCTAAGGTGACATACATCCTCAGCTTATGAAGATGATGGGATTAAGAGATTAAAGTAAAGGCAGGCATAGGAAATTGTAAAAGTATTGATTGGGGAAGTAATAAATGTCCATGAAATCTTCACAATTTATGTTCTTCTGCCATGGCTTCAGCCAGTCCCTCTGTTCGGGGTCCCTGATTTCCCTCAACATCATTGTGACATTTCACTGTGTCCATCACTTAGAAGAGGATGCCAGGGTCATGTAACAAGAGGGCATTTTGACATATCATAGGCCTATCATGTAGGTGATATGGCTCTTCTGCTTGGGACCTGCCCACTTGAATAGTGACACATTGCCAGGCCAGGCACAAAAGTGATTGTACTCTTTTGCCAGGGCCATGCTTTAAAGAAGGCTTTATGACATATCTCTGAGCCTATCACCTAGATTATATGACTTCTTGCTTTGCCTTGTCCACATGGATCTTTGTGATATAAGGGTGGAATCTGCACCTAGGTGATATAACTCTCTTGTCTGGGTCCTGTTCTAAGGGGGACTTATGAACATGTCAGGGCCCAGGACCAGATGATGTGGCTCTTTAGCCTGGTTTCTGCCCACATATTAATTTGTGATATATGCAAAAAGAAGCACCTATGTAATATGACTCTCTCTTTCTGCCTGAGCCTTGGCTACTTGTGACATTGGGCCATATCTGAGCCCATCATGGAAGTGATGTGAATCCCTTCTGCTGCCTGGGTCCTTCATTTACAGTGCACTGTGACACAGAAGTGGGTACTGCACACAGGTGATGTGATTCTCCTTTTTGGGTTCTGCCAACAGGAAGTGATGTAACACATCACTTGGCTCAGCATGTAGGTGATGTTTCTTCACTTTTGCTTAGGCCCTGACCACACGGAGATTGTGGCCTGTTGCTGGACCCAGAAACAATGTGAAGGCACTCTCTAACATTGGTACTGCACATCAAAGACATTGTGAGACATATCTAGATAAATTCCTTAGGTCAAATGAGTGTCCTCTCTTGCTACAGTCCTGCCCACAGACGGGATTTGGATATGTCACTGCAGTCAGCATAAAGGTGATGTGGCTTTTCTGCCAGGGTCCTGCCCAGAAGGTGGATTGTGACATCTCACTGGTGCCACCTCCACATAGGTGACGTGACTTTCTTGCCTTCTCTATGGCCACAGTTGATATTATGCAATATACCAGAGAAAATTACAAAAGTCTAATAACAACTCATATGCCTGGTAATTGTGACAAGTACTTTTGCCCAGCTGCTGACTGACTTAGTATTTCTGCCTCTGTATAGCCCATAAATGAGATTTTGACAAATAACTGTGCCGCACATATTAATGATTGCTTGTGTTATCTTAACAGTGTCCGCAGGGGGGAATTGTTAACATATTTCTGGACACATATTATAGCTTACATGCCTCTCCTTTCCTGCCTGGACCCTGCTTCCTTTGGTAATTGTAGCTTTTCTAAACACTGTATCCAAATGATATGAATTTCTTGCTTGGGCCCTGCCAAAATGAGGCACTGTGACATATATTTGGGCCCACGATTTAGGTCATATAACTCTCCCCTCCTGCCTCGATACTGCTACAAATGACATTGTACCACATAGCTGAACCTAGAACACAAGTTATGTAAAATTTCTGACAGTACCCTGCCTATTAAGAGAATATTGAAATATTTCTAGCCCAGTATTTAGGTGATGTGGCTGTTCTGCCTGCTTCATAACCACAGAGGGAATTGTAGCATATACTAGGCATGGCTCACAGGAATTATGACTCTCATATGTGGGCTCAGCCAATAGAAAATATTTTGACTCATAACTAACTTTAGGGACATGCGTGATGTCTTGGATCTCCTTTTTCTGCAAAGATCACAAGAGATTACAACACTCCACATATTTTACAAGGTCTTTAGTTTATACAGACAGCATCAAAGCAGGGCTTGGCACACAGGTGAAATTGTGAGTCCTGTATACACACCGAGCCGTGTGTAAGGACTGTCATTATTTCACAAGGATTAAGCCAGTTGTCACACATAAAAGCAAGATGTGTGGTATTGTAAATCTCACCTTTGGAATTTTCTGAAAATGTGATTTTGATATAAATTTTTGCCAAGCTCCTGTGTAATTTGAGTCTCCAGGGTGGTCCTAGTCCATATATGGGATTCTGATATCTACTTAGGCCAAACTCTAAGTGATATGACTCTCCTTCACAGGCCCCTCTCTCAGTAAGGATTGTGATATATCACTGGATCTAGCACCCAAGTAATGTTACATTCTTGCCTGTGCCATGCCCACCCAAATTATAGTGACATATTTCTGTGTCCACCTCATAGGTGATGTAACTCCTTTCTCTGGAATGGGCCGTGCACAAAGGAAGGATAGTGACATATTGCAAGGCCAGGCCCACAGGCAAGGATACTCTTTTGGCAGAGCCTTGCCCAAAGGAGGGCATTTTGACATAACTCTGGACCTATCACCTAGGAGATGTGGCTCTCCTGCTTGGGACCTGCCAACCTCGAGGTGAAATATTTCTTGGCCATGCACATAAGTAGTAGTACTCTTTTGCCAGGGCTATGCTTCATAGAGGACATTGTGATATATCTCTGGACCTATCTCCTAGGTGAAGTGACTCCTTTTTTGGGCCCTACCCACATGGAACATTGTGGCATAAGCAGAGAAACTGCACCTAGGTGATGTAGCTCTCTCTGCTGGGGGCTGTTTTAAGAGAGCCTTGTGCTATATCTCAGGACCCAGCACCCAAGTGATGTGGCTATTCTGCCTGCTTTCTGACCACATATTACCTGTGACATATTCCATGGAAAGAACATAAGTGATACGGCTCTTGTCATCTGCCTGAGTCCTGCATCCTGGGGACATTGTGACATATCTCTGAGCCCATGACCTAAGTGATGTGACTCTTTTTCTGCCTGGGCATTCACAGTAGGAGGATTTGGGCACATTACTAAGCCCAGCACTCACAATATGTGACTCTCCCTTTTTTCCTGAATTATGCCACAATAAATGAAATTTTGACCTATTCCAGGGTCCATAGCCCAGATGATGTCACTCTACAACCTTGGTTCTGCATAGAGAGAAAATTATGACATATGGCATATTGCTGGGCCAAGCACCCTTATGATGTGACTCTCCTGCCCGTTCTTGAGCCAATGAAGGTATTTTGACATATCTTAAGTCCATTATCTAGGTGTTTTGGCTCTCATAACTTGACTGGGTTTTTTCTGCATGTGGGATGGTGTCATAATGATGGGTCCAGCACCCAGTTAATTTGACCCAATTTCTTATACCAGACATGGAAAAAGCATTGTTACATATTGCCTGGCAAAGCGTCTAAGTGATGTTACCCTTCTGCCTAGTTTTTTGCTCATATATGGGATTATGACATATGCCTTTCTTCAGTTCACAGGCATAATGATTAAACTTATATTTGGATTCAGCCAATTAAAAAATCTTTTGCCTCTCAGTGTTAGGCTTAGGGCAATAAGTAAGGTCCTGGGTTGCATATTTTTCCAAGCTCACAGAAGTCTACAACACTAACTTATATTGTATAAACTCTGCTGGTAGAGAGCTTTATAACAGAGCCTGGCAAAAAGTTCAGAATGGGACTCTCATTTACACACCCAGATGAAATTAAAAGTTGTCACCATCCCACATTTATAATGCCCACTGTAGAAGTTCTGAGTCTAATGAGGGAATACATCACAAATTTGAAATTGGACCTTTTTTTTTTTTATTTGGATCTGGACACAGATGGGATGGTGACTTATTTCTGAACCGAGCCCACAGGCATAATAATAGGTGTTCCTGGCTGGGTGCGGTGGCTCATGACTGTAACCCCAGCACTTTGGGAGGCTGAGGCAGGTGGATCATGAGGTGAGGAGATCGAAACCATCCTGTCTAATACGGTGAAACCCCATTTCTACTAAAAATACAAAAAATTAGCTGGGCATCGTGGCACACACCCCTAGTCCCAGCCATCTGGGAGGCTGAGGCAGGAGAATCCCTTGATCCCAGAAGGCAGAGGTTGCAGTGAACTGAGATGGCACCACTGCACTCCAGCCTTGGTGACAGAGTGAGAATCCATCTCAGAAAAAAATAAATAAATAATAAAAAATAAATTAAAATAAATAAAATAAAATGGATCTTCTCTTTTAACACTGCCTATAGGAGAGATGTTGAGCATCATAACTCAGTTTAGGATGATAGGTAAGACCGTGAGTCCATATGAGCAAATAGGCCTCAGAGAGGTTTGAAACTCTCACACGGGTTTTATAAAGCCCTTAGATGTTTTTGAGAGTGTAATACATTGGTCCAGCACACACGTGAGATTGTGACTCTAATATACATGCTCAGCTAAAGGTTAAAGTCATCCTCAAAGATGAAGGGATGGTGTCATATCACTGGCCTAGTATCGTGGTATTGAGACTTTTTGCCTCAAATTACTTTCCATGGGTGCATTGTTACATATCGCTAGGTCAGAATCATAATAATGTGCCTCTTCTGCCTGGGCCCTGGTAACAGGGGATATAATCACAACTATCTGGGTCTATCAGATGCGTGGTTTGTCTCTCCTGCCTGTGCCCTGCCCCCAGAGAACATTTTGAAATACCACTGAAACTAATGTCCAAGTAATGTAACCCTCCTCTCTTGCCTGCATCCTCAGCCCAAAAGAATTGTGACATACGGCTGAATGTAAAAGCTAGGTGACATATCTCTCCTCTCTATGCAAGAGTATATGTTTGTGCTGCATTCTATTTCATTACTTCGTATTCTACCTTTATTCTACCAGTGCCAAAGTGCTTTGATTACTCTAGATTTTTGTATGTGTGTGTTTGGAAATTATTATGTGTAATGCTTCTAATATTTTTCTTCTTTTTAAAGTTTGTCAGGCTTTCCGTGGTCCCTTAAGATCTTACATAATTTTGTGAATTTTTTTCTATTTTTGGAAAACTCAAATTTAAAACTGAAAAGGGTCATGTTTTATATGTGGGTTACATTAAGCCACGAAGAAGCATGGACACATCACAATATTATGTCTTCCAACTCTTAAGAAGAGCATGCTCAAAATGTGTTGTTGGCCAGGTGTGGTGACTCATGCCTGTACTCTCAGCACTTTGGGATGCTGAGGAGGGTGTATGGAGACTTCAGGATATTGAGACCATCCTGGACAACATGGTGAAACCCTGTCTCTACTAAACTATAAAAAATATTTGTACTTTATGGTTGTGTGACTGTATTCTCAGCTACTCAGGAAACACGGTGGTTTGCATGCCTTTAATCCCAGCTACTCAAAAGGGTGAGGCTGGGGAACTGACTGAACCCGGGAGTTAGAGGTTGCAGTTAGCTGAGATTGTGTCAATGCCCTCCAGCCTAGGGACAGAGTGATACTCCATCTCAAAAACAAACACACACACACACACACACACACACACACACACACACACACAAACTTTTCTCTGTTACGAATTTCTAGTTTTATTGCATTTGCACTATAAATACTTGTAAAATTTTAATTTAAAAAATTATGAAGTCTTTTGTGGTGTCACACGTGGTCCACCTCACAAAATGATTTGTTAGCTATTGAAAAGAATGTGTGTTCAGTTTTCTATATATATTTGTTAGGTGTAATTATTGCATAGTGCATTCAACTTGTTCCTTCCCTTATTGATATTCTGTCTTGTTTTATTTATTCCTAAAAGCGGGATATTGATGTACCCTTCCATTATTATATTGCTGTCAATTTTGGCTTCAATTTTGTCAATGTTTACTTAATGTGTTTGAGAAAACTTTCATATATTTATAGATTCTCAGTGAATGATCTCTCTTACTAGAATTGAATGTCCTACTTGGTCTCTTGTAAATTGTCTTAAAGAAAATTTGGGGCGGTTCCAAGTGGCCGAATAGGAACAGCTCCAGTCTACAGCTCTCACATGAGTGATGACAAAGATGGCTGATTTCTGCATTTCCAACTGAGGTACCAGGTTCATCTCACTGGGGCTTGTCAGACAGTGGGTGCAGGACAGTGGGCACAGGTCACTGAGCATGAGCCAAAGCAGGGCGAGGCATTACCTCACCCAGGAAGTGCAAGGGATCAGGGAATTCCCTTTCCTAGCCAAGGGAAGCTATGACAGACATCACCTGGAAAATCGGGTCACTCCCAGCCTAATACTGCACTTTTCCAATGGTCTTAGCAAATGGCACACCAGGAGATTATATCCCACGCATGGCTTGGAGGGTTCCACACCCATGAAGCCTCACTCGTTGCTAGCACAGCAGTCTAAGATCAAACTGCAAGGTGGCAGCAAGGCTGGGGGAGGGGGATCCGCCATTGCTGAGGCTTGAGTAGGTAAACAAAGTGGCACAGAAGGTTGAACTGGGTGAAGCCCACCACAGCTCAAGGAGGCCTGCCTGCCTGTGTAGACTCCACCTCTGGGTGCAGGGCATAGCTGAACAACAGGCAGCAGAAACCTCTGCAGACTTAAAAGTTCCCATCTGACAGCTTTGAAGAGAGTAGTGGCTCTCCCAACAAAGAGTTTGAGATCTGAGAAAGGACAGACTGCCTCCTCAAGTGAGGCCCTGACCCCCAACTAGCCCAACAGGGAGGTACCCCCCAGCAGGGACAGACTGCAGCAGGGACAGACTGACACCTCACATGGCCGGGTATCCCTTTGAAATGAAGCTTCCAGAGGAACGATCAGGCAACAATATTTGCTGTTCAGCAATATTTGCTGTTCTGTCACCTCCACTGCTGATACCCAGGAAAACACGGTCTGGAATGGACCTCCAGCAAATACCAACAGACTTGAGGATCCTGACTGTTAGAAGGAAAACTAACAAACAGAAAGAACATCCACACAAAAACCCCATCTGTACGTCACCATGATCAAAGACCAAAGGTAGATAAAACCACAAAGATGGGGAAAAAACAGAGCAGAAAAGCTGAAAATTCTAAAAATCAGAGCACCTCTCCCCCTACAAAGGAATGCAGCTCCTCACCAGCAATGGAACAAAGCTGGATGGAGAATGACTTTGGTGAGTTGAGAGAAGAAGGCTTCAGACTTCTCCAAGCTAAAGGAGGATGTTTGAACCCTCCACAAAGAAACTAAAAAACCTTGAAAAAAGATAAGACAAATGGCTAACTAGAATAACCAGTGTAGAGAAGTCCTCAAATGACCTGATGGAGCTGAAAACCATAGCACAAGAACTACACAATGAATGCAGAAGCTTCAGTAACTGGTTCAATCAACTGGAAGACAGGGTATCAGTGATTGAAGATCAGATGAATGAAATGAAGTGCAAAGAAAAGTTTAGAGAAAAAAGAGTAAGAAGAAATGAACAAAGCCTCCAAGAAGGATGGGACTATGTGAAAAGACCAAATCTACGTCTGATTGGGGAGAAGGGAACCAAGTTGGAAAACACTCTGCAGGATATTATCCAGGAGAACTTCCCCAACCTAGCAAGGCAGGCCAACATTCAAATTCAGGAAATACAGAGAACGCCACAAAGATACACCTTGAGAAGACCAACTCCAAGACACATAATTGTCAGATTCGCCAAAGTTGAAATGAAGGAAAAAATATTAAGGGCAGCCAGAGACAAATGTCGGGTTACCCACAAAGGGAAGCCCATCAAGCTAACAGCTGATCTCTCAGCAGAAACTCTATAAGCCAGAAGACAGTGGGAGCCAATATTCAACATTCTTAAAGAAAAGAATTTTCAACCCAGAATTTCATATCCAGTCAAATTAAGCTTCATAAGTGAAAGAGAAATAAAATCCTTTAGAGACAAGCAAATGCTGAGAGATTTTGTCACCACCAGGCCTGCCTTACAAGAGCTCTTGAAGGAAGCACTAAACATGGAAAGGAACAACTGGTACCAGCCACTGCAAAAACATGCCAAATTTTAAAGACCTTCGATGATAGGAAGAAACTGCATCAACTAATGAGCAAAATAACCAGCTAACATCATAATGACGGGATCAAATTCGAGCATAACAATATCAACCTTAAGTACAAATGGGTTAAATGCTCGAATTAAAGACAGAGACTGGCAAATTGGATAAAGAGTCAAGACCCATCAGTGTGCTGTATTTAGGAGACTCATCTCACGTGCAGAGACACACGTAGACTCAACATAGATGGATGGAAGAAGATCTACCAAGCAAATAGAAAAAAAGGGGGGTGGAAGGGTTGCAATCCTGATTTCTGATAACACAGACCTTAAAACAACAAAGATCAAAGGAGACAAAGAAGGCTGTTGCATAATGGCAAAGGGATGAATTCAATGAGAAGAATTAACTATCCTAAATATATATGCACCCAATACAGGAGCACCCAGATTTATAAAGCAAGGCGTTAGAGACCTACACAGAGGCTTAAACTACTACACAATAATAATGGGAGACTTTTTAACACCCCACCATCAACATTAGACAGATTAATGAGACAGAAAGTTAAAAAGGATATCCAGTAATAGAACTCAGCTCTGCACCAAGCGGACCTAATAGACATCTACAGAACTCTCCACCCCAAATCAACAGATATATGTTCTTTTCAGCACCACATCACACTTATTCCATAATTGACCACATAGTTGGAAGTAAAGCACACCTCGGCAAATGTAGAAGAGCAGAAATTATAAAAAACTGTCTCTCAGACCATAGGGCGATCAAACTAAAACTCCGGATTAAGAAACTCACTCAAAACTGCTCAACTACATGGGAACTGAACAACCTGCTCCTGAATGACTACTGTGTACATAAGAAAATGAAGGCAGAAATAAAGATGTTCTTTGAAACCAATGAGAACAAAGACACAACATATCAGAATCTCTGGGATACATTTAAAGCAGTGTGTAGAGGGAAATTTATAGCACTAAATGCCCATAAGAAATCATGAAAGATCTAAAGCTGACACCCTAACATCACTATTAACAGAACTAGAGAAACAAGAGCAAACACATTTAAAAGCTAGCAGAAGGCAAGAAATACCTAAGATCAGAGCAGAACTGAAGGAGACAGAGACACAAAAAACACTTCAAAAAATCAGTGAATCTGGGAGCTGGTTCTTTGAAAATATCACCAAAATTGATAGACTGCTAAGCAAGACTACTAAAGAAGAAAAGAGAGAAGAATCAAAGAGACACAATAAAAAGTTATATAGGGGATATCACAACCGATCCCACAGAAATGGTAACTACCCTCAGAGAATACTAGAAACACCTCTATGCAAATAAATTAGGAAATCTAGAAGAAATGGATAAATTCCTTGACAAATACACCCTCCCAAGACTAAACCAAGAAGAAGTTGAATCCCTGAATAGACCAATAACAGACTCTGAATTTGAGACAATAATTAATCCCTATGAACAAAAAAAAGTCAAGGACGAGACAGATTCACAGCCGAATTCTGCCAGAGGTACAAGGAGGAGCTGGCACCATTCCTTCTGAAACTACTCCAATCATTAGAAAAAGAGGGAATCCTCCCTAATTCATTTTATGAAGCCAACAACATCCTGATACCAAAGCCAGCCAGAGACAGAACAAAAAAGAGAATTTTAGACCAATATCCCTGATGAACATCAATGGAAAAATCCTCAGTAAAATACTGGTGAACCGAGTTTAGCAGCACATCAGAAAGCTTATCCACCACGATCAAGTTGGCTTCATCCAGGGGATGCAAGTCTTGTTCAACATATGCAAACCAATAAACGTAATACAACATATAAACAGAACCAAAGACAAAAACCACATGATTATCTCAATAGGTGCAGAAAAGGCCTTTGACAAAATTCAGCAGCCCTTCATGCTAAAAACTCTCAATAAATTAGGTATTGATGGGACGTACCTCAAAATAATAAGAGCTATTTATGACCAACCCACAGCCAATATCATACTGAATGTGCAAAAACTGGAAGCATTCCCTTTGAAAACTGGCACAAGTCAGGGATGGTCTCTCTCACCACTCCTGTTCAACATAGTGTTGGAAGTTCTGGCCAGGGCAATCAGGCAGGAGAAAGAAATTAATGGAATTCAATTAGTAAAAGAGGAAGTCAAATTGTCCCTGTTTGCAGATGATATGATTCTATATTCAGAAAACCCCATTGTCTCAGCCCAAAATCTCCTTAAGCTGATAAGCAACTTCCACAAAGTCTCAGGATGCAAAATCAATGTACAAAAATCACAAGCATTCTTATACACCAATAACAGACAAACAGAGAGCCAAATCAAGAGTGAACTCCCATTCGCAATTGCTTGAAAAAGAAGAAAATACCTAGGAATCCAACTTACAAGAGATGTGAAGGACCTCTTCAAGGAGCTCAAATCACTGCTCATTAAAATAAAAGAGGACACAAACAAATGGAAGAACATTCCATGCTCATGGATAGGAAGAATCAATATCGTGAAAATGACCATACTGCCCAAGGTAATTTATAGATTCAATGCCATCGCCATCAAGCTACCAATGGCTTTCTTCACAGAATTGGAAAAAATTACTTTAAAGATCATATGGAACCAAAAAAGAGACTGCATTGCCAAACGATCCTAAGCCAAAAGAACAGAGCTGGGGGCATCACACTACCTGACTTCAAACTATACTACAAGGCTACAGTCACCAAAACAGCATGGTACTGGTACCTAAATAGAGATATAGACCAATGGAATGGAACAGAGCCTTCAGAAATGATACCACACAACTACAGCCAATTGATCTTTGACAAACCTGACAAAAACAAGAAATGGGGAAAGCATTCTCTATTTAATAAATGGTGCTGGGAAAACTGGCTAGCCATATGTAGAAAGCTGAAACTGGATCTCTTCATTACAGCTTATACAAAAATCAATTCAAGATGGATTAAAGACTTAAATGTTCTACCTAACACCATAAAAACCCTAGAAGAAAACCTAGGCAGTACCATTCAGGACACAGACATGGGTAAGGACTTCATGTCTAAAACACCAAAAGCAATGGCAACAAAAGCCAAAATTGACACATGGGATCTAATCAAACTAAAGAGCCTCTACACAGCAAAAGAAACTACCATCACAGTGAACGGGCAACCTACAGAAGGGGAGAAATTTTTTGCAATCTACTCATCTGACAAAGGGCTAATATCCAGACTCTACAAAGAACTCAAACAAAGGTAAAAGCAAAAACAAACGACCTCATCAAAAAGTGGGTGAAGTATATGAACAGACACTTCTCAAAAGAAGACATTTATGCAGCCAACAGACACATGAAAAAATGCTCATCATCATGGCCAAAAAAGAAATGCAAATCAAAACCACAATGAGATACCATGTCACACCAGTTAGAATGGTGATCATTAAAAAGTCAGGAAACTGCATGTGTTGGAGAGGATGTGGAGAAATAGGAACACTTTTACACTCTTGATGGGACTGTAAACTCGTTCAACCATTGCGGAAGACAGTGTGGTGATTCCTCAAGGATCTAGAACTAGAAATATCATTTGACCCAGCCATGCCATTACCGGGTATATACCCAAAGAAGTATAAATCATGCTGCTATAAAGACACATGCACACGTATGTTTATTGTGGAACTATTCACAATAGCAAAGACTTGGAACCAACCCAAATGTCCAACAATGATAGACTGGATTAAGAAAATGTGGCACATATACACCATGGAATACTATGCAGCCATAAAAAAGGATGCATTCGTGTCCTTTGTAGGGACATGGATGAAGCTGGAAACCATTATTCTCAGCAAACTATTGCAAGGACAAAAAAAACAAACACCACATGCTCTCACTCATAGGTGGGAATTGAACAATGAGAACACTTGGACACAGGATGGGGAACATCACACACCAGGGCCTGTCGTGGGATTGGAGATAGGGGGAGGGATAGAATTGGGAGATATTCCTAATGTAAATGATGAGTTAATGGGTGCAGCACACCAACATGGCACATGTATACATACCTACCAAACTTGCACGTTGCGCACATGTACCCTAGAACTTCAGGTATTAAAAAAAGTAAATTTTATGAAATATCAGAGTTTTCAACTTAATAACTTGTTTCCTCTTTTCCACTCATTGGGTTAACACTTACATGGAATGTATTTCTCATCCTGTCATTTTCTGTCTTTTTTTAAATTAGATCTGAAGTGATTCTCTTGAAGACATGACATAGTTGATCTTAATATACATCATGATATAGTGAGAATTTTTTTTTTTTTTTTCGTTTTGAAGGTTACTTTTGCTGGGTGTGGTATTCTTGCTTAGACTCTTTTTTTCAGTGTTTTAACTATGTCATCCTGCTCCCATCTTGCCCAAAAAATTTATGTTCATAAATTTACTTGTAATCTTGCAGAAGCATGCATACAAATAACACATCTCTTTTATCTTCTTGCATTCCAGATTCTCTTCTTGTCTGTGAATTTCAAAATATTGTTTATGTTGTGTCTTATTAGAAATATTTTTGTGTTAATCTTCATTGTTATTTGCTGAGCTTCTTGATTTCTTATATTTTTTACTAATGTTGAAGTCCATGTTAGTTTTTTTTTGGTACTTCTACTCTACAATTTTTATTTCTTTTTGTGATCTTTATCTTTGGTGAATTCCTTTTTGTTATTTCATTTTTTATCTTTATTCTCATTTTCTCTTTCAGATGGTAATATTGATTTTTAGGGTAATTTTTTTCTTTTAAATATAGATCTAGACTTCAATTCAAATTATCACAGCTAATTTTTAAAACTCCATCTTTAAATAATTGTTTTCTGTATATTCCTTTTTATGTTTGATTGATCCATATTATCTTGATGTATTTCAATGTTTGCCTCACTGTCTAGGTGGGGAAGTTATCATGGATGATATTCCAAAATATGTATTTCAAGTTGTTTTCATTCCCCCCATCACTTTCAGGCACTCTCTTTAATCATGTATTTGGTTACTTTACATAATTAAATATTTCTCAGAGGTTTTGTTCATTTCTATTTATTCTTTTTTTACTATTCTTGTCTCTATTATTTCAGAAAGCCAGTCTTGAAACTCTGAAATTCTTTCTTCTGCTTAGCCAATTCTGCAGTAATATGTGTGAATAAATTATAAAGTTTTGTATTCTGTTTTTCAGCTTTATCACACTGGCCACATTTTCCTCCAGATTGTTTGTTTTATCTGTCAGTTTCTGCAATTTTCCCTTCCTTGCATTGGTTTGCAACTTACTTTTGTAGCTCAATGAAGCTTATTTCTATTCACATTCTGAATTCTATTTCTGTCTTCTTAGGTCTTGCTGGAAATGTAGGTTGGTTATTTGGATTAAATAAGTCACTCTAGCTTTTTTTTTTTTTTCCCCAGCAGTTTTGCATTGATTTTGTCTCATCTTTGTAGGCATATATTTGAGGTTGCTGAACTTTGAATGAAGATTTTTTAATCATATTTTGATGTTCTTGAGTATCTGATTGTGGCATAAGGTGCTTTCATCCAACAGGCTTTGTTCTTGGGAGAAGTTTTTATTTTTTTATTTTTATTTTTTATATTTTTTGTGGAGGGGTTGGGGGAAGTGCTCAGCTCACAACTCAGAGGCTTCATACTCAGCGGGAATTGTATTGAGCCCCAACTCTCTTCCCTGTCTCTTTGATATTTGGAGTCTGCCACCCTGTTGGACTAAGTTTCTGCAGCTTCAGCAGAGTGCTAGTGGATATGGAGTTTCTGCCTGTCTTCACTTATTCATCTCAGTAGCAGGAGCAATGTAGCTGGGATGGGAGTAGGTGCACCTGCTGGAGACTGTGTGCTGTTGCAATAAATGTGGTGTTAGCATGTGGTAGGATGCTGACCAATGAAGGTTTGAAGCCTTCTTTTTGCCCCCTAAAGAAGAAGTGATTGTTCAGAATGTGGGAGGATACACTGTTCTCTGCACAGTGTTAGCATAAAGTTAGCAGTGAGTCTTTTTGGCTCTCTGCCCACCAAAGCTTTATCTACAATGGCAGCTGCTGGGTTGGCAGGAGCATACTGCATTCCCGTTTGCTAGTGGGCCAAGCAAAGCCAAATCTGCCTTTGAAGACATGTGCCAGTAAAGTAATATGAGGAGTTGCCATGTTTTCGAGGGAAAGTGCAGTGTGGGAAAGAAACATGTGGGCTGCTGCAGTCATAGGGGCTGCCTAGCTGTTGCTCTTCAGGAGTTATATGTGACCTACCAGTGCAGATGGTATGGTATGGGCTCTCAGTGTGCCTGAGACTGGCCTGTAAGGATCTGGGTGCCTGGGAGAGGCGGTAAACCACGGAGTGCTCAGTTAGACAAGCTTCTGATTTTCAAAGCTATAGTACAGTAATTAGGTCCAACACTTCCCTAGGGCAAAACTCTCTTATGTGAAAAAGTTGCTGGTAGAGAAATGGCCATCACTGGCCACACCTTACTACAGATGCCCTTGCACCAAACCCTCTGGTCACCACATAAGCTGGCTTGCTGCCCTACCTCTTTGCTGGTTTTCTGAAGGCTGCATCTAAGAGAGATGTAGGTCAGCAATCCCTCAGTACAGTCAGCCCATGATGAAAGATCTGTGATTTTGGTCAAGTTAGGGGTCAACTGTCTGGTGAGGAGCAGTGGGTAGTTTGTGGGACCCATGGTGAATGAACTGGCCTCCTCTCCTTGGGTAAACTGAAGCTTGTTTGATGTTTGAATAAGACACTCAGGGTTTTGGATTTTTCACTAGTCTAAGGGTAGCAAGGAAAGTTCTACTATAGAGGCAGTGGCAGAAATATTTTCAGTCGTTACTGGGGTCCCTGTCCAGGGAGTCGCTAAGTTGCTACTATCTCAATACCTCTGGCAGTGATTGGCTAGTGGCCCAGGCCTGGAGAACCTGTCCAGTGAGAATATATGAGAACAGGCACTCACATAACAGTATGGCCACTTTTCTGAAGGGCTGCCTCAGTATGCGAGGTGTCCATTGCCATTCCTAGTCACCTAAGATTTTCCAGTACTTGAAGTTACCACCACTGAATGTTGCTAAACTAAATAATTGCAGCGTGCCTTTTTTTTTCTGGGTGCTCAATCCCAGGGAGGTATAGACCTCTTTCCAACCCAATAGCACCTGTAAGAGGTAGCTGGAATCCCTTGTTGAAATTTCTTACTCAGTAAAGAGAACGTAATTGGGGAGCCACTTAAGAAAGCAGTCTAGCAACATTTTCATAGTACGTCTCTGCTGTGCAGAGGTACCACTTCCATCCACAGTTTATTTGGATTCTCCAAAGCCAGAAGGCTGGAACAGCCAAGTCACACACATAGGAAAAATTGCTGCTCACTCTTCCCTCTAGCAATTATATCACAAAGAGGTTTCAAAATTCCATCGACCAAAGATCGTGGTCTTTGATCACAGCTACTACCAGTGGTGGTAGCTGCTCACTCTGGTTAGGAAGTCCTTTCCAGTTGCAAGAAATGAGATTGGGTACCTGATTTAACAGGCATTCTGGCCATGTCTTTTTAGAGCACCTATACTGTGCTAGGAGATTCTTTATTCCCCACGTTAGCTTGGGCTTTTTAAAGCCTGAAGGCTGGAATGCCTAAGTTGCCCAAGCAGCTAAGGTGGTGTCCCACTCGACTTTCTGATAGCTCCATGCCAGGGAGGTCCAGTGCTGCTACCAATGGGCTGACCAGAATGCTAAGCCAATAAGTCTTACCCTGTGGGGCACTGTGGGCATGGGTCCTAAGACCTAAGACCATGACTGGTCAGCCTCATGGATTCTGCCTCTTTTCTATGAATACTTACAGAAGTACAGATTCCTGCTTTACTGGAGTTGCAACTACTTTTTCTGGGAAGCCTGGAAAAACTGAGTACCTAAAGTTCTTGAATCTCTGCACAGGCCTCAGCAGCTGATCTCTGAGACTCCACGTAGCTCTGTGTGTTCAACTGAAGGCCTTGATGAAGCAGGTTCATGAATAGATCTCCTCACCTGAGGGTTGCAAAGATCTGTGGGAGAATCGTGGGTTCCCAGGGTCACACTTATACCCACTGCTTTATTGAGTGGGAATGTTTTCTTGGTTCCATGTTGTTCCCAGGTGGTTCACTGTCCTGCCTTGCTTTATTCCATTCTCCATAACTTAAGTTGTTTGATTTTTCCCAATGCAAGCACCTGGGTGTTTCAGTTGAAGGTGATGTATTTATGCACAACTTGCATTCCTCTCTATGAGAACTACACAGACTAGCTGCTTCTCATCAGCAGTCTTGATCACTTTCCTATAACAGGGACCTAGTTTTTAATATTAAAATAATTTAATATTTTTCAAAAGCAAATATTGATGTAATTTAACTCTTACATTTGTTGCTATGTCTTCATATCTAAAATATATGGGAAAGAACATGGACAATTGTTGCTCCACCAGAGTTATGAGAGGTTCTTCCATATTAGATGGACAGATTTATCTATTTTGCAATGGAAGACTAAGAAAACTGAAATCTAATATACATGAAAAATTTCTAAGTGAAAAGGGCAAGTACTGGTTGGTTTATAACAGTATCATAGTGACAGGATGATAGGAGTGTGGTAAGTGCTCAGGATAATATTATGCATAGTAATAGGAACAATTTGAATTTTAAACAAAAATTGCTTTACCATTTGCAAATTAAGGTAATTAAAATACAGTGAATTTAAAAATACCTTTTTAATGACAATGTGTGGACTTAATTTTTTTCAAATTAACCAGAATTGTTGTTATTGTGTTAAGGCTATTTTATATTGAATGTGTGTCTTGCCACTGATGTTATCGTATCTTACTCAAAGCTGTAAGTAACAGATGGTGACAATTTGCTATAGGGTCACAGTGAAATAACGTCTGTAGTCATTCTTTTGTCAGTGGTCTTTAACTTAAAATAATTTGGAAAATATGGTTTTTACAACTTACATTTATGTTTTTCTTGTAACTAAAGGTGATTATGATGGCTCTAATGGAGATTATATGAGTATAATGGAGCTACAGTCTTCTGAATTCTGAACAAGTGTTTACAAAATTTTATCCTACTTTTTTCTATTAAACATATGACTTCTCTGGTCTGCTAAACACATAAAGACCTTTAGCTTTAGTTTACATGAATTTAAATATAAGAGATATATTACTGTAAAATAAACTTTAGGTGTGTAACAGATCTATAGCAAGTAATGAGAGTTATTTATGGCTGTGTATCTACTTTGAGAAGGAAAGAAAAATGTTAGAATGCAACAGATAATTTTACAAGTGTTGATAACTTATCACCAAATAAAAAACTTCAACAATTTTGAAAGCAAATCTATTTTCTCAGCTTTGTGTTAAACTCATTTATTTAAAATATTATTGCTCCTGGCTTAGAAAAATCTTGGGCAAATTCTGCTTTTTATGTTTGTCCCTTTGCCTGTTGCTAACTGTAGACATAATGTATAATTCTCTTTTCAGAAAATTCCGCAAAACATTCTTTGGTGTGGGTGCAGTGGCTGACATCTGAAATCTCAGCACTTTGTGAGGCTGAGACAGGTGGATCACCAGAGACCAGGGGTTCAACACCAGCCAGGCCAACATACTGAAAGCCCATCTGTACTAAAAATACAAAAATTATCTGGGTGGGTGCGTGTAATCCCAGCTACACAGGAGGCTGAGGCAGAAGAATCACTTGAAACTGGGAAAGAGAGGTGGCAATGCACCTTCTGGAGCTGCAGGGTGGGCACTGCGCAGTGGCTTGGTAAAAGGAGGGTGAGCAGCCTCTCACTGAGGGGATTTCATTGCCCCTTATTCTGATGGGCAAATTGAGCCCCCAAAGCCACAAGCCAAGAGGGGCAAAAGCACTCATCTGAGGCAAGAACCTTTTTCTTTACAGGCTCCCTTAAGTTTCAGACTTCCCTGGGCTTGCCTGAATCCTCTCTGGGCTTGCCTTTAGAAAAAAGATTCTTCTTCCTTCTGATTGTAGGCAGAGAAGCAACCAGTCAGTTGTGGTAAGCCCACCCACAGCTTCTTTTGTGGGCCAACCTGGGCCTCTACACTCTACTGGACTGTAAAACAGAAATTCTAGAGTCCAGAATTCACATTTTGTTCTAGAACAAGAGTTAAGCACCCAGGCCAGAGCAAAAGTGGGCCTGTTAATTCCGTGGCACAAATCCCAAATCAGAGAACTGGCTTGACTGTCCAGCTACACCCAGGCAGGGTTTGTACTGTTTCAAGTTGGTCCCATTCTCTTCCTGCCTCCTCAGCTACACCCAGGCAGGGTTTGTACTGTTTCAAACAGGTCCCATTCTCTTCCAGCCTCCCGTAACTTGCCATCTGTATCAGCTGTTTCTCTACCCTCCACACCCTATAATTTTTGAAATTCCTCTGAAGACTGCCTGAGCCAAACATCAAGGGTCACAGAGCTCTAGCCTACTCAGGCTGTGCCAGGAAGGGAGAGCTCACAACCTACCTTGACACTTAAGAGTCATGTACAAATAGTAGCAACTCTAGGAGGAGGACTGTCACATACTCAGATCCTTTTCTGGTCTCCATAACAAAAGATATGTCAGAATGGCAAGGATAATAATACACAACCCTGGCAGTTCTCCCTTTTAAAGGGCAGCCTCAGCCTGGTCATTCTGAACCACAATTTTAGGGTTTATTTCAGCATGTCCCACCTTGTAAAATAGTACTGGAGCCCCAGAATGATATGATTGAGTGAAATTCTGGAGAAGGAGCACCTCAGCAGCCTGAATGAACCTATAATAGGAACAGATCCTACCAGCTAAGAAGCCATCTCATTAACTTAGATATCCATACCAGCAACGTGCACACACATCAGCCCCTTAAATAAAATCCTGTCAATGGAGTGATTCAGGTAAAAGCAAAAATTTGTTTATCTAGAGTCTCAGGAAGAAGAACCTCTGTTGTCTGAATCAGAATATATGATGGATGCAACTGACAGTGTTAACTTTACTTGGGGATAGCTGGACATTAACCTTACATTAAAAGTGCTTCTGAGTGTTAAAACTTCCAAGTGACAAAAATCAAATTGTGGCCTGGCTGGGAGCAGTGGCTAATGCCTGTAATCCCAGAACTTAGTTAGTCCAAGCCAGGTGGATCATCAGAGGTCAGGAGTTCAAGATCAGCCTGACCAACATGGAGAAACCTCTTCTCTACTAAAAATACAGAGTTCAAGATAAGCCTGACCAACATGGAGAAACCTCTTCTCTACTAAATATACATCAGCCAGAGATTGTGGAACTTGCCTGTAATCCCAGCTACATGGGAGGCTGAGACAGGAGAAGATCATGCCATTGCACCCCAGCCTGGTCAACAGAGTGAGATTTTGTCTCAAAGAAAAAAAAAATCTAGTAGTGGCCAACCTAGAAGTTATTCTTTACCTATGAGGAACGTCTGAGACCCTGGTCTGTCCTATCCTGTGGCATGGAACACGGGCCACACAGAGGATTGAAGCCCTTTCATTTTTTGTTAAATAAAGGCTGACAGATGAAAGGTTGTTCAGACAAATGTGTTAAATAAAAATACTATAC
Source organism: Homo sapiens (assembly GCF_000001405.40). Classification (NCBI taxonomy): domain Eukaryota; kingdom Metazoa; phylum Chordata; class Mammalia; order Primates; family Hominidae; genus Homo; species Homo sapiens. Next base: position 25,102,959 of record NC_000024.10, on the reverse strand, counting down.
TAACTATAGGCTTTTTGCAAGTGGCTGTTGTTATCCTACTAAGCCCACTGACACTGGACTTTCTCCACTTTATGTAAGTCCAAAGTAAAACTCCATATCTCATTCACTGGTTCTGAGTCTATTCTTTGACATCTTGAACCTCAAAACTCACCAAAGCATCAGCTATAGATGCAATTGTTCTCTTTACTACTCTCATTCAAGCCTCTTTTTTCAGATAAACTTTCAGTGGAATACCAAGAAAGATGAACATGAAACACATCGTGGTCAGATGTAAGATTGATGCCAGAATAGGCAGTGACCACTTTCAAAGCAAAAGGGAGCATTTTTCTTTCCCCATGAGCAGCTCTCAACTTCTGTCATCATTTTCTGGTTTCAGTAATGGTTACATCCTGGCTCTGGAGGAACCATTGGCCCTGGGTAATAAACATCTTCACTTAATCCTGGTGCAAAAAAGCTTTCTTTTGACAAATATGTCCTCTGTGATCACGAGCTTCTAAGCAATCTGGACAATGCCCAAACCAAAAAAAAAAAAAAAAAACTATGAAAGAGAGATGAGTAGGTGTTAGGGAAACAACTTTCCACTTTTTTCTTTTGGCAAATTCAAACAATTTTGATGGTAGACAGATGTGCAGAAGAGGACAGCATAGTATAATTCCTCATCACATGAGTTTACAACCAAGAGTTTTCAGTCCTAACTATGAGAGCTCCAGATGAAAACCAGAAGTTACTTCACTGTACATCTATTAATGTCTGATTGCACAGCTTTTTTTTATCATACTGAGGAGCCTTCACTGAGTATTTTTCCATTGAACATGTAGAGATAAACAGGAAAAGATAAAATAACAACTCCATAAATTTATTAAACAAGGTGTAGAAATGTTTATCTTCTCATATTATTACCATTTTCACACACACATAATTGCATGTATATCTACCCATAAAGCTGAAATTTTCATAATAAATCTGTTATATGTCAAGTTTAAATTCAAAAAATATTTTTCAGTCAGTCGTGGTGGCTCACACCTGTAACCCTAGTACTTCAGGATCCTGAGGTGGATGGATCACTTGAGGTCAGGGGTTTCAAACCAGCCTGGTGAAACTATGTCTCCACTAAAAATCCAAAAAAAAAAAAAAATTTTCTGGGGATGGTGGTACATGCCTGTAATGCTACTTGGGAGGCTGAAGCCAGACAAGTTCTTGAATCTGAGATGTGGAGGCTGCAGTGATCCCAGATTGTGTCACCACACTGCAGGTGGAGTGACACCGCAAGATTCTGTCTCAAAAACAGACAAACAGAAAAATATTTTTTCTTTCTTACAACAAAAAGACACACATGTGTTCTAGATATGCCCTGGTGGAGTGGAGTGGGTGTGGAGCCTGTCTTTGTAAAGAAGGAAGAAGGGCCAGTACCCAGGATTATGTGTGAAGGATGAATTGGCACACAAATAAAGGGGCAGCCAGGCCCTTGGCCTAGCAACACTGAAGCTTACAGGTGGCTTCGGAAAGCAGGATAAATAGCCCGTGGACTTAATGCTAGATGGCTCTGTAACAATGAAACATCTGCCCAGGGATCTTAGCAATCCTGCTAGAAGGCCCTGACTATACCCTGGATTGGAGATACCTGAGGTAGAGTGGCTGCCAGAGAGCCTGAGCAAACACCAGTTTTGACCACTATGGCTGGGTCAATCTAAAATAGCTTATCTCTTCTGATTTACAATACAAAATATAGAAAAATAAAGTGAAAAAAGTAAAATCAAGAGAAAAAAATTAAAAAATAAGTTTAAAGTAATTAAAAATAGTAAAGACAAATAAACTGAAACAAAATAGAGAAAAATAAAGAGAAATGTAATTAAGATCAGGGAAAGTAAATAAAATGAAGATGAAGAAAATAAATACAATAAAATTAAGAGAAATAAACAGAAATGAAACAATTTGCAATAGAATAAAATAAAACTTTATGAATCAGGAGAAAAAATAAAAGTAAAAATAAAGATAAATATGGAGAAATAAAATAAAATAATATAAAGGGATAAGAATGGGAGTAAATAAGATAAAAAAGAAATTAAATAAAATGTTTCAAACAAGACACAAATTGGAGAACATTTGAAATGAAGAGACAATAATATAAAAAATAAAAGATAGAAACAAATTTAAATGCATAGAAAAAATGAAAGTAAATAAAAAATAAAAAAGAAAAAGAAAAATATATAGAAAAATAAAAGTTAAAGAGCAAAATAAGACCTGGGGATAATCTACAAAATGTTTCACCCAACAATTGCATAGTACATATTTCTATATACATTTGGCATGTTTTCTTAGATAGGCAAACTTTTAAGCTAGAATGCAAGTTTTAGCATATTTAAACTGACGGTAATCACAAAAAATATTATTTCTGACTACAATAAAATATAACTGGAAGTAAAAACCAAAAGAAAACTAGTATATCTGCATATACATGAAACCTAGACAAATTCTTGAGCATACTATTTTTCAAGAGTTAGAATAGGCAAGTTTCTTTAGATGTTAATTGTTTGGATTCACTCAGGCCGCTGGCAGAAATATTACAGGGAAGTATTAGGAAAAGTTATAAGGAATAGTAACAAACCTTTTTGGCAGGCTAAAAGGCTAAAATTATTATATAGCTTGTAATAATTGAACAGGCTGAAGGCAACCTCTTCTTACCTTAAAGCATTAGGTCATAGGGTAAATACTAGGGACAACTGAGGCTTCTCCAGTTAAGTCTGTTTACTCTACCTCCACTAACTAAGATGGCTCTCTCCAGGGAGTTCGACCAGAGAAATTGCCCCCAATGGTATTTACTTTAGACTGTGGTAACTGAGGTTTAATCATTCACAGAACTATTCTCTTAACAATGTTAATTATCCACAAGTGTGTTTACTCAAAGCTTCTGTGATTAATTCTATACTAAATAAATGCCTGGAGGGTGAGTTGCTCAGGGTGGGCCTCCATTCTTTACAGGACTCTCCGTGGAGTCTGGGAGTGGCCTCGGACCCTCTGCTGCTGGCAAAGCAGGATATCTGTGTGTCAGGTAGTTTATTCACCCATCGCCAGGTCTGCAGTTGGAGCCCATTGTGTGAGGCAGTCTGTGAAGGAAGTGTGAGAACCACCCTCATGAGGAAAGCTGTAGAGGAAGAGTGAGGAATGCGACAGACTCCCTGAAAGCAAAGGTGGAAAAAGAATTCACGTGGTGAAGTCAGTGACTAATCAGTAAGTCATTGGTGCCCACTCGAGGTTACCAAGTTCTGGGAGAAGTTGGGTCAAGCTGAGGTATTCTCATGGGACAACATTTATCAGCTCAACAGAAACAGTATATAAAAGTGTTGAAACAGTTGCTTAAGGCTAGTGGAGCATCAGTTTTGCAGGCTCAATTAGGGGACATAATGCAAACTGTTGTAATCCTGAGAGGTAAAACTGGCTGGGCTTTGGGTGGGGTGGGGACTTGGAGAACTTTTCTATCTAGCTAAATGATTGTAAATGCACCACTCAGTGCTCTGTGTAGAGCTAATCAGGTAAGGGACTTGGAGAGCTTTTCTGTCTAGCTAAAGGATTGTAAATGCACCAATTGGTGCTCTGTGTCTAGCTAAATGTTTATAAATGCACCAATCTGCACTTGCTAAAAACAGACCGATCAGCACTCTGTAAAATGGAACAATCGGCAGGATGAGGGTGGGGACAAATAAGGGAATAAAAGCAGGCCACCTCAGCCAGCAGTGGCAACCCACTCAGGTCCCCTTCCACACTGTGGAAGACCTGTTCTTTTGCTCTTTGCAATAAATCTTGCTGCTACTCAGTCTTTGGGTCCACACTACCTTTATGAGCTGTAACACTCACCATGAAGGCCTGCAGCTTCACTCCTGAAACCAGCAAGACCACAAACCCACCGGGAGGAACAAACAACACTGGATGCACCACCTTTAAGAGCTGTAACACTCACTGTGAAGCTCTGCAGCTTCACTCCCGAAGTCAGCGAGACCATGAACCCACTGAGAGGAACAAACAACTCCAGAAACACCAACTTTAAGAGCTGTAACACTCACTGTGAGGGTCTGCAACTTCACTCCTGAAGTCAGCGAGACCATGAACACCTGAAGGAACAAACTCTGGACACACTGTCTTTAAGAACTGTAACAGTCACCGTGAGAGTCCATGGCTTCATTCTTGATGTCAGTGAGACCAAGAACCCATGGGAAGGAATCAATTCCAGACACACTTTGGTGACCACAAAGGGACTATTGCCTATTGCCAAGCAGTGAGTACCATCGACCCCTTGTGCTTGCTATTCTGTCCTATTTTTCCTTAGAATTCTAGGGCTAAATAGCAGGCACCTGTCAGCCAGTTAAAAGCAACTAGCTTGGTCACTGAACTAAAGACATGGGTGCCAGGCTTTCTGGGAAAGGGCTCTCTAGCAACCCCAACTCTTCGGAGTTGGGAGTGTTGGTTTGCATGGAACTAGCTTCCACTTTCCCTGTACTTCTGGGCTGAGATGAGGGTTGATAGGAAAACCATTCAGCTCCATGGTCCCAACAACAAATTGGTTGACCCTGCAGCCATGGCGGAACTCTTAGTCATGTCGCCCAAGCGAGACTCTCCCATCTATCCTATCTATCCTGAGCCTTGCCTCCTGGGTCCTAAAGCCTGTCAGACAATCTTCCTCTTGCTTCTGTTCTCTGAGGCTAGTCCTGCTTCTAAAAACCACTCCCTGTCTCTGGTGCTTTTCTAGTTTCTCCTGTAAGAACTATTTCTGGTATAAACTCCAGGACTCTATTCCCTTCTCCTGGCACTCAGGCTCAGCAATCAGAAAGAGAGAATTTTTGCCCAAAGCCCCATTTTAAGGGGGACTATCTGGAATTTTAGGATCCCTCCTCAGACAAACAGGCTTAACAAAACCTATTCCTGAAGCTAGGATATGGGACGCCTCAGAAATTGTATCTTTCTTATTCATATAAGTGAGGACAAAAGGCATCACTCTTCTGACTCTGGTGATCTCTTCCCTCCCTCAGGGTATGGCCCTCCACTTCATTTTTGGGGCATAACATCTTTATAGGACAAGGATAAATTCCCAATATTAACAGGATAATGCTTAGGACTCTAACAGGTTTTTGAGAATATGTCAGTAAGGGCCACTAAATCCGATTTTTCTCAGTCCTCTTTGTGGTCTGGGTGGACAGGCAAGGCTGCAGGTTTTGTTGTGGTCCAGGAGGAAAACCAGTGTTTCTGCTGCTGCATCAGTGAGCACAACTATTCTGATCAGCAGGGTCCAGGATCCATTGTGGGTTCTTGGGCAGGTGGAGAAACAAACAAACAAAAAGAGTGGGCCGTTTTCTCTTTCGGATGGGAAACACTCAGGCATTAACAGACCCACTCTTGCAATGCATCCTAAGCCATTGGGACCAATTTTACCCACAAACCCTGAAAAAGTGGTGGCTTATTTTTTTCTGCACTATGGCCAGGACCCAATATTCTCTCTCTGATGTGGAAAAATGGCCACCTGAGAGAAATATAACTTACAATACTATACTGTAGCTTGACCTTTTCTGTAAGAGGTAAGGCAAAAGGAGTGCAATACCTTAAGTCCAAGTTTTCTTTTCATTGAAGGAGAATACAAAACTATGCAAAGCTTGCAATTTACATCCCACAGGAGGAACACTCAGCTTACCTGCATATCCTAGCCTCCCTATAGCTCCCCTTCCTATTAATGATAAGCCTCCTCTAATCTCCCCTGCCCAGAAGGAAACAAGCAAAGAAATCTCCAAAGGAACACAACCCTTCCCCGGGCTATCGATTACATCCCCTTCAAGCTCTAGGGAGAGGGGAATTTGGCCCAACCTTGGTACATGTCCCCTTCTCCCTCTCTGATTTAAAGCAGATCAAGGTAGACCTGGGAAAGCTTTCAGATGATCCTGATAGGTACATAGATGTCCCACAGGATCTAGGGCAAAGCCTCGATCTCACTTGGAGAGATGTCATGCTATTGGTAGATCAAACCCTGACCTTTAATGAAAAGAATGTGGCTTTAGTTTTAGCCTGAGAGTTTGGAGATACCTTGTATCTTAGTCAAGTAAATGATAGAATGACAGCTGAAGAAAGGGAAAAATTCCCTACGGGTTGGCAAGCCATTCTCAGTGTGGATCCCTATTGGGACCTTGACTCAGATCATGGGGACAAGAGTCATAAACATCTGTTCACCTGTGTTCTAGAAGGACTAAGGAAAATTAGGAAAAAGCACATGAATTATTCAGTGATATCCACCATAACTCAGGGAAAGGAAGAAAATCCTTCTGCCTTCCTTGCGTGGCTAAGGGAGGCCTTAAGAAAATATACTGCCCTGTCACCCAAATCACTCAAGGGTCAATTGATTCTAAAAGATAAGTTTATTACCCAATCAGCCACAGACATCAGGAGAAACTCCAAAAGCAAGCCCTGGGCCCTGAACAAAATCTGGAGGCATTACTAAACCTGGCAACCTTGGTGTTCTATAATAGGGACCAAGAGGAACAGGCCCAAAAGGAAAAGTGAGATCAGAGAAATGCTGCTGCCTTAGTCATGGCCCTCAGACAAACAAACCTTGGTGTTTCAGAGAGGACAGAAAAGGGAGCAGGGCAATCACCCGGTAGGGCTTGTTATCAGTGTGGTTTACGAGGACACTTAAAAAAAAAGATCATCCAGGCCGGGCGCGGTGGCTCACGCCTGTAATCCCAGCACTTTGGGAGGCCGAGGCGGGCGGATCACGAGGTCAGGAGATCGAGACCATCGCGGCTAAAACGGTGAAACCCCGTCTCTACTAAAAATACAAAAAATTAGCCGGGCGTAGTGGCGGGCGCCTGTAGTCCCAGCTACTTGGGAGGCTGAGGCAGGAGAATGGCGTGAACCCGGGAGGCAGAGCTTGCAGTGAGCCGAGATCCCGCCACTGCACTCCAGCCTGGGCGACAGAGCGAGACTCCGTCTCAAAAAAAAAAAAAAAAAAAAAGATCATCCAATAAGAAACAAGCTGCCCCCTTGTCCACGTCCACTATGTCAAGGCAATCACTGGAAGGTGCACTGCCCCAGAGTACAATGGTTCTCTGGGCCAGAAGACCCCAACCAGAGGATCCAACAACAGGACTGAGGGTGCCTGGAGCAAGTGCTAGCTCATGTCGTCACCCTCACTGAGCCATGGGTATGCTTATCCATTAATGGCCAGGAAATTGGCTTCTTCCTGGACACTGATGCGGTCTTCTCGGTGTTAATCTCCTGTCCTGGACGACTGTCCTCAAGATCCGTTACCATCTGAAGAATGCTGGGACAGCCTGTAACCAGGTATTTCTCCCAACTCCTCAGTTGTAATTGGGAGACTTTGCTCTTTTCACATGCCTTTCTTAATATGCCTGAAAGTCCCACACCCTTATTAGGGAGGGATATATTAGTCAAAGCTGGAGCTATTATCTACATGAATATGGGGAGCAAGTTACCCATTTGTTGTCTGTGGCTTGAGGAGGGAATTAACCCTGAAGTTTGGGCATTGGAAGGACAATTTGGAAGGGCAAAATGCCTGCCCAGTCCAAATCAGGCTAAAAGATCCCACCACTTTTCCTTATCAAAGGCAATTTCCCTTAAGGCCTGAAGCTCATAGAGGATTACAGGATACTGTTAAACATTTAAAATCTTGAGCCTCAGTAAGGAAATGCAGCAGTCCCTGCAGCACTCCAATTCTAGGAGACCAAAACCCAGTCAGTGGAGACTAGTGCAAGATCTTAGACTCATCAGTGAGGCAGTAATTCCTCTATATCCAGTTGTACCCAACCCCTATACCCTGCTCTCTCAAATACCAGAGGAAGCAGAATGGTTCACAGCTCCGGACCTCAAGGATGCCTTCTTCTGTATTCCTCTGCCTCTGACTCCCACTTTCTCTTTGCCTTTGAGGATTCCACAGATCACACGTCCCAACTTACATGGAACGTCTTGCCTCAAGTGTTTAGGGATAGCCCTCATCTGTTTGGTCAGGCACTGGCCCAAGATCTAGGCCACTTGTCATGTCCAGGGACTCTGGTCCTTCAGCTTGTGGATGATTTACTTTTGGCTACTGGTTTGGAAGCCTCATGCCAGCAGGCTAGTCTAAATCTCTTGAACTTTCTAGCTAATCAAGGGTACAAGGTGTCTAGGTCAAAGGCCAAACTTTGCCTACAGCAGGTCAAATATTTAGGCCTAATCTTAGCCAGAGGGGCCAGGGCCCTCAGCAAGGAATGAAAACAGCCAATACTGGCTTATCCTCACCCCAAGACATTAAAACAGTTGCGGGGGTTCCTTAGAACCACCCACTTTTGCCGACTATGGATCCCCAGATACAGCAAGATGGCCAGACCACTCTGTACGGTAATCAAGGAGACCCAAAGGGTAAATACTCATCTAGTAGAATGGGAACTAGGGGCAAAAGTACCCTTTAAAACCTTAAAGCAGGCGCTAGTACAGGCTCCCGGTTTAAGCCTTCCCACAGGACAAAACTTCTCTTTATATGTCACCAAGAGAGCAGGGATAGCTCTTGGAGTTCTTACTTAGATTTGTGGAACAATCCCCCAACCAGTGGCATACCTAAGTAAGGAAATGGATGTAGTAGCAAAAGGCTGGCCTCACTGTTTATGGGTAGCTGTAGCAGTGGCTGTCTTAGTGTCAGAGGCTATCAAAATAATACAAGGAAAGGATCTCACTGTCTGGACTACTCATGATGTAAATGGCATACTAGGTGCCAAAGGAAGTTTATGGCTATCAGACAACCACTTGCTTAGATACCAGGTGCTACTCCTTGAGGCACTGGTGCTTCAAATATGTACATGCGTGGCCCTCAACCCTGCCGCTTTTCTCCCAGAGGATGGGGATCCAATCAAGCATGACTGCCAACAAATTATCGTCCAGACTTATGCCGCACAAGATAATCTCTTAGAAGTCCCCTTAGGTAATCCTGACCTTAGCCTATATACTGATGGAAGTTCATTTGTGAAGAATGGGATACAAAGGGCAGGTTATGCCATAGTTAGTGATGTAACTATACTTAAAAGTAAGTGTTTTCCCCTAGAGACCAGAGCCCAGTAAGCAGAAATACTGGCACTTACCCAAGCCTTAGAACTGGGAAAGGGAAAAAGAATAAATGTGTATACAGATAGCAAGTATGCTCATCTGATCCTACATGCCCATGCTGCAATATGGAAAGAAAGGGAGTTCCTAACCTCTGGGGAAACCCCCATTAAATGCCACAAGGAAATCATGGAGTTATTGCACACAGTGCAAAAACCCACGGAGGTGGCATGGCACTCTTACACTGCCAAAGCCATCAAAAGGGGAAGGAGAGGGGAGAACAGTAGCATAAGCAGCTGGCAGAGGCAGGGAAAGACCAGCAGAAAGGAAAAAGAGGAAGAGACAGAAAGTCAGAGGGAGAGAGAGAGAGGAAGAGACAGACAGACAAAGAGGGAGTCAGAAAGACAGAAAGAGAGAGATGAAGGAGAAGTCAAAGAGAATGAAAGAGATATGGAAATAGTAAAGAAAAAACAGTATACCCTATTCCTTTAAAAGCCAGGGTAAATTTCTAAATATCTACCCAGCCAAGGCATATTCTTCTCCTGTGGAATGTCAAACTATATCTGCCTCCCCACTAACTGGACAGGCACCTGCACCTTAGTCTTTCTAAGTCCCAACATTAACATTGCCCCAGGAAATCAGGCCCTATCAGTGCCCCTCAAAGCTCAAGTCCATCATTGCAGGGCCATACAACTAATACCCCTACTTATAGGGTTAGAAATGGCCACTGCTACAAGAACCAGAATAGCAGATTTATCTACTTCATTTTCTTACCATCACACACTCTCAAAGGATTTCTCAGATAGTTTGTGAGAAATAACAAAATCTATCCTTACTCTACAATCCCAGCTAGATTCTTTACCAGCAGTGACACTCCAAAACTGCAGAGGACTAGACCACCTCACTGCTGAGAAAGGAGGACTCTGCACCTTCTTAGGGGAAGAGAGTTGTTTTTACACTAACCAGTGAGGCATAGTACGAGATGCTGCCTGGTGTTTACAGGAAAAGGCTTCTGAAATCAGACATCTTTCAAACCCTTATACCAACCTCTGGAGTTGGGCAACATGGCTCCTCCCCTTTCTAGCTCCCATGGCAGCCATCTTGCCATTACTTGCCTTCGGGCCCTGTATTGTTAACCTTCTTGTCAAATTTCTTTCTTCTAGAATTGAGGCTATCAACCTAGAGATGGTCTTACAAATGGAACCCCAAATGAGCTCAACTAACAGCTTCTACTGAGGACCCCTGGACCAACCTCCTGGCCCTTTCTGTGGCCTAAAGAGTTCCCCTCTGGAGGACACTACAACTGCAGCATAATTCTTTGCCCCTATCTAGCAGGAAGTAGCTAGAGAGGTCATTGGCCAATTCCCAACAGCAGTTGAGATGTCCTGTTTAGAGAAGGGATTGAGAGGTGAAGCTGGCTGGGCTTCTCAGTCAGATGGGGACTTGGAGAACTACTTTGTTTAGATAAAGGATTGTAAATGCACCAATCAGCACTCTGTGTCTAGCTAAAGGTTTGTAAATGCACCAATTAGTGCTCTGTGTCTAGCTAATTGGGTAGGAGACTTGGCGAACTTTTCTGTCTAGCTAAAGGATTGTAAATGCACCAATCACGCTCTGTGTCTAGCTAAAGGTTTGTAAACACACCAATCAGCACTGGATAAAAATGGATCAATCAGCACTCCGTAAAACAGACCAATCAGCACTCTGTGAAATGGACCACTCAGAAGGATGTGGGTGACACCAGATAAGAGAATAAAAGCAGGCCACCCGAGCCAGCAGCAGCAACCTGCTTTGGTTCCCTTCCATGCTGTGGAAGCTCTGCTCTTTCACTCTTTGCAATAAATCTTGCTGCTTCTCGCTCTTTGGGTCCGCACTACCTTTAGGAGCTATAACACTCACTGTGAAGGTCTGCATCTTCTTCTTGAAGACAGCAAGACCAATAACCCACTGGAAGGAATCAATTCTGGACACAATCCCAAGATCATGGTTCCCAGAAAAAGGAACACTGGATGTAGTACTCTGAGAACAAGTGGGGATAAATCTTCAACATCAGACACAAAGGCAACAGGTCCCAGCTGTTATGGGCTTTCATTACAGCAGCCCTGTCTCCATTATACACAGAACAGACTATAAAGGGGAACGAGGAGGAAATGTCACCTGCCTTATCACCTCCTCTTCCGTCAGCCCTAATATTACTGAGCCAAAATAACAAAGAAGAAACAGATATTTTACCTGAGCCTTTTTCTTCAATACGTAAGAAAAAGGACCAGGAATACCCTCCAGTTATTAGTCCCTGTCTTCAGCTGGCAGCAATAAAAGGAGAGTTATTAGCCTGCCCGGTAATGCAAAATCAGCCAAGTAATCAGGTACATAAAGGGTTAAGAATAATCACTAAAAGCCAGAGCCACAGGGCCAGGACAAGGAAGCAGTAAGTAGAAAGAAAAACTCCACCCACACTGTGACAGAAGCAACAAAGAGCCAAGCTGCAGCCAGAGCTAGCCTGCTGCGAGTGGAACAGAAGCACACGTGACAAATTCCACCCAGGCCACATGTGTCCCACAGCTGGGGAAGGGAGCCAGCACAGGCAAAAAATGGCACAGGCAAAAATGGCGACTTTATAAATGTAAAGCAGTCACAGCGCCGGGACCTGCCTGCTCCTTTCTCTAACTCCACAGGCTATCCAAGACAAAATCTCATGTGCTGCTTGTTTACAAGCAACATCACAGATTATAGTTCTCAGCTAAAATTTAAGTAAAATGTAAGAATTAGAAAACCTCTTTCTAATAACCTCCACTGTTGTCATCTCTCTTCCACCCTGATGAAGCTCACCAAATTCAAGTAAAACAGTAACGTTTAAAGGTTGAGACATTACAAACAACCCATGAGTTAGTTTAGAAGTAGTTAAAAGCAAACTTTGTTTTTTAACTAGTAGAAAAAAAATTCCTGATTACATGATTATTCATTTTATGGATGATATTTTACTAGCAGCCCCAACGGAGCCAATACCTTTAAATTTGTTTACCTCTGTCATAAGGAATACACAACTGAAAAGTTTAGTCACTGCACCTGAAAAAGTACCCATGTTCCCTCCTTGAAAATATCTTGGATATCTGTTAATCTCCTGGTCAGTAAGACCTCAAAAGTTTAACCTAAGTACTAACAACTTACACACATTAAATGATTAGCAGAAATTATTGGACAATGTTACCTGGATTTCTCCCATTGTTGGAATTCCTACCAATAAACTACAAAACCTGTTCTCTATCTTAAAGGGCAACCCAGCCCTCAATTCTCCCAGATATTTAACCCTTGCAGCAAAAAGGGAAATCAAGGAAATTGAGCAAGCCGTCTTTCAAAGGAAGCTAGATCGCATTGATCCACCGTATTCCAATCAGCTATTTATTTTTTCCACCTAACACTCCCCTACAGGGTTACTAGGACAAATGACTCCCAGGCTATGTTTCCTAGAATGGGTTTTTTGCCCCCATACCGGGACTAAAACACTGTCTCCTTATACTCAGTTAATTACTAAAGTCATCTATTCAGGTCACAAACGTTAAAAATCAGTTGCGACATAACCGATATCATCATGATTCCTTTAAGTAAAGAGCAATTCAAAGCTTCATTATCTTTGTCAATACACCCACAAATAGTTTTATCTCATTACACAGAGCAAATAAAGCACATCCTCCCTGCTGATAAAGTCTTTCATTTCTTATCTCATACTCCGGTAATAATGCCTACAAAAAGAGTTTACTCCCCTGTAACTAATGCTTTAACACGGTTTACTGATGGGTCCGCAAACATGGAAAAGCAGCAGTCTGGTAGAGACCATATAATTCAATCATGCAATCTGAGTTTACTAGCAAACAGAAAGCTAAGGTTACTCTGTTTATTTATTAAAGAAGTTTTACAGCCTTAACTCTATTCTGGAGCCAGGACGGTTTACTCTTTCTCCAACTTCAGCAATTGGCTAGATCAACATACAAGTCCCATTTTTATTACACATATTTGAGCCCACAGCTTACTTCCTAGCCCATTGGCTTATGAGCAGTGATCAAGCAAACCTACAGGTTAAGCCATCACTGCTAGACCAAGCCACCCAATCGCATGAATTTTTCCATCCAAATTGAAGAAACTTATCAACTTACTCAGAGACTGGCTAAATAAATTATCCTACAATGCCCAGATTGCCAGCTCACAGGTAAGTCCCCTCCTTCAACAGGTGTTAACCCTAGGGAAACAGAACTTAACCTGCTATAGCAAACAGATGTTACACCCATACTTGAATTTGGAAAACTTAGATATGTACAAGTATCTATTGATACCAACACTCATTTAATTGCTGTCCAAGATCAGAGAGAAACAGAAAGGTTAAAGAGAGAAATAGAGGGGAAAAAAAAGAAAGACTAGAAAAACCAGAGGTCAAAGTCACAAAAAGTAAGACAAAGAAAAGACATAAAGAGAAAGAAATGTTAAGAAAGTTATAACCATTAGACTGCACCTTTATTAAGGAAGGTTATGAAAGAAATAAAGTTAAGGCATGTTGAAAATTGTCTGTGGAAGTCATAAAAACATTATAAAAAGAAAACTATTCAGGACATGTTGTATAATTTTGTTTTGAAAGTCTAAGCAAGTTTTAAAATGTTAATTGTTAACAAAATTCTCTGAGTAAACATATTGACTAAAGTTAAAGATGTGTCATCCAACAATCATAGACTGGATTAAGAAAATGTGGCACATACACACCATGGAATACTATGCAGCCATAAAAAATGATGAGTTCATGTCCTTTGTAGGGACATGGATGAAATTGGAAATCATCATTCTCAGTAAACTATCGCAAGAACAAAAAACCAAACACCGCATATTCTCACTCATAGGTGGGAATTGAACAATGAGAGCACATGGACACAGGAAGGGGAACATCACACTCTGGGGCCTGTTGTGGGGTGGGGGGAGGCGGGAGGGATAGCATTGGGAGATATGCCTAATGCTAGATGATGAGTTAGTGGGTGCAGCACACCAGCATGGCACATGTATACATATGTAACTAACCGGCACATTGTGCACATGTACCCTAAAACTTAAAGTACAATAATAAAAATAAATTAATTTAAAAAAGATGTGTCATCCAGTTTTTCTGTAAACAAGACATTAAAAGCACAAGTTTTTCTTAAAGCACTAACCTGCTCTTTAACAAAGATTATGAGAGATATCTTAGCACAGACACAATCTCTACAATTTCCAATACACAAGCACCAGCCAAGACACTGCATCCTCATCAAAGGATTAAAAGAAGAAAAAACTCGAGCCAGCCTAGGAGAGACCCTGCAAGATGATGCAGCTTTATCAGAGAAAGATGACTCAGAAGGCTATGCAAATCCTGCTTCTTTTTTATTCTCTCACTTTGTCTACTACCTGTATCTGCCAAGCTCTATTAAGCCCATCTTGTAACCTCCTTTGTTCTACCCTAGTACTTAGACTAACACCCCCTTTCCAGCTTCTAACAACATCACTGCTTAAATAAAAGGAAATCAACATTCCCCCAGTGAGGTTCCTCATTAATAGCACAGAGTGAACTCAGATGGCAAGTAACTCTGCAAGTCACTCTGACTGGAAGAAGTGTTGTTAATTATACTCATGATTGTTTTGTGTTATTTGCTATTTATATGATGCAAAGCTGGAATAAGATCAGTGACCACCTCACCTGACAAACCTATGACTGCACATATCTGTGCTCTGCAATCAAAAACCTGATGCAGAAAAGAACAGAGAGGAGGATTTTGAGATTCACTCAGGAGGATGGCAGAAATATTAAAAGAAAATAATTAGGGAAAGTTATAGGGAATAGTCACAGACTTTTGGAAGGCTGAAAGGTTGCATAGCTTGTAATAATTCAAGGGGCTGAAGGTAGTCGGTTTTAACCTTAAAGCATTTGGTCATAGGGTAAATGCTAAGGACAATAGAGGCTTCCCCAATTAAGTTTTTTTACCCCACCTCCATTAACTAACCTTTAAGCCAGATGGTCCTTTCTGGGGAATGTCAACCAGGGAAATTGCCCCCACTGGCATTTACTTTAGACCGTGGTGCCTGAGGTTTCGTTATTCACAGAACTATTCTCTTAACCAGGTTAATTATCCACAAGTGTGTCTACTCAAAGCTTCTGTTAATAATTCTATACTAAATAAATGCCTGGAGTGCAAGTTGCTCAGGGCACAGCTGCCACTCTTTACAGGACTCCCTTTGGAGACTGTTAGTGGCCCCAGACCCTCAGCTGGACTTGAAAAGCAGAATATCTGTGTGACAGGGTACTTTATTCATCTGTCGCTCGGTCAGGGGTCTGCAAGGGACAGACTCCCTGCAGCTAATGCCCTCATGAAAAGAGTGGTGCCTCAGTTAATGGTATTAGAAATGATCTACAGGTCAATGAGAACTCTTTCAAAGAGCCAATAGTTTTTTTTGTTGTTGTTGTTTTTGTTTTTGTTTTGCAGAAGTAGTAAAATATTCTAAAATGTTTGAGTCAATATTTAGCTGTGTCACCCAGGCTGGAGTGCAATGCTATAATCATGGCTCACCATAGCCTTGACACATCAAGCTCAATTGATCCTCCCACCTCAGCTCCAGAAGTAGCTGAGACTGCAGGTGCATGCCACCATGCTCAGCAAGTTCTTGTATTTTTTGTAGATACAGGGTTTCACCATATTGCCCAGGCTGGTGTCAAACTACTGGGGTCCTGCAATCCACCTTCCTTGGCTTCCCAATGTATTGGGATCACAGGAGTAAGCCCTCAAATATTGCACTATAATTTATGTAAACACTCAAAAACAAACAAAACAAAAAAAGTAGCAAAACAACTTTGGAAAAAAAGAATATACTTAGATAAATACTTTTTATTTCAAAACATATTGCCAAGTTACAGTAATCAAAATAGTGTGGTGCTGGCATAAAGACAGTTAAATCAATGTTAAGGCAAATAACAGAGGCCAGAATGAAACCCACATGCATAAAATTCAGCTTATCTTAAACAAACGTTCTAATTCCTCATGTTGCAGAACGTTCTCCTTCAGCAAAATTGGGTTCTTGTCACATGACTAGGAAAGATTAGGCTCAGGGACACTCCTGAAGGATAAAGAGTAGAGCTGATTGGGTAAAAGAAAAGAAAAAAAGAAAAACTCTCAACGAAGTGAGTGGGAGTCGTGTTTACCAGGCCCCCACTTCACGGATTGCTGAACACCAGACCATCACACAGGAACTGATGAAGCCAGGCTCCTCCTCCCTGCACAAGGGGTAAAGTTTCCATGGCCTTCCAAGCCTCCACTCCCTTCCCCCAGTTTTCAGATGGAAATTATTCAAAGAGAATCTGTTGGAAAAAGGCAGGCTTCATCTAGCACAAGCACTCGATTTTTCAGCCTTCAGGCTGTTTTAGGCTTGAAGATGGGGTTTTGTCCAAGACACTTGGCTGTTTTCTAACTCTGTTATTTTCCACTGTCAATAAGTATATCTAACTGCTGTTAGAATAAGGATAAAGATGAGGACAAAAACCACTTTTAAGTGCTTCCTGATGACAGGGGGCACTGTTGTGAAATAAATGGCAGTCAGTTATTCCTTAGAGGCCTAAGTGTCTCCAGTGAAAGGGGCCATTGTCTCAGCCTATGGTAGTGTGACTGTTTGAAGTTTGATAGCCTGAAGGTGAGGAGAATCAAACTGTGTTACTAAAAAGCACGTATTAAAATGAACCAAGGGAAATGTGGAAGAGACAGCTCAAAAAAAATCCAGGGTTTTCACCAGTTTGCATAGGTAGAGGGAGGCCAAAAGCCCAACAGGAAAAAATAAAAGAAAGAAAGAAAAAGAAAAGAAAGAAAGAAAGAAAGAAAGAAAGAAAGAAAGAAAGAAAGAAAGAAAGAAAGAAAGAAAGAAAGAAAGAAAAAACTTTTACCCTTTTGACGGCATATGAGACTTCTGGGTTCTTTTCTCCTGGGTCCAATCCTAAGCTGTCCAGTTTAATGTTTGGGAAATTAACTCTTCCAAACTTGGAGGATGCATTGAAGAGGAATGTCCCAAAACATGGAGATGTGATTACCTATCTCTAAACAGCAAACGGAGGAGAAAAAATGAAAAGTTAGCATTTTTTCAAAGGAGTTCCAAGGGTTCAGGATGCATTCAAAATGGGTCTAGACTAAAAATGAATGGTTACTTATCTTGAAAGAGATAGAGGAGCAGGAGTCCCTGGCTCCTTTCTCTTCCTAGCAATTACCCAGGGTGTGTTGAGCTATAGGAGAAAGAATATTCTTTTTCCCACTTCAATCCTTGTATCCCCAAGTCCCACTGATTGTAACAGGGTGCCTCCCATGGGTGTCGAGGCAGCTTTCACCAATGTTAACAGGGAGGCCTAAGGGGGTGGATATATCTGCTCTTACACATGTGTACCCTTTCTTCCCTGCTGTCAGTAGCTCTGGAGTTCACTGGACCTCATTTATGGCATGGATAGTAGCATAATCTTTATCCATGAAATCGGGGGCTTGGCTTAATCCCTGGGAATTAGTTATGCTCACCAGCATTGTGCTTTTTTACCTCCATTATCACCTGCCTCTGGATTTCTCAAATTTTTTACTTTTTTCTATGGTGTCAAACAGAAGCTTAGAATTGAGGCTGGGGCAAAAATGTGTCTCAGGGCATTGCATGGACTCTTTATCATGAGCTGAATGCTAAGATGAAGCTGTGGAATTGAGTTCTTCTTCTACAAGGGTGAGAAAAGAATGACTGTGACATACTGAGGAAACTAGTGGCTATAGTTGTGCTTCATAAAATTTAGGTGGGCACCCTATATATTCCCATCACTCTGCAGAATTTGCAGGATAATTGTCCAGAATTATAATGTTAATCCAGATTTTCATGTGTACCAATTCATTTTTGTTTATTGTGGGCTGCAGTTGAAGATCATTAGTGGGGTCACAGAAATAAGCAAGATTGTTCTAAAAAGTAGGCAACAATGCAAAACTTGTGAGTTTAGAATTTAATGACAAATATATAATAAGTTGTGAAACATAAACTTTATCCAGTCCTCTTCTATTAAAAAATAAATCATGATAGGACTGAGTTGTTTGTAAAATAAACTTTATTCTGATACTGGGCCTGATTATTTGCATAAAATGCAGCAAGAATAATTATTTCTAGATAGGTCTTTTACATTGGCTTTGATGGAACTCTGTTCCACAAGAAATTTCAGATGGGACTTTCTAAAGTCAAGCCCAGCCACGGGTTTGTACAATCAGATAATTTTTAGTTGGGTGATTCTCTGCTCTTATGGTCCCAAGATAAACTTGGAGCTCCTGGGCCTGTCAGAAAGTGTCATTATTTAGTTACCACAGATCAGGAACCCTGCTAAAGGACTGTTTAGATGAGGTATAAAGCCAATTTTTCCACTGGGATTTTCTTGGTTCTGCAAGTTGATCTTGACTCCTTAAAGGGAAGCTTATTTTTTAGTCAAGGCCTTGTTCAAACAACCAGTTTCTCCAGTTGTGTTCTGTTGGAAGAGAAATTGGACTGTTATTGCACTGATACAAACACCTATATTGCCACAAGTTAAGAACACTCACAACTATTTTTCGAATTCAGGAGAAGTCCTGCCGAGAAAGGCAAACGTGATCCAAATTGTGCACACATGAGTACACCTTGCTCACATATTAAAGGCTGTAAGTATCTCAAGATGTTTCCTTGACTCTGGTAAATAATACAAGAATGAGTAATGTCTCAAACAAAAGTCAGAAGGGCTACTTCAATTTTCTATTAGTCCGGTCCATTCAGTCAACTCTTCTTTTGTTTGATATTCATACATATTTTAGCTCTTTGAGAGTCCTGTAAGTTTTTCCTGTATTTCAATGTCACAAGCTCCAAAGTTATCGGAAGCCTGCAATTGAGAGCACCTATTAAAGATCTATAGCTGATTAAAAAGCACTTCATAAAAAAATCAAAAAAGGAATAATTATCTGTGTATTACAAAGTGTGCAAGGTAGTTACAGTCAGAAATATGACAAAAATTTTCGTTATCTATATGGTTTGCAATAAATTAACCTAACAACCTTAATTGTGGATGATAGCATATACTTCAGACATTAGAATTTTAGAAATCCCATATAATTTTAGAACATGTATTAGTATTAGTCACCAAAATATCACCTAAAAATATTGAACACCATTTGGCAATTCCGTGTAACTAATCATGCCATATAATCCTGTTTATCTCTCTTGTTGATACTCTATGGGCCCTCTGTAGCATCCAAAAGCTAGAAATAAAGAAAGATAATTTTGTAACTACAGTGTGGTTTTGAGAAGGATGTTACAACTTAGAGGTTTAAAAATCCTGAAATAAAATTCCAGATTTTCCTAAATTACTTATTTAACAAAAATGATGACTTAGAAATGGAAAAGATAATTTTTATAAATTATTTTATAATTCTTTACAAATGTTGGTAAGGAACAGATTAGTGCCTTAAGAGTACCTTGTTGGGCTTTTATTTCAATGTTCAATTTACAAACATCTCACAGACATGGTAATGACTGTCATATGTGGGCCTCACACATAGAAGTATTTTCAACTTCCATAAATTGCTTTTGAAACATGAATGATTAAATCTCTTTCTGGTAATAAAAAAGTTCAAAGAAGACTATAGCAGCCTCAAGTATTTTATAATGTCCTCAGCTTGTACAGAAATTGTTATGATGGAATGCAGCAGAAAGGCATAATTCTGAGTCTCATATGCACACTGATCTGACAGTAAGGAATGTCACCATCTTAAATATATGAAGCCAACTGTCACTCATAAAAACAACTAATGTGTGGTATTGTAAATCTTACCCTGGGAGTTTTCCGCCAGTGTGCTTGTGATTTAATATTTTGTGAATCACCCATATGATTTGACTCTCTGGAAGGGTTTCAGCCCACATATGTTATTGTGGTATCTACCTGGGCCAACCTTGAGGTGATGTGACTCTCCCATCTGGGACCTACTCCCAGTAAAAATCACGAAAAATCACTACCTCCAGCACACAGGTCATGTTATATTTTTGCCTAAGCTATGCCCACAGAAATTATTGTGACATATCACTGTGTCAGCCCTGTAGGTGATGCAACTCTCCTCATTAGATTGGGCTGTGCACAGAGTATGGTATACTCACATATGGCTGCACTAGGGTCACAGATGATGGAACTCCTTTGCTGGGACCTTATCCTAAAAAGGGTATTGTGACAAATCTCTTGGCCTATCCTCTAGGTGATATAACTTGCTGCTTGAGTCCTGCCACATGGAGCATTGTGACATAAGTGTGAAAACTGTAACTATTTGTTGTAACTCTCTCACCCATGTCCTGTCCTAAGGGAGCATTGTGACATATCTCAGGAACCAGCATAAAGGTGAAGTGACTCTTTTGCCTGACTTCTCCTGATATGTTAGATTGTGTTATAAACCTAGGGAAGCACCTAGGTGATATGACTCTTCTCTTCTGCCTCAGCCCTGCCTACTTGAGACATTGGGTCATATATCTGAGCCTGTGTTCTAAGTGATGTGTCTGTTTTCTTCTGCCTGAGCCCTTACCGTGGGATGCTGTGACATATTGCTAAGCCCAATACTTAGATTAAATGACTGTTCTTTTTCCAAATCATGCCAATAAAATAAATTTTGCTGTATTGCAGGGTACAGCACCCAGATGATGTACCTTTTCTGCCTGAGTCCTGCAGAAAGAGATAATTATGGCACATTGCTGGGCCCATCACCCTGAAGATATAACTCTCCTGCTTGTACCAGAGCAACTGAAAGTATTTTTATATATCTTGGGCCCATCCTGTAGGTGTTTTTGCTGTCCTTATTTGTTTGGGCTTGTTTTTCCACATTTGAGATTGTGTCATATTGCTGGGTCCAGCACTCCAGCACCCAGTTAATGTAACCCTCATTTCTAGACCCTGCCTAGAGAGGGTATTGTGACATATTGCTTGCCACAGCATGTAAGTTGTGCTACTTTTCCACTAAGTTTTTTTTTCTACAAATGAGATTATGATACTTACATTGCTTCAACTCAGTGGCATCATGATCAAACATAATTGGCATTCCACCAATAGTAGACTTTTCCCTCTCATAGCTGTGCTTAGGGCAATAGTTACAGTTATGAGATGCATATTTGCACAAAGCTCACAGAAATTTACAACACTAACTCATAGTCTATAAACTTGGGTGGTACACAGAGTTTTATAATAGAGCTCAGCAAAAGATTAAAATTGTGACCCTTGATTACAAATGCAGGTGAGAGAAAAAGTTTTTAGCATCTCATATTTATAAAGCCCACTGTTGAAGTTCTGACTCTAAGAAGTAAATAAAGTACAACGATGGAATTGTGACTCTCATATGTGGATCTTGCTACAGATGAGATGGTGACTCATTTCTGGACCCAGATTATAGGCACCATAATGGGTTTTCTGTCTGAACCCAGCCTATAAGAGAACTGTTGATTATCATAACAGGGTTTACATCAATATGTATGTTTTGGGTCAAACGAGCATGTAGGCTTCAGAGTGGTTTGTAACACTAAGGTATTTTGCATAAAGCCTTCAGATGTTGTAGAGTGTCTCATAAGATGACTGAGAACACACTTGAGATTGTGACTCTTACATACATAACAAACTAACAGTTAAATGTGTCACCTAAAGGATAAATTGATAGTGTCATATGACAAAGCCCAGCACCCCGGTGTTGAGAGTCTTGGCTTAGATTCTTTCCCATGGGTGTATTGTGAAATATTGCTGGGTTAGAATCATAAAAAGGTGACTCTTCTTCACGGATCCAGCCAACAGGGGATATTGTAACATATCTCTGGGCCTATCAGCTAGGTGATATGTCTCTCCTCTCACAGTGTTCTCTCACAGGGGACACCGACATTTTGCTGGATATAGTATCTAGGTAATGTGCTCTCCTCTCCTGCCTGGATCTCACCTACCTAGGAAATTGTGACATACCACTGAGTGCAAAACCTAGGTGGTGTGACTCTCCTCTTTGTGCTGGAATCTGCTATAAGAGGGAATTATAACATATTGCAGAGCCCAGCACCTAGGGAATGTGACTACCCTCTATTTTTTCAACCCTGTATACAATGGTCAAGATGATATATTATTTGAGACTGTACCCAGGAGATATGAGCCTTCTGACTGGATCCTGCCTAAAAAGAAGATATAATGTATTTCTGGCTAAGGACACAGATGATGTGACTTTTCTATCTTGTCTATGTCCAAAGATGAAATTCTAACATATACCTGGATTCAGCTGATATGCACAATAATAACTCATGCATGACCCATCCAAGGGAGATATTGTGAATCTCAGAGCCAGTTTATGGCCATGAGTAAAGTCTCAGATCTCTGTAAAATTAGATGTCTGTAAAAATTCAGACAAATGTATCCTACTCAGGTGTATCATTTAAGGTCTGTGTGGTACAAAGTGTGTCATAACAGGCACCAGCAACCAGGTGTTACACACATCGAATTGTCACAGTTGTCATTTTCACACATGAACAGAGCCTATGAATGAGTTAAAAAATCTCACACACATAAGCAGTTGAAGCTGGAATTTGTTACCGTCATATATGAATCTGATCCACAGATGCTGTGGTGAAATTTACCCATGATTCTCCAGACCAGTGGTGCTTTGACTGTCCTACTGGAACACAACCTTCAATGTGATTGGGGCTGTTACACATGTATCTTGCCCATTGTTGAGATTATGACTTCTTTACTTCGACCCAACTCGTAGGAGGTGTTGACTCTCATACCCGAAGCCAGAAGTTGTGTGGGCCTGTAAAATTTATTTCTGAACATTTTCAAGTGTGTGATTGTGAAGTTTGACTTTGTCCAGCATCTGAGTATTTTGACTCTCCTTTCTAGGCCAAGCCTAGAAATTGTGACATACATGCACCAGCACCTAAGCAATGTATAACAACTTTTTGTCAATGCAACTAGGGGCCCTTTTACATGTTACTGGTACCAGCAACCAGCTGGTGTGAAATGTTGGCCTAAACCCTGCCTACAAAGAGCATTATGGATTTTATCCAGATCCATCATGTAAATAATGTGAGTTCCTTCTACTGCCTTGGCCCTGCAATTATGCTGTATTGTGACACACTGCATTCAGGTGATGTGAGAGTTTTTGAGGGGAGTTCTGCCAATAGAAAGCTATGTAACAAATCACTTGGCTCAGCCCCTAGGTGCTGTTTCTCCTCTCTTGCCTTGACCCTGACCACCAGAGAGACTTTGACATATTGCTTAGCCCAGCACCAAGGTGAGTTCACTCTCCTGTCTTGATCCTGCACACAATGGCCATTGTGACATATATCAAGGCCAATTGCCCATGTGCAGTTTGTCTCCTCTCTTGCCTAAGCCTTGCCAACAGAGAGGATTTAGATATGTCACTGAAGCCAGCATCCAGGTGATTGACTCTTCTCCAAGAGTCCCACCCACAAGGAGAATTGTGAAATTTCACTGGACGTGCACACACTTAAATGATGTGACTTTCCTTACTTTCTTCTCCTTCCCCACAAGTGGTAATGTGCCATATACTTGAGAACAAATAAAAGGTCTAATAATGACTCTTGTACCAGGAACCAGGTCACGTGCAGGATTGTGACTCTCAACACTGAACCTTTTCACAGGTGTTATTCTGACGTTTATTTTTGCCCAGCTCTTGAGTCACTTAATAATCCTGCCTATTTAGAGTCCAGATGTGACATTTTTACATACAATTGGGCCAAAACCTTGGGGATTTGACTTTTGTCTTAACAGTGTTCTCCGAAGGGATCATAACATATCTCTGGACCTATGATCTAGGTTATGCGACTTTCCTCTCCTGACTGCACGCTGATTAAAGCAAAGAGTGTGGCATTTCTAAGCACGCATCCAAATGATATGACCCTTTTTCCTGGGCCATTACAACAGAAGGCATTATGATATATCTCTGCACCCATCATCTAGGTGATATGACTCTCCTCTCCTGCCCGGACACTCTTCACAAGTAACATTACAGCATAGAGCTTGGCATAACACCTAAGTTCTGTTACTTCTCCGTTAGGGCCTTGCATACAAAGAGAATATTGGAATATTTCTGGCTTAGGATTTAGGTGATGTAGTGTCCTGCCTATTTAGTAACCACAGAGGGCATGGTGACATATACCTAGGCACAGCTAACAGGCATGATAATGACTCTCATATGTGGACACAGCCAATAGGAGAAATTTTGACTCTTACAACTAGGTTTAGAGACATGAGTGACATGAAGCATCTCCTACTGTTAACAATGTCACAGAAGATTACAACACTCACACCTTCTTATAACACCTGTAAGTAGTATAGAGAGTGTCATAGCAGGGCCTAGGATAAAGAGGAAATCGTGAGTCTCGTTTGGACACCCAGCTGACTGGAAGGATTTTCACAATCACAGATGTATAAAAGCTACTGTTCTACATGAAAACAAGACACATGTGGCATTATAAGTCTAATCCCTAGAAATTTATTTTATCATGACTGTGATCTAAAACTCTTCCATGCGCTTTTTTGATTTCACTCTTTGGACTGGTTCCAGCCTACACATGGAATTTTGATATCTACCTGGGCCAACATTGAAGTCTTGTGATTCTTCTGCCTGGCCTGCTCTCAGGAAGAATTGTGACATCATTGGATGCAGTACTTAGGTGACGTTACATTCATGCTTGCCCCATGCCCACACACATCCTTGTGACATATTATGTTGTCCATCACTGAGGTGATATAACTTTCCTCTCTGAAACGGGCCCTGCACACAGGGCAGGAGAGTGACATATTCATAAGCCAGGCACACAGGTAATGATACTTTTCTTTGCCAGGGCCATGCACAAAAGATAAGATTATGACATGTTACAGGGCCTATTGTATAGGTGATATGGCTCTCCTGCTTGAAAACTGCCCACTGGAATAGTGACATATTGCTAGACCAGGTGACAAAGGTGATTGTACTCTTTTGCCAAGACCATGGTTTCAGGAAGGTTATGTGACATATATCTGGGCCTATCACCTAGGTGATGTGAATTCCTTCATAGGCTGCCCACATGGAGCATTGTAACATAAGGGTGGAACCTGTTCCTAGGTGATGTAACTCTCTTGCCTAGGTCCTTTTCTAAGGGGGATTTGTGAATATCTCAGGACCCAGGACCAGGTGATGTGATTCTTCAGCCTGGCTTCTTCCCACATACTAAATTGTGACCTATACCTAAAGAAGCACCTAGGTGATACGACTCACTTTTTTTGCCTGAGCCCTGCCTACAAATGACTTTGGGTCATATCATTGAGCCCATGACCTAAGTAATTTGACTCACTTCTTCTGTCTGTAGTTTTACAGTGGGAGAATTGTGATGTATTGAGAAGCCCCGTACTTAGGTTGTGTGACTCTCATGTTCTTGCTAAAGAGTGCCCATGAACAGGGCTTTTGCTGTATATCAGGACCCAACACCCAGATAATATTACTCTTCTGCCTAGCTCATGGATAAAGAGGGAATTGTGGCATATTGCTTGGCCCAGGACCCTAAGAATATGACTCTTCTGTCCATGCCAGGGCCACAGAAGGTATTTTGACATGTCTTTTGCTCATTCTGTAGGTACTTTGGCACTAACCAGTTTGCTGGGTTTCTTCCACGTATTTTTGTGTCACATTGTGGGTTCCAGCCCCCGGTTAATGTGACCCCATTTCTTAGGCTCTGCCTAGGGAGGGCACTATGATATATTGCTTGGCACAACACCTAAATGGTGTTAACCTTCTGCCTAGTTTTTTGCCCACAAATGGGATTATGACATACACTTTGCTTCAGCTCCAAGGCATGATGATCAAGCTTATTGTGGGATTAAGCCAATAGGGGACATTTTACCTTTTACCCCTAGGTTTAGGTCAATAGTTAAGGACCTTCATTTCATATTTGTTCAAAGATCACAGAATTTTACAACATTAACTCATATCCTACATTCACAAAGCTTATTGCTGAAGTCCTGAATTGATCAAGTCAATAGAACCGAAAGTTTGAATTGTGACTCTCATAAGTGAATCTGACTACAGGTGAAATGGTGGATCATTTCTACACCCATCTCACAGGCCTAATAATGGTCTCAACCCTGATGCCAGCCTGTAGGAGACATGTTGCCTGACATACCTCAGTTTAGGGCAATATGTAAGATTATGAGTCCATATAAACATGTAGCCCACAGAAAGTTTTGCAACACTCATGCCTGTTGCGTAAAGTTTTCAGATGTTGTAGAGAGTATCATACAATGGCAAGCACACTTGGGAGATTGTGACTGTCATATACACAACTAGATAACAGTTTATGATGTCATGCTTAAAGATGAGGAGATTATGCCACATCCCTTGGCTTAGTATACCGGTATTGAGACTTTTTGGTTTAAATTCTTTTCCATGAGGTCATTGTTACATATCACTGGATCAGAACCATGACAATGTGACTCTTCTATCTTGGCCCTGCAAAGAGCAGATATTTTCACATATCTCTGCATCTATTGGCTAAGTGACATTTCCCTCCTGCCAGTGCCCTGCCCACAGGGGACACTGTGACATATTGCTACATATAGCATCTAGGTAATGTGACCCTCCTCTCCTGGATGGATCCTGTTGACTGAAGAAATTGTGACATACCACTGAGCACAAAGTCTAGGTGACATGGCTCTCTTCTTTGTTGTGTACTCTGCCAAAAGAGGGAATTATTACATATTATTGAGCCCAGCATGCTCGTGGTCTAATTCTTTTTTTTTTTTTTTTCTTTGAAGATGTCTACATTGGGCATGGTGACATATTACTTGAGGCTATACCCAGGTGATGTGGCTCTTCTTCCTGGTTTCTGCCCACATGTTAGATTGTGACATATAACTAGAGAAGAATATAAGTGATATAACTCTTCTTTTCTACCTGAGCCCTGCATACAGGGGCACCGGGATGTTTCTCTGAGCCCATGACCTAAGTGAAGTGACTCTCTTCTCCTGCCTGGTCTTTACAATGAGAGGATGGTGACATTGGTGACATATGGCTGAGCCCAGCACTCGGGTTATTAGACAAACAAAGATTTTGACCTATTGCAGGGCCAAGCATGCAGATAACATTACTCTTTTGCCTGGGTCCTGCACATATGAGGGATTATGGCATATTTCTGGGCCCAGCACCCTAATAATGTGACTCTCATGGCTGACCCAAAGCCACAGAAGGTATTGTGATATATCCTGGGCCCATTCTGTTGGAATTTTGGCTTTCATTTCTAGGTTGTCTTTTTCCACATATGGGATTTTGTCATATTGCAGTTCCAACACCCAGTTAATGTTACTCTAATCCCTATACCCTTCTTAGAGAGGACATTGTGACATGATGCTTGTCACAGCACCCAAGTGATGTTACCTTCCTGACTCACTTTTTGACCACAAATGGGACTATGTCCTACACCTTACTTCAGTTCACAGGCATGATGGTCAAACTCATGCTGGGATTCAGCCAGTAGGATACATTTTGCCATTCATTACTAGGCTTAGGGAAATAGATGAGGTCCTGGGTTTCATATTTGCATCAAACTCAAAAACTTTACACTAACTCATAATGTATACATTTCTTGGGTTGTAAAGAGAGTTTTATGAAAGAGATCATCAAAAGTTTAGATTAGGACTCTCCGTTAGACACCCAGGTGAAAGCAAATGTCGTCACCATCCCACATGTACAAAGCCCACTATTAAGTTCCTAAGTCTAAAAGTGAATAGAGAACAAAATTGGAGTTGTGATCTTCATATGTTGATCTGGCCTCAAATGGGAGGGTGACTCACTTCTGGATCCAGCTTACAGGCAAAATAAGGGGTCTCATCCCTGAACCTAGCCTACAGAAGATATGTTGACTATCGTATCTGGGTTTATGGCAGTATATAAGATAATGAATCCATACAAGCATGTTGGCCTCAGAGTGGTTTGCAACTCTCACGAATGCTGTATAAAGCCTTTGAAAGTTGTAGAGTGTGATACAATGATCCAGGAAACACATGAGATTGTGTTTCTCATATTCACACCCAGCTCACAGTGAATCATGTCACTCTGAAAGACAAGGAGTTCTGGCATATTACGAAGCCTGTTACCAAGATGTTGAGACTTTTTGGCTTAAATTCCTTCCCATGGATTCACTGTGACATATCACTGGGTTAGAATCATAATAATGTGACTCTTCTGCCTTGACGCTGCCAAGAGGGAATATTATCACATATCTCTGGGTCTATAAGCTAGGTGATTTGTCTCTTCTTTTTGTGCCCTGTCCCCAGGGGACATTGTGAAATATCGGTTTACATAATATTTAGAAAATGTGACTATCCTCTCCTGCCTGGGCCCTGCTCACCATAGAAGTTGTGACATACCGCTGATTGCAAAATCTAGGAGATGTAGCTCTCCTTCATATTCTAGACTCTTCCAAAAGAAGGATTATTACATATTGCCGAGCTCAGCATCTAGGTGGTGGAACACTCCTCTTTTTCTTCTTTCCTGTCTTTAGTGGGCTTGGTGACATACTGTTTGAGGCTGTACCCAGGTGATGTGACTCTTCTGACTAGGCCCAGCCAAAAAATGAGTATATACTGTATCACTGGCTCAGCACTCAGGTGATGTGATGTTACCCTTCTGATTAGCCCCAGACTACAAACAAGATTATACTATATAACTGGCTCAGCACCCAACTGATGTGACTCTCCTGGCATTTTTTCTGCTCACAGATCCAGCTGTGACATGTACCTTGTTTAAGCACACATGCACAATAATAATTCTCATACCTGGACCCATCCAGTAGAGATAACTGACTCTCACAGCCAGTCTCACAGCCATTGGTAAAGTCCTGGGCTTTTCACTTGTATAAATTTCACGAAGGATTATAACACTCAGGTATATCACATAAAGCCTTAATGATACAAAGAGTGTAATAACAGAAAGCAGCAATGAGGTGAGAACACTTGTATGTACACCTAGCTGACACGATTGACATTCTCCCACATGAACAGGGCCTAGGAATGAGGTAATAAATCATGCACATAAAAAGCAGTCAAAGATTGAAATAATTACTCTTATACATGGATCTGATTCACAGGTGGTTTGGTAACATACGAACCATGATTCAACACACCTGTAGTGCTGACTCCCCTACTGGAAAACCATCTTCAAGTGAGATTGGGGCTCTTATACATGAATCTTGCTCGTTGCTGAGATTGTGACTCCTCTGCTTCAACCCAACTCACAGAAAAATTGAATCACTTACACAAAAGAAATACTTGTGTGGGATGTGGAACTTATTTCCAAATCTTTCTGAGAATATAAAAGGGAGAGGTAACTTTGCCTAGCACATGAATCGTCTGACTCTCTTTTCTAATCCCAGACTAGATTTTGCCATATGTGAAACAAGCACCTAAGAAACATATAATAGTTTCCAGAACTCCCACTGCAAAGGTCACTTTTATATATCACTGGGACAATCACCTAAGTGATGTAAATTATCTGCTGAAAACTGCCTACAAGAATTGTGTCTTAAATCTAGGTACATCACATAAGTGTAGTGAGTCCCTTCTACTGTCTTGGCCCTGCACTTACACTGAAATGTGACACATAACTGGGTGCTGCACCCATGTGACATGATTCTCCTTTTTGAGCTCTGCTAACAGGAAGCATTGGAACATATCACTTGGCTCAGCACCTAGGTGATGTTTCTTCATATTTTCTCTGGGCCCTGACCATGGGGAAATTGTGACATATTGCTGCACCCAGCACTAAGTTGTGGTCACTCTACAGCCTTGGTCTTGCACATGAGGGTCATTGTGACATATATCTGCACCAGTTGCCTAGGCTAAGTGGTTCTCCTCTCTTGCCAAAGTTCTGCCCACATAGTGAGTTTTGATATGTCACTGCAAGCAGCATGCAGGTGATGTGGCTTTTCTGCCAGGGTCCTGCCCGCAAAGTGTATTGTGACATTTTACTGGACCCGCACACACATAGCTGATGTGACTTTCTTGGCTACTCTCTGGCCACAGGTTACATTCTTGTCTGCAGCATGCCCACAAAAATTATTGTGACATATTTCTGTGTCCACCTCATAGGTGATGTAACTTTCCTCTCTGGAATGGGCCCTGCTCAAAGAAAAGGTAGTGACATGATTCAAGACTGAGAACACAGGTGAGGCTACTCTTTTGCCAAAGCCATGCCCAAAGGAGAGGATTCTGATGTATCTCTGGTTATGTGGCTCTCCTGCTTGGGTATTGCCAACCTGGAGCGTGACATGTTTCTAGGCCAGGCACACAGGTGATGGTACTCTTTTGCCAGGGCCATGCCTCATAGAGGACTTTGTGACATATCTCTGGCCCTATCACCTAGGTGTAGTCCATTCCTCCTTAGGCACTACCCACATGGAGCATTGTGGCATAGGCAGAGAACCTGCATGTAGGTGACGTAACTCCATTGTCTGGCAGCTGTTCTAAGAGAGCCTTGTGAAATATCTCAGCATGCAGAACCCAAGCTATGTGGCTCTCCTGTCTGTTTTCTGCCCACATGTAACATTGTGATATATTCCTCAGGAAGCACCTAGGTGATATGAATCTCCTTGACTGCCTGAGCCCTGCCTACTGGGGTCATTGGGATATATCTCTGAGCCCATGACCAAAGTCATATGGCTCTCTTGTACCAGGGCCTTTAAAATGGTGGGATTGTGACATGTTTCTGAGCCCAACATTTACATCATGTGACTCTACTCTTTTTTCTGAACCGTGACCGCAAAGAAATTTTGACCTATTGCACTCAGATGATGTTATTTTTCTGCCAGAGTCCTGAATAAAGATAAAATTATTGCAGATGGTCAGCTGAGCACCCTGATGATGGTACTGTCCTATCTGTGCCAGAGCCACAGAGAGTATTTTTGACATGTCTTCGGCTTTTTCTGTAGGAGTTTTGGCTCTTATCCCTTGGCTAATATTTTTCACATGTGGAATTCTGTAATATTGCTGGGCGCAGCACCCAGTTAATGTAACACTCCTTCCTAGGTTCTGCCTAGAGAGGGCATTGTGACATGTCGATTGCCATATCGCCTATGTGATGTTACTCTTTTTCCTAATTTTTTGCCCACAAATGGTATTATGACATATACCTTGCTACAGCTTACAGGTATGATGGTCTCTTATATTAGGATTCAGGCAATAGAAGATATTTTGCCTCTCATCGCTAGGCTTAGGGCAACATGTAAAATTCTGGGTTGGAAATTTCTTCAAAGCTCACAGAAGTTTACAACACAAATTTGTCTTGTATAAACTACTTGGGTGATACAGGGTTTCATAACAAGGCCCAGCAAAGAGTTAAGATTGTGACTGTCAATTACACACCTAGGTGAAAGTAAAAGTCGTCACTATCCCACATTTACAAAGCCCACCGTTGATGTACTGAGTCTAACAAGTGAAAAGAATATAAAGATAAAATTGTGGCTCTCATATATGGATCTGGCCACATGTGCGATTGTGACTCATTTTTGACCAAGCTCACAGACATTCCTGACATCAGCCTAAATAAGAGATGTTGGCTATCATACC
Organism: Homo sapiens; assembly: GCF_000001405.40. Lineage (NCBI taxonomy): Eukaryota > Metazoa > Chordata > Mammalia > Primates > Hominidae > Homo > Homo sapiens. Next base: position 25,071,245 of record NC_000024.10, on the reverse strand, counting down.
TGTGCTTAAGGCAATATATAAGACTGTGATTTCATATAAGCATGTGGGCCTCAGAGTAGTTTGCAACTCTCACGCATGCTATATAAAGCCCTCAGACATTACAGAGGGTGTCATAGCATGGCCCAGCACACACGTGACATTGTGACTCATATACACACCAAGCTAACAGTTAAAGGTGTCACTCTCAAAGATGAGGAGATTGTGTCTTATCGCTGGTCCTAGTACCCAGGTGTTAAAACCTTTGCATAAATTGTTTCCCTTGTTTGCATTGTGATATATCCTGGGTTCAGAATCATAATAATGTGACTGCTCTACCTGGGCCCTGCCAAAAATGTATATTATCACAGATCTCTGAGCCTATCAGCTAGGTAATTTGTCTATTTTGCCCATGCTTTACCCTCAAGGAACATTATGACATATCTTGAAGTAACATCTGGAAGTGTGACGCTCGTCTCCTACCTGGGTCCTGACCGCAGAATGAATTGTGACATACGACGGAGTACAAAACCTAGGTAATGCAACTCTCCTCCTTGTTCCAGAGTCAGCCAAAAGAGGTAATTACTACATATTGCTGAGCTCAGCACCTAGGTGGTGTGACTCTCCTTTTTTTCTTCAAACCTGTCTACAGTGGACATGATGCCGTAGTACTTGATACGGTACCCAGGTGATGTGACTCTTCTGACTTGGCCCTGCCTTTGAAGGAGTTTATAATGTATCCTGAGCTCAGAATCCACCTTGCTTCTGCTCACAGGTTAAATTGTGACATATAACTGGGTTCAGCTCACATGCACAAATAAAATTGTCATACCTAGAACCAGAAAGGAGAGATTTTTTGACTCCTATAGCCAGTCTTATGGCCACAAGTAAAGTACTGGGTCTCCTAATGGTATAAAGTTCACAGAGGATTATGACACTCTGGCATATTATATAAAGCCTGAGTGGTAAAAACAGTGTTATAACAGGGAACAGGAAGGAAGTATCATTGTGACTCTTGAATGCACAGCCAGCTGACCCGGTAGTCATTCTCTCACAAGAACAGGGCCTGCAAATAAGGCATTAAACCTCACAAAGAGAGCAGTCAAAAGTTAAAATTGCTCCTCTTCTATATGGGTAGTTTGGTGATGCACGATTGAGCACATCTGTGAGGCTGTGACTCCTCTGCTGGAACACATTCTTCAAGTGGAATTGGGCATCTTATACATGAAGCTTGCCCACTGTTGAGACTGTGACTCCTCTGCTTTGACCCAACTCACAGGAAGTGTTGACTCACATACAAAAATCCAGAACTTGTGTGGGACTGTGAAACTTATTTCTAAATATTTACTATCATGTGGTCAGGACATAAAAGTTAGCTGATCCCCTGAACAATTTGACGACCAAACACCTAAGTATAGATGCCTGGGTGTGCATACAAAGGGCAATTTTACATATTACAGGGATCAGCACCCATGTGATGTGAAATATTTGCCTTATCCCTGCCTATAAAAGACTTTGTGGCTTATATCTAAGTTCATCATGTAAGTGATGTGACTGCTTTCTACTGCCTTGGCCCTGCACTTATAGTGCATTGTGACACATAACTGGATACTGCACCCAGGTGATGTGACTCTGCATTTTGGGTTCTGCCAACAGAAAGCTTTGTAACATATCACTTAATTCAGCACCTAGGTGATGTTTCTCCTTTCTTGTATCACCCTGACCGAAGGGGAGATTGTAACATTGCTAAACCCAGCACCAGGTGAGATCACTTTTATACCTTGGTTTTGCACATAGCGGCCAGTGTGACATATGTCTAAGCCAATTGCCTAGGTAAAGAGGGTCTCCTCACTTACCTAAGCCCTGCCCACATGGGGGATTTTGATATATCACTGCAACCAGCATCCAAGTGATGTGACACTCTTTCCAAGGCCCTGCTTACAAGAAAGATGACTACATCTCACTGGACCAGCACCCACCCAGGTGATGTGACCTTCCTCCTTGCTCTCTGTTTACAGGTGATATTGTGCCATATACCTGAGACCAGACAAAAGGACTAATCACGACTCTTAAATCTGGACCCAGGTCATATGCAAGATGGTTATTCCCATTCCTGGAACTTTCAACCAGTGTTATTGTTATATATACTTTTGCCTAGCTCCTGAGTGATTTAATAATCCTGCCTAGGTGTAGCCCACAAATGAGATTTGGAAATATACCTCGGGTGATCACCTTGGTGATTTGACTCTCCTGTCTTAACAATATCCTAAGGAAAGATTGTAACATGTCTCTGGACCCACCATCTAGTTACCTGACTCTCCTCTCCTGCCTGGACCCTGCTTCCACTGGGGATTATAGCTTTTCTAAGCACTGCATCTAAATGATATGACTCTCTTGCCTGGTCCTTTCAATGGGACACATTGTGAAATATCTCTGGGCCTATTATTTAGGTGGTATGAGACTCCTCTTCTGTCTAGACACTGCCCACAAGGGGCATTATGCCATACATCTGGGTGTAACACCCAAGTTACAAAACTTTTCTGCAAGGAACTTGTCTACAAGAAAAATAATGGAAAATTTCTGGTTCAGCATTTAGATGACTTAGCTGTCATGCCTATTTCATTACCACAGAGTAAATTGTGACCTATACATAGGCACAACTTACAGGTATAATGACTCTTTTATGTAGACCCCACAAATAAAAATAACTTTGACATTTCTAACTTACTTTAGAAACACGAGTAAATTATCTGGTCGTGGTGGCTCAGGCCTGTAATCCCAGCACTTTGGGAGGGTGATTCAGGTGGATCACAAGGTCAAAAGATCGAGACCATGCTGACCAACATGGTGAAACACCATCTCTGCTAAAACTACAAACAGTAGCTGGGTGTGGTGGTGTGCGACTGGAGTCCAAATTAGTCAGGAGGCTGAGGCAGATGAATTGCTTGAACCCAGGAGGTGGAGGTTGCAGTGAGCAGAGATTGCAGCACTGCACTCCAGCCTGGGTGACAGAGCCAGACTCTGTCTCAACAACAACAAAAACAACAACAAAAACAAGAGTGAATAAATCTCATAAATCTCTTTCTGGTAAAAAAGAAAAAAAAAAGGTCAAAGAAGATTATAACACCCTCAGATATTTTATAATGCCCTTGGCTTGTACAGAGAGTGTAAAAACACTATTCAGCAGAAAGGTGAAATTGTGAGTCTCATATACACACCCAGCTGACAGTAAATACTGTCACTGTCTGAAATATGTGAAGCCAGCTCTCACTCATGAAAACAAGACATGTGTGGTAGTGTAAATCTCATTTCAGGAATTTTCTCCCAGTGTCATTTTGAAAAAACATCCTTGCTGACCATCTGTGTGACTTGACTCTCCAGACTGGTTCCAGCCTGAGGTTGTTATTGTGATTTCTACCTGGTCCAACATCTAGGTGATGTGACTCTCCTGCCTGGGTCCTGCTCTCGGTAAGGGTCATGACATATCACTAGGTCCACCACCCAAGTCATGTTAAATTTTTGCCTGTGCCATTCCCACAGACATCATTGTGACATATCACTGTGTCGTATGTCATACAACCACTTAGGTGATGTAACTCTCCTCATGACAATGGGCCCTGCACACAGTGGGGGATAGTATCATATGGCTGGGTCAGGCACGTAGATGACAGTAATCTTTTATTAGAGCCGTGTCCTAATGAGGGCATTGTGACAAATCTCTGGTACTATCACTTAGGTGATTTTGCTCTCCTGCCTGGGCCCTGCTTACCCTGATAGTGACACATTACTAGGCTAGGCAAACAGGTGATGGTACTCTTTTGCCCGAGCCATGCCTTAAGAAGGATATCGTAACATATCTCTGGCCTATTACCTAGGTGATCTGACTATCTTTTTGAGCCCTGCCCACGTGGAGCATTGTGACATAATGGTACAACCCGCACCTATTTGTTATAACACTCTTGCATGGGTGCTGTCTTAAGGGAGGCTTGTGTGATATATCTCAAGAGCCCACATCAAGGCGATGTGGCTCTTTTGCCAGCTTTCACCTCATATGTTAGATTGTGTTATATACCTAGGGAAGCCCCTATGTGATATGACTCTACCCTTCTGCCTGAGCCCTCCTTACTTGAGACATTGGGTCATATATCTGAGCCTGTGTCTTAAGTGATGTGAATCTTTTCTTCTGCCTGAGTCTTTGCAATGGGGTGATTTGACATACTGCTAAGCCCAATACTTAGGTACTATGACTCTTTTTTCCCCAACCATGCCCAAGAAAAAGATTTTTGAGGTATTGCAGGGCCCAGCACCCAGATAATCTTTCAATTCTACCTGGGTTCTGCATAAAGAGATAATTATGGCATATTGCTGGGCCCCTCACCCTGATGATGTAACGCTCCTTCCTGTGCCAGAGCAACATAAAGTATTTTTACATATTATAGACCCATTCAGTAGGAGTTTTTGGTGTCATCATTTGTCTGGGTTCTTTTTTTTTTCCACATTTGGGATTGTGTCATATTGCTGGGTCCAGCCCCCATTTAATGGATCCCTCACTTCTATATCATGCCTAGAGAGGGCATTGTGACATATTGCTTGACACAGCACCTAAATTGTGCTACCCTCCTGCCAAGTTTTTTTTTCTACAAATGGGATTTTGAAATTTACCTTGCTTCATTTCAAAGGCATAATAATCAAACTTATATTGGGATTGCACCAATAGTAGACACTTTGCCTCTCATTGCTACACTTAGGGCAATAGGTAAGGTTATAAGTTGCATATTTGCATAAAGCTCACATATGACAACACTAATTCAAATTCTGTAAACTTTTTGGCTGGTACACAGAGTTTTATAACAGGGCCTAGCAAAAGGTTAAGATCGTGACTCTTGATTACACATGTCATGCAGGAGAGAGATGAAGATTTCATTATCCCACATTTAAAAAGACCACTGTTGAAGTCCTCAGTCTAACAAGTAAATAAAGTACAAAGATGGAATTGGGACTTTCATATGTGTGTGTTGCTACAGTTGAGATGGTGATTCAGTTCTGGACTCAGATCACAGACATAATAATGGGTCTCCTGTCTGAACCCAGCCTATAAGAGAGATGTTGTCTATCATAACTGAATTTAAAGCAATACATAAGATTGTGAGTCAACAGGAGCATGTAGGCCTCAGAATGGATTGCAAATCTCATGCATGTTACATAAAGCCTTTGAATATTGTAGAATGTGTCACACAATGACCCAGAACACGTTACATTGTGACACTTACATACATACCAGTAAAAAGTGTCACCCAAAAAGATAAGGAGATTGTGTCATATCACTATGCCTGGTAACCCTAGGTGTTGAGATTAGTGGCTTAAATTCTTGACCATAGGTGGATTTTGAAATATCGCCGGGTTAGGATCATAATAATGTGTACTCTTGTTCTTGGACCTAGCAAACAGGAAATATTATCACATATCTCTAGTCCTGTTTGCTAGGTGATGTGTCTCTCCTGCCAGTGTCTTGCCCACAGGGAACACTATGACATACCACTAGATATAGCATCAAGGTAATGTGACTCACCTCTTCTGCCTGGATCCTGCCCACTGATGAAATTGTGACATACCCCTGAGTGCAAAACACAGGTGATGTGACTCTCCCCTTTGTCCTGGACTCTGTTAAGAGCAGCGATTATATCATATTGCTGAGCCCAGCACGTAGAGGATGTAACTATCCACTATTTTTTCAACCCTGTATGCAGTTGTCAAGATGACATATTATTTGAGATTGTACCCAGTGATATGACCCATGTCACTGGCTCCTTACCACAGAGGAGATTATAGTGTATCCATGGCTCAGTATGCAAATGATGTGACTCTTATGCCTTGTTTCTGTCCAAAGGGAAAATTGTGATACATACCAGAAATCAGCACACTTGCACAATAATAACTCTCATACATGAACCCAGCCAGGGGGAATATTTTAACTCTCATAGTCTGTCTTACAGCCACGGATAAATTCCAAATCTCCCACCTATAAGAAATCACAGAAAAGTAGCCTAGTCAGGCATATCATATAAATCCTGAGTGGTACAAAGGGTGTCATAACAGGCACCAGTGACCACGTGCTATTGTGACTCTTGGACGCACACCCAGCTGGCATGTTTGTTATAAACAGGGCCTATGAATGATTTACTAAATCTCCCTCCCATAAGCAGCTGAAGCTAGAAATTGTTACCTTATATATGAATCAGATCCATAGGTGGTTTGGCGATGTTTGAACCACAACTCAGCAGACCTTTGGTGATTTGACTCTTATCCTGACACACAATCTTCAAGTGGGATTGGGGCTCTTATACATGCATCTTGCCCATTGTTGATATTGTGACTCCTGTACTTTGACCCAGTCATAGGAGATGTTGAGTCTCATGCATGAAGCTCAGACTTGTGTGGGACTGTGAAACTGATTTCTGAACACTTTTTAGTGTGTGAATGAGAAGTGTGACTTTGCCCAGCATCTGAGTGTTTTGACTCTGCTTTCTAGGCCCAGAGCAGAGTTGAAATTGTGACATACATGCAACAAGCAACATATAACACCTTTAGCAACGTGACAGGGGGCACTTTTACATGACACTGAAACCAGCATTCAGCTGATGTAAAATCTTGGCCTGAGCCCTGCCTGCAGACAGCACTGTGGCTTTTTTCTAGGTCCATCACATAAGTGATATGACTTCTTTCTACTGCCTTGGCACTGCACTTATGGTGCATTGTGACACATAACTGGGTACTGCACTCAGGTAATGTGACTCATTTTCCTGTGGCGCTCTGCCAATAGGAAGCTTTGTAACATAACACTTGGTTCAGCACCTCAGTGATGTTTCTTCTCTCTTGCCTGAGCTCTAACCACTAGAGAGATTATGAAATGTTGCTGAACCCAGCACCAAAGTGAGGACACGCTCCTGCCTTGGTCCTGCACATAGGGGCTATTGTGACATATCTCCAGACCAATTGCTTAGGTGAATTTTGTCTCCTTTCCAGCCTAAGCTCTGTCCTTAGGGTGGATTTTCATATATCACTTAAACCAGCATCCAGGTGACGTGACTCTTTTCCAGGAGTCTTGCCCACAAGGAGGATTGTGACATTTCACTGGACCAGCACCCACTGAAGTGATGTGACTTTCCTTTCTTCTCCTTGCCCACAGGTGAAATTATGCCATATACCTGAGACAGATCAAAGGAATAATAACAACTTTATACCTGGAGCCAGGATGTGCAGAATGGTGACTCTCATTCCTGAACATTTCCACCAGTGCTATTGTGACATACACCTTGGTCCAGCTCCTCAGTGATTTAATAATCCTGCCTAATTATAGCCTGCATATGACATTTTGACATATACCTGGACCTAGAACCTTGGTGATTTGACTCTCCTGTTGTAGAGGGTCCTCAGAAAAAACTATAACATATCTATGGGCCCATCATCTAGGTAATGTGATGTTCCCCATTTGTCTGAACCTCCTTTCAGTGAAGAGTGTGGCATTTCTAAACACTGCATCCAAATGACATGACTCTCTTGCCTGGGCCATTTCAACAGGAGGCCTTGTGACATATCTCTGAGCCCATCATTTTGGTGATATGACTCTCCTCACCTGCCTGGACATTGTCCACAAGAGGCATTATGCGATAGAGCTGGGACTGGCACCAAAGTTTTCTGACTTTTCGGTTAGTGCCCTGCTGACAAAGAGAACGTTGTAATACTTCTGGCTTAGAATGTAGGTGATGTGTTTGTTCTATCTCTTTTATAACCAAAGACGGGATGGTGACATATAACTAGGCACAGCTAATAGGCATGATAATGACTCTCTTATGTGGACCCAGCCAATAGAAGAAATGTTGCCTCTTATAACTAGGTTTAGGGACATGAGTGATGTAGAATCTCCTTCTGGTAAAAAGGTCACAGAAGATTGCAACACTCACACATATTTTTTAACACCCTTGTGTTGAATAGAGGGTGTCACAAAGCACCTAGCACACAGAATAAATTGTGAGTATTGTATGCACACCCAGCTGACAGCAAGGAATTTCACCATCACAGGTGGATGAAGGCATCTGTCCTACATGAAAACAGGACATGTGTGGTATTCTAAATCTAATCCCCAGAATTTTATTTCTTCAAGACTGTGATATAAATCTTTGCCAGTTACCGGTGTGATTTCACTCTTCAGACTGGTTCAAGCCTACATATGGCATTTTGATATTTACCTGGGCCAACCTTGACATGATGTTACACTTCTGCCTGGGCCCTGCTCTCAGTAAGAATTGTAACATCACTGGATCCAGCATCCAGGTGATGTTACATTCTTGCCTGTACCATGACACACACGTTATTGTGACATATTACTGTGTCCATCACTTAAAAGAAGTAACTCTCCTCTCTAGAATGGGCCCTGCACACAGGGCAGGATAGTGACGTACTCCTAGGAGTGGCACAGAGGTGATGATACTATTTTGACAGGGCCACGCCCCAAAGAGGGCATTTTGAAATATTGCAGGGCCTATCATAGAGATAATATGTCTCTTCTGCTTGGGACCTGCACACTTGAATAGTGACATATTGCTAGGCCACACACAAAGGTGATGGTACTCTTTTGCCAGGGACATGCTTTAAGGAAAGCTTTGTGACATATTTCTATGCCTATCACCTAGGTGATGTGACTTCCTGCTTGGCCCTGCCCACATGGAACATTGTGACATATATGTGGGACCTGCACCCAGGTGATGTAACTCTCTTGACTGGGACCTTTTCTAAGGAGGGCTTGCAAATGTCTCAGGACCCAGGACCGTGTGATGTGGCACTTCAGCCTGGATTCTGCCCACCTATTAAATTGTCTAGGTATGTGAAATATACCTAAACAATTGACATATTGTGACATATTGAGCCCACCACTTAGGTAATGTGACTCTCGACTGGTTGCCGAACAACGCCCATGAACAGGCCTTTTGCCATATTTTAGGGCTCAGCACCCAGATGATGTTACTCTTCTGCCTAGGTCGTGCATAAAGAGGGAATTATGGCATACTGTTTGGCCCAGCACCGTAATGATGTGACTCTCCTCCCTGTGCCAGAGCCACAGAAAGTATGTTGACATATCTTTGGCCAAATCTGTAGGTATTCTGGCTCTCATCACTTTGCTTGCTTTCTTCCATGTGTGGTTTTATCATATTACAAAGCTCCATCCCCCAGTTAATGTGACCCTCTTTACTAGCCCCTGCCTAATGAGGGCGTCATGATATATTACTTCACACAGAACCTAGGTGATGTTAAACTTCTGCCTAGGTTTTGCCCCCACAAAAATTGGATTATGACATATACCTTGCTTCAGTTCAAAGGCATGATGATCAAGCTTATATTCAGCCAATAGGACATATTTTTCCTCTCATCACTAGGTTTAGGTCAATAGGTAAGTTCTTTCATTGGATATTTGTACAAAGCTCACAGAAGTTTACAGTATTAACTCGTATCATAAATACTTCTTGTGTGGTACAGGGAGTTTCATAACAGGGCTCATCAAAATATTAAGATTGTGACTCTCAACTACACATTGAGGTGAAAGTAAAAGTTGTGACCATGCTATATTTACAAAACTCATTGTTGAGGTCCTCAGTCTAACAAGTGAATACAGTACAAAATTGGAATTGTAATTTTCGTAAGTGAATCTGGCCACAGGTGGGATGGTGACTCATTTCTGGAGCCAGCTCACAGGCATAATAATGGTCTCATTCCTGAAGCCAGCATATAAGACAGATGTGGACTGTCATACCTTGGTTTAGGAAAATATCTAATATTGTGAGTCCATAGAAGCATGTAGGCCTCAGAGTGGTTTGCAATGCTCATGCATGCTGTTTAAGGCCTTCAAATGTTGTAGAGGGTCATACAGTGGCCCAGGAAACATGTGAGATTGTGACTATCAGATACACAACCAGCTCACAGTTAATGGTGTCACCCTCAAAGACAAAGAGATTTGGCATATTGCTAGGCAGAGTACCAAGGTGTTGAGACATTTTGGCTTAAATTTCTTCCCATGGGTTCATTGTGACATATCGCTGGGTTAGAATTCATAAAAATGTGACTCTTTTGCTTGGACCCTGCCAAAAGAGGATAGTATCACATATCTCTGGACCTATAATCTTGGTGATTTGTCTCTTCTGCCTGTGCCCTGCCCCCAGAGGACATTGTAAAATATCATTTGGCTTAACATCTAGGTCATACTACCTACCTCTCCTGTCTGGGTTCTGCTCACCAAGTAAATTGTAACATACTGCTGATTACAAAACCTAGGGAATATGACTCTCCTTCATATTCCTTGTTAAGAGAGGGGATTATTACATATTGCAGAGTGCAGCACCTAGGTTGAGTGACTCTTCTCTTTTTCTGTCAATCTCCGGATTAATGACATACTATTTCAGTCTGTATCCAGCTGATGTGACTTCAGACTATGCCCAGCCTACAAATGTGATTATACTGTGTAATTGGCTAAGCATCCAGGTGATGTGACTCTTCTGGCTTCTTCCTGCTCATAGGTGGAATTGTGACAAATGCCTGGGTTAAGCAATCCTGCACAATAATAACTCTCATACCTGGACAGAGCCAGTATGTTGTGATTCACTCAGGTTTGTGGCAGAAATATTAAAAGGAAATACTGGGGAACGTAATAAGGAAGAGTCACAAAGCTTTGGAAGGCTGAAAAGTTACATAGCTTGTAATAATTGGACAGGCTTAAGGTGGCCAGTTCTTACTTGAGAATATTAGGTCATAGGGTAAAATGAGGGACAATATAGGCTTCCCCAGTTAAGTCTGTTTATTTTACCTCCATTAACCAGTCTTTGAACCAGATAGCTCTCTCAGTGGGGAGCTCGACCAGGAAAGTTGCCCCCTAATAGTATTTATTTTAGACCATGGTACCTGACCTTAATCATTTGTAGAACTACTTTCTTAACCATGTTAATTATCCACAATTGTGTTTACTCAAAGCTTCTGTTGTTAATTCTATATTGAAGAAATGCCTGGATTGCAAGCTGCTTAGTGCCAAGTTTGTCATTCTTCACAGGACTCTCCTCAGAGTCTGAGTGGCCTGGGAGCCTCAGCTGGACTGGCAAAGCAAAATATCTGTGTCATTCTCACACATGCACAATTGTCATTCTCACACATGCACAGGGCCTACTAATGTAGCCCTTGAATCTCACACATAAAGAAGCACTCAAAAGCTGAAATAATTACTCTCATAAAGGAATCTGATTCACAGGTGGTTTGGTAACATATGAACCATGATTCAGCACACTGCGGTGATGTGACTCACCAACTGAAACACAATCTGCAAGTGAGAATGGGCTGTCATATATGAATCTGGCTGATTGTTGAGATTGTGACTCCTCTGCTTTGACCCGGCACATAGATAGTGTTTACTCACATACAGGAAACCAGGACTTTGGTGAGACGTGAAACTTATTTTCAAACCTTTTTGAGAGTGTGATTGGGACAGGTAACTTTGCACAGCACATGAATAATTTGGATCTCTTTTATACACCCAGATCACAGAAGAAATTGTGCCATATGTCGAACAAGCATCTGAGCAATATGTAACACATCCCTTGGCTCTTTCTATGAAGGGCACTATTACATATCACTGGGACCATTACCCAGATGATGCGAATTATCTGCCTGAAAACTGCCTACCAAGAGAATTGTGTCTTATATGTAGGTCCATTATGTAATTGATGTGACTCCCTTCTACTCCTTTGTCCCTGCATTTACAGTGCATTGTGACACATAACGGGTACTGCACGCAGGTGAAGTGATTCTTCTATTACGGTTCTGTCAACAGGATTTATGTGACATATTACTTGTTTTACCAGCTAGGTAATGTTTCTTTGCTTTTGCCTGGGCCCTGACCAAAGGGAGATTGTGACATATCGCTGGGCCCAGCACCAATGTGAGGTCACTCTCCAGCTTGGGTACTGCACGTGAGGGCCATTGTGATAAACATCCAGGACAATTGCCCAGGTGAAATGAGCATCCTCTTCTGCCAAAGTCCTGCCCACATAGGGAGTTTTCTAATGTCACTGATGTGAGCATCCAGGTGATGTAACACTTCTGCCAGGATCCTGCCTGCAAGGGGGACTGTGACATCTCACTGGACCCCCACCCACATAAGTGATGTAACTTTCTTTCCTTCTCTCTGGCCACAGGTGATATTGTGCTCTATAACTGAGGTCATAACAAAAGCCTAATATCAACTCATCTATCTGGAGCCAGAATATGTGCAGTATGATAAGTCTTATTCCTAAACCTTTCCACAAGTTTAACTGTGACATATACTTTTGCCCAGCTCCTGAGTGATTTAATAATTTTGCCTAGGTATAGCCCCAAAATGAGATTTTGACAAATATCTGTGCCAGCCACCTTGGTGATTTGACTGTGCTATCTTAACAGTCTCCTCAGAGGGAATGTCACATATTTCTGGACTCATCATCTAGGTTACATGACTCTCTTGTTTGGCCTGTACCCAGCTTCCTTTAGTAATTGTAGCATTTGTAAACACTGCATCTAAATGAGATGACGGTCTTTTCCGGATCCTGTCAACAGGAGGCATTGTGACATATTTCTGGGCACAGGTTTTAGGTAGTATCTCTCTCCTCTACTGCCTGGTCACTGCCCACAAATACATTGTGCCACAGAGATAAATCTAGCACACAAGTTTTGAGACATTTCTGAAAAGACCTTGCCTACAAAGAGAATATTGGAATGTTTTTTGCCCAGCCTTTAGGTGACATTGCTCTTCTGCCTGCTTCATAACCACAGAGGGAATTTTAAGATATACCTAGGCATGCCTATCAGGAATGACAATGACTCTTATATGTGGATTCAGCCAATAGAGGATATTTTGACTCTTATGACTAGGTTTAGGGAAATACATGGTGTCCTGAATCACCTTCTTGCACAAAGGTCACAAAAGATTACAACATTCACACATACTTTACAAAGTCCTTGGGTTATACAGAAGGAGTCAAAGCAGGTCTCGGAATGCAGGTAAAATTGTGAGTCTTGTGTGCACATCCAGCTGACAGTAGGACTGTTATCATCTCACGTGGATGAAGCCAACTGTCACACTCGAAAAAGGATGTGTGGGGTATTGTAAATCTCATATTTGGAATAGTTGGACAGTGTGATTGTGATATCAATCTTTGCCATGCACCTGTGTAGTTTGCCTCTCCAGGCTTGTTCCAGCATGTATATGGGATTCTGATATCTACCTAGGCCCCAATCTCAAGGTGATGTGACTCTTCTGCCTGGGCCATTCTCTAAGTAAGGATTGTAGTATATCACTGGATCTTGCCTCCGGGTGATGTTACATTGTTGCCTGCACCATGGCCACCACAATTATTGTGACATATGCCTGTGTCCACCTGACAGATGATGTAAGTCTCTTCTCTGGAATGTTCTCTGCACAGAGAAAGAATAGCGACATATTGCAAGGCCAGGCACAAAGGCATAGGTGCCTTTTGCCAGCGCCATGCCCAAAAAGGGCATTGTGACATATCTCTGAGCCTATCATCTAGGTTATGCTGCTCTCCCACTTGGGCCCTGCCAATCTGGAGACTGATATATTTCTAGGCCAAGCACACAGGTGATGTTACTCTTTTGCCTGGGCCATACTTCATAGAGGACATTGTCACATATCTCTAGGCCTATTACCTAGGTGAAGCGACTTGCTCCTTGGGCCCTACCCCTATGAAGCATTGTGGCATAAGCAGAGAACCTACTCTGAGGTGACGTAAGCCTCTTGCCTAGCTGACGTCCTAAGAGAGCCTCATGACATATCTCAGGACACAGCACCCAAATTATGTGGTTCTTCTGCCCGGTGTGCGTCCTTATGTTATGTTGTGACGTATTCCTAGGGAAGCACCTAGGTGATATGACTCTCCTAATCTGCCTGTGCCATGCCTAGAGGGGCTATTGGGACACATGTCTGAGACCAAGACTGAAGTGATGTGACTCTTTTTTTCTGCCTGGGCCTTCAAAATAAGGATATTGACTCATTGTTGGGCAGAGCACTCAGGATATGTGACTCTCCTCTTTTTCCCGAATGATGCCCACAGAAAGGAATTTTGACCTATTGCAGGGTCCAGCACCCAGGTGATATTACTCTTCTGCCTGGGTTCTGCATAAAAAGAAAATTATGGCATATTGCACATTGTTGAACCCAGTATTTTTAAAATTTGACTCCCTGCCTGTGCTGGAGTCAAATATTTTGATGTCTCTTGTGCCCATTAGGTAGGTGCTTTGGCTCTCATGTATGACATATACTTAGGTCCACTTCACAGGCATTATGACGAACTTTATATTGGGATTCACCCAATAAAAGATATTTTGCCTTTCATCATTAGGCTTAGTGCAATAGGTTAAATCCTGGGTTGCATATTTGTATCAAGCTCATAGAATCTTTCAACAATAACTTGCATTGTATAAACTCTTTGTTGGTAGAGAGTTGCATAACAGGGCCCAGCAAAAAGTTCAGATTATGACTCTCGCTTACACAACCAGTTGAAAATAAAAGTTGTCACCATTCCACATTTACAGTGCCCACTGTTGAGATCTTGAGTCTAACAAGGGAATACAGCGCAAAGTGTGAACTGTGACTTTTATATGTGGATCTGGCCACAGGGAAAATGGTGATTCATTTCTGGACCCAGCTCACAGGCTTAATCATAGGTCTTCCCCCTTAACCCTGTCTGCGGGAGAGATGTTGACTACCAAACCTAGGTTTAGGATAATATGTATGACTGTGAGTCCCTATGAGCATGTAGGCCTCAGAGAGGTTTGCAATTCTCACGCAGGTTTCATAAACCCCACGGGTATTTTACAGAGTGTAATATATTGGCCCAGCATACACATGAGATTGTGACACTAATATACATGGTCAGCCAAAATTTACAGGTGTTACCCTCAAAGATGAAGATATTGTGTCGTATCACTAGGCCTAGTGCCCAGGTTTTGATACTTTTTGCGTCAAATTCCTTTTCCTGAATGCCTTGTTACATATCACTGGGACAGAATCATCATAATGTAATTCTTCTCCTGAGCCCTGCAAACAGTGGATGTTATCAAACATCTCTGTGTCTTTCAGCTAAGGAATATGTCTCTCCTGCCAATGTCTTGTCCACAGGGAACATTTTGACATATTGCTAGATATAGCATCTATGTAATATGACTCTACCCTCCTGACTGGATCCTTCCCATTGAAGAAGCTGTTGCAGAACACTGAGTGCAAAACCTAGGTGATATGACTCTCCTCTTTGTTATGGACTCTGCCAAAAGAGGGAAATGTAACATGCTATTGAGCCCAGCACCTAGGGGATGTGACTGTCCACTATTTATTCAATCCTGTATACGGTGGGCATATTGACATATTATTTGAGACTGTACCCACCTGATATGACTCTTATGACTGGGTCCTGCCTACAAGGAGATTATACTGTTTCCCTGATTCAGGACCCAGGTGATGTGACTCTTCTCTTGCCTCTGTCCAAAGGTGAAACTGTGACATAGACCTGGATTCAGCTCATATGCACAATAATAACTCTCATGCCTGGACCCAGCCAGGGGATTTATTTTGATTCCCTTAGACAGTCTGACTACCATGGTTAAATTCCTCAATCTCACATATGTAAGAATTCATAGAAAAGTACGCTACTCTGTCATATCACATAAAGTCTGAGTGGTACAAAGGATGTCATAACAGGCACCAGTGACCAGGTGCTATTGGGAGTCTTGGACACCCACCCAGCTGACACAGTTGTCATTCTCACACATGAACAAAGCCTACAAATCAGATATTAAATCTCACACACATAAGCAGTAGAAATTTTTCTTACTCTCATACATGAATCTGATCCACAGGTGGTTTGGTGACATTTGAAGCATGACTCAGCAGACCTGTGGTGCTTTGACTCTCCTACTGGAACGAAATCTTCAAGTGGGAGTGGGTTTTTTGTTATTGTTGTTGTTGTTGTTGTTTTGAGACAGAGTTTTTCTCTTATTGCCCAGACTGGTGTGCAGTGGTGCCATCTCAGCTCACTGCATCCTCCACTTCCTGGGTTCAAGTGATACTTCTGCCTCAGCCTCCTGAGTACCTGGGACTACAGGCACCTGCCACCATGCCCGGCTAATTTTTTCTGTGTTTAGTAGAGGCGGGGTTTCACCATGTTGGCCACTCCTGACCTCAGGTGATCCACCCACCTCGGCCTCCCAAAGTGCTGGGATTACAGGCATGAACCACAGTGCCTGGCCAGAGTTGGGGCTCTTATACATGGATCTTGCCCATTGTTGAGACTGTGACTCCTGTACTTCGACCAAACTGATAGGAGATGTTAACTCTCATACCTGAGGGCAGGACTAGTATGGGACTGTGAAACTTACTTCTGACCATTTTTGAGAGTGTGATTGAGAAATATGGCTTTGCCCAGCCTATGAGTGTTTTGCATCTCTTATCTAGGCCCAGAGGACAGTTGAAATTGTGACATACATTCGCCAAGCACCTAAGCAACGTATAACACCTTTTTGGGAATGCGACAGAGGGCACTTTTACATATCTCTGGGACCAGCGCCCAGCCGATGTAAAATCTTGGCCTGAAACACGGCTACAAAGAGCATTATGGCTTTTATCTAGCTCTGTCATGTAAGTGATGTCATTTCTTTCTACTGCCTTGGTCCTGCACTTATGGTGCCTAGTGACACATAACAGGATACTGCACCCAGGTGATGTGACTCATTTTTGGGTGGAGTTCTGCCAATAGAAAGATTTGTAACATATCACTTAGCTCAGCACCTAGGTGATGTTTTTTCTCTCTTGCCTGAGCCCTGACCACCAGAGAGATTGTAACATATTGCTGAACTCAGCACAAAGGTGAGGTCATTCTCCTGCATTTTCCTGCCCATAGGGACAGTTGTGACATATATCCAGGCGAATTGCCTAGGAGCAGTTTTTCTCCTCTCCTTCCTACGCCTGCCTTGTCCACAGAAGGAATTTAGATATATCACTGAAATCAGCATCCAGGCGATGTGAATCTTCTTCCAGAGTCCTCCCCACAAGAAGGATTGTGACATTTCACTGGACCAGCACCGACTCTGATGATGTGACTTTCCTTTCTTCTCCCTGCCCACAGGTGATATTGTGCCATATACTTGAGAGAAGATAAAAAAATTATAACAACAACTCCTGTACCTAGAGCCAGAACATTTGCAGGATGGTGACTCTCATCCCTGAACCTTTCCACAGGTGTTGTTGTGACATACACCTTTGCCAAGCTCCTGAGTGATTTAATAATCCTGCCTATTTATAGCCCAGAGATAACAGTTTGATATATACATTGGCCAAAAACCTTGGTGATTTGACTTCCCTGTCTTAGCAGTGTCCTCAGAAGGGATCGTAACAAATCTCTGGACCCATCATCTAGGGTATTTGACTTTTCTCTCCTGCATGAACCCTGCTTCCAGTGAAGAGTGTAGCATTTCTAAGCACTGC
Source organism: Homo sapiens (assembly GCF_000001405.40). Taxonomy (NCBI): domain Eukaryota; kingdom Metazoa; phylum Chordata; class Mammalia; order Primates; family Hominidae; genus Homo; species Homo sapiens. The sequence continues at coordinate 25,053,703 of NC_000024.10, read as the reverse complement.
ATTTAAATGACATGACCCTCTTGCCTGGGCCCTTTCAATAGGAGGCATTGTTACATTTCTCTGGGCCCATCATTTAGGTTATATGACTCTCCTCTCCTGTGTGGACACTCTCCAGCAAGGACATTATGCCAACGACCTGGGCCTATGACCAAATTTTGTGGCTTTTCTGTTATGGCCCTTCCTGCAAATAAAATATTGGAACATTTTTGGCTCATGGTTTAGGTGATGTGGTTTTTCTGCCCATTTAATAACCACAGAGAGCATGGTAGCATATACCTAGGCGCAACTAACGGCCATGATAGTGACTGTCATATGTGAACCCAGCCAATAGGAGAAATTTTGACTTTTATAACTAGGTTTAGGAACATAAGTGATGTCAATGATCTCTTCCCGGTAAAAATGTCACAGAAGACTATAACACTCACACATGTTTTGTTACACCCTTGTGTTGTATAAAGAATGCCATAACAGGGCCTAGCACACCGAGAAAATTGTCAGTCTCATATGCAAACCCAGCTGACAGCAAGAACTTTCACCATCATAGACGGATGAAGGCAACTCTTCTACATGAAAATAGGGCATGTGTGGTATTGTAAATCTAATTTCTAGAATTTTATTCCATCATGACTCTGATACAAATCTTTGTCATGCACCATTGTGATTTCATTCTTAAGACTGGTTGAAGCCTACATATAAAATTTTGAGATCTCCCAGGGCCAACCTTGAAGTGGTTTGACTCTTCTCCCTGGGCCCTGCTCTCAGTAAGAATTTTGACATCACTGGATGCAGTAACCAGGTAATGTTATATTCTTGACTGCACCATGACACAGACATCATTGTGACATATTACTGTGTCCGTCACTTAAAAGATGTAACTCTCCTCTCTGGAATGGGCACTGCACATAGGATAGGATAGTCACATATTCATAGGCCAGGCACACAGGTGATGATACTTTTTTTTTTTGCCAGGGCCATGCCCAAAAGAAGGCATTTTGACATATCAAAGGGCCTATCATGCAGGTAATATGACTCTTCTGCTTGGGATCTGCCCACCTGCATAGTGACACATTGCTAGGCCAGACACAAAGGTGATGGTACTGTTCAGCCAGGGACAGGCTTTAAGAAAAGTTTTATGGCTGGGCATGGTGGCTCACACCTGTAATCCCAGCACTTTGGGAGGCCGAGGCGGGTGGATCACGAGGTGAGGAGATCGAGACCATCCTGGCTAACACGGTGAAACCCCATTTCTACTAAAAATACAAAAAAATAAGGCAGGTGCCATGGCAGGTGCCTGAAGTCCCAGCTACTTGGGAGGCTGAGGTGGGAGAATGGCGTGAACCCAGGAGTCGGAGCTTGCAGTGAGCCGAGATCGTGCCACTGCACTCCAGTCTGGGCAACAGAGCGAGGCTCCATCTCAAAAAAAAAAGAAAAAAGGAAGAAAGAAAAGAAAAGCTTTGTGACATATCTCTATGCCTATCACCTAGGTGATGTGACTTCCTGCTTGACCCTGCCCACATGGAGCATTGTGACATATGTGTGGAACCTGCACTTAGGTGATGTAACTCTCTTGACTGGGTCCTTTTCTAAGGGGGGCTTGTGAATATCTCAGGACCCAGGACCATGTGATATGGTATTCAGCCTTGTTTTTTCCCACATATTAAAGTGTGACATATACCTAAAGAAGCACCTAGGTGATATGATTCTCTTTTTCTGCCTGATCCCTGCCTACTGGTGACATTCGGCCATATCTCTGAGCACATAACCTATATGATGTGACTCTCTTATTCTGTCTGCGCTTTGACAATAAGAAGACTGTGAAATGTTAATGAGCCCAGCACTTAGGTAACGTAAGTCTTGTCTGGTTGCTGAACAACCCCCACAAACAAGACTTTTGCTGTATTTCAGGGCCCAACACCTGGATGATGTTACTCTTCTGCCTAGGTCATGCGTAAAGAGGGAATTAGGGCATATTGCTTGGCCCAGTCCCGTAATGATATGACTCTCCTGCTTGTGCCAGAGCCACAGAAGGTATTTTGATATATCTTGTTCCCTTTCTGTACGTGTTTTGGCTCTCATAACTTTGCTGGTATTCTTCCACGTGTTGTTGTAGCATATTGCTGGTTCCAGCCCCCAGTTAATGTGACCCTCTTTCCTAGGCCCTGCCTAGGTAGAGTATTGTGACATATTGCTTGGAACAGCACCTAAGTGATGTTAACCTTCTGCCTAGATTTTGCCCACAAATGGGGTTATGACAGATACCTTGATTCAGTTCAAAAACATGATGATCAAGCTTATATCGGGATTCAGCCAACAGGAGATATTTTGCCTTGCATTGCTAGGTTTACATCAATAAGTTAGTCCCTTCATTGCATATTTATACAGAGCTCAGAGAAACTTACAACACTGATTCATATCATAAAACCTTCCTGGGTGGTACAGAGATATTTATGACGGATCCCAACAAAAAATTGAGATTGTGAATCTCCACTACACATTCAAATGCAAGTAAAAGTTGTTATCTTCTCACATTTACAAATCTCATTGTTAAGGTCCTGAGTCTAACAAGTGAATACAGGACCAAGTTGGAGTTGTGATTTTCAAAAGCTAATCTTGTCACGGGTGGGATGGTGACTCATACATATCTGGTCCCAGGTCACAGGCTTAAAAACAGTCTCATCTCTGAAGCCAGCCTAGAGAAGAGATGTTGAGAGTCATACCTTGGTTTAGGGCAATATGTAAGATCATGAGTTCATATAAGCATGTGGGCCTCAGAGAGGTTTTCAACTCTCAGGCATGTTGTATAGTGTTCTCAGATATTGCAGAGAATGTCATACAAGGGTCAGCACACACATGAGATTGTGACTGTCATATAAACAACTAGCTAACCATTAATTGTGTCACCGTTAAAGGTGAAGAGATTGTGTCATATCACTTGGCGTCATACCCCAGTGTTGAGACATTTTTGTTTAAATTCCTTTCCAAAAGGGCATTGTCACATATCACTGGGTCAGAATAATGATAATGGCCTTGAAAACAGGGGATATTTTCACACACCCCCAAGCCTATTGGCCAGGTGATATGTCTCTCCTGCTAGTGCATTGCCCACAGGGGACATTGTGATATATCACTAGATACAGCATCTAGGTAATACTCCTGCCTGGAACCTGTCCACCAAATAAATTGTGACATACAACTGAGTGCAAAACCTAGGTGACATGACTCTCCTATTTGTCCTGGACTCTGCCAAGACAGGGAATTTCTACATATTGCTGAGCCCAGCACCCAGGTGTTGTGATTCTTTTTTTACTTTTATTTTTCATCAAATCTGTCTACATTGGGCATGGTGACATATTACCTGAGGGTCTACCCAGGTGATGTGGCTCTTCAGCCTGATTTCTGCTCACATGTTAGATTGTGACATACAACTAGGAAAGCACCTAGGTATATGACTCTCCTTTTCAGCCCATGCCCTGCCCTACTGGGACAGTGGGATCTATCTCTGAGCCCAAGACCTAAGTGAAGTGACTCTCTTCTTCAGTCTGGTCTTTGCAGTGACGGCATTGTGACATATTGCTGAGCCCAGCACTCAGATTTATTGACAGCTATTTCTCTTGAACCATGCAAACAAACAGAAATGTTGACCTATTGCAGGGCTCAGCACACATATAATGTTACTCTTTTGCCTGGATTTTGCGTACACGGAGAATTATGGCATATACTAATATATAATAATAGCACACTAAAAATGTGACTGTCATGCTTTCCTGCAGCTACAGAAGGCATTTTGACATATACTGAGCTTATTCTGTAGATGTCTTGGCTCTGATTTTTTGCCTGTTCTTTTTCTACATATGGGATTGTGTCATATTGCTGTGTCCAGTACCCAGTTAATATGACTTAATTCCTATACGCTGCCTAGAGATGGCATTGTGGCATGATGCTTGGCACAGCACAGTGATGTTACACCCCTGCCTAGTTTTGGCCCACAAATAGGATTATGACATATACCTTACTTCAGTTCACAGGCATGATGGTCTAAATTACACTGGGAATCAGCCAAAGGAGATATTTTGCCTTTTATCACTAGAACAAGGGAAATAGGTGAGGTTGTGGGTTGCATATTTGTACCAAACTCAAAGACCTTTACAACACTAACTCATAATGTATAAATGTGTGGAGTACAGAGAGTTTCATGACAGGGAGTAGCAAAAATTCAGATTGGGACTCTCGATTACACAACCAAGTAAAAGCAAACGTTGTCACTATTCCATATGTCCAAACCTCACTGTTAAGGTCTTGAGTCTAACAAGTGAATACAGTACAACATCAGAATTGTGACCTTCATATGTGGATCTGGCCACGGGTGGGATGGTGACTCATTTCTGGATCCAGCTTACAGGCATAATAAACTGTCTCATCCCTGAACCCAAACTGCAGAAGAGATGTTGACTATTATACCTGAGTTTAGGGTAATATGTAAGATCATGAATCCATACAAACATGTAGGCCTCAGAGTGGTTTGCAACTCTCACGCATGCTGTATAAAGCCTTCAAATGTCACAGAGTGTCAATCAACAGCCCAGGAAACACATGAAATTGTTATATTCATGTAGACAGTCAGTTCACAGTTAATGGTGTCACCCTCAAAGGCAACAAAATTTGGTATATTACTAGGCCATGTACCCACCTGTTGAGACATTTTGGCATAAATTCTTTCCCACAGGTGCACTGTGACGTATCACTGGGTTCATATCATTGTAATGTGACTCTTCTGTCTGGACCCTGCCAACAGGGGATATTATCACATATCTCTGGACCTATAAGTAGGGGAATTTTTCTCTCCTGCATGTTCCCTGCCCCCAGAAGGCATTGGAAAATATTAACTTAACATCTGGGTCACGTGATTCTACTCTCCTGCCTGGGTGTGGCTCACCAAAGAAGTTGTGACATAGCACTGATTGCAAAATCTATGTGATGTGGCTTTCCTTCATATTCTAGACTCTTCCAAGCCAGCAGATTATTACAGTTTGCAAAGCCCAGCACTGAGGTAGAGTAGAGTGACACTCCTCTTTTTCTTTTTTTCCTGGCAATAGTGTGCTTGGTGACATAATCTTTGAGGCTGTCACATCACCAAGATTATATTGTATCACTGGACCAGCATAAAGCTGACACTTCTGACTATGCCCAGCCTTCAAATAATACTACACTGTATAATTGGCTCAACACCCAGGTAATGTGACTTTCCTTTCTTGTCCCTGCTCACAGGCCAAGTTTTGACATATATCTGGGTTAAGCACACATGCAGAATAATAACTCTCATACCTGGACCCAGCCAGTAGAGATAATTGACTCTCATAGGCAGTCTCACGACAATGGGTTATGTCCTGAGTTTTTCAACTGTATAAAGTTCACAAAGGATTATAACACTCGGGTATATCATATACAGCCTTAATTGTACAATGAGTGTCATAAGAGAGGCCAGAAATGAAGTGAGAATGGGACTTTTAAATGCACACCCAGCTGACATGATTGTCATTCTCACACATGAACAGGGCGTAGGAATGAGATACTAATCTCACACATAAAAAAACAGTCAAATGTTTAAATAATTACTCTTACACATAGATCTGATTCACAGGTGGTTTGGTAAAGTTTGAACCATGATTCAGCACACCTGTGGTGTTGTGTCTTCCCTACTGGAACACAGTCTTCAAGGGGGATTGGGGCTCCTATACATGAATCTTGACCATTGTTGAGATTGTGACTCCTCTACTAAGATCTACCTCATAGAAAGAGTTGGCTCAGGTACAGGAAACTAGGTGTTGTGTGGCATGTGAAACTTATTTCCAAGCATATCTGAGAGTGTGATTTGGACAGGTAACCATGTCCAGCACATGAATAATCTGACTCTCTTTTCTAGGCCCAGAACTCGGATGAAATAGTGCCCTATGTTGAACAAGCACCTAAGAAATATGTAATACCTTCTTTGGCCTTGTCTGCAAAGGGCACTTTCATATATCACTGGGACCATCACCCAGGTGATGTGAATTATCTGCCTAAAACCTGCCTACAAGAGGAATTGTGTTTTATATCTACATCCACCATGAATTGAAGTGACTCCCTTCTACTGCCTTGGCCCTGCCCTTACAGTGCATTTTGACACATAAGCAGAAACTGTGTCCAGGAGATCATTGTCCTTTTTGCGTTCTGCCAACTGGAACATGGTAACATATCACTTAGCTCAGAATGTAGGTGATGTTTCCTCGCATTGTCCTCGCCCTGACCACAGGGAGATTGTGACATATTTCTGGGTCCAGCACCCTTGTGAGGTCACTCTCCAGCCTTGGTAATGCACATAAGAAGCATTGTGACAAATAGCTAGGCCAATTGCCCAAGTGAAGTGAGTGTCCTCTCTAGCAAAAATCCTGCCCAGAGAAGAGGTTTTGATATTTCACTGACACCAGCATCCAGGTGATTTGACTCTTCTGCCAGGGTCCTGTCCACAAGGTAGACTGTGACTTCTCACTGAATCCACACCCATGTAGCTGATGAGATTTTCTTCTCTTCTCTCTGGCCACTGCCGATATTGTGCCTTATACAAGAGACCATAAATAAAAGCCTAATAACAACACATATATCTGGAGCCAGGACATGTGCAGCATGGTGACTCTTAGTCTTAAAGCGATACACAAGTGTAACTGTGACATATACCTTTACCCAGCTCCTTAGTGATTTAATAATTCTGCATAGGTATAGCATCAAAATGAGATTTTGACAAATCCTTGGTATAAGCATCTTCATGATTTGACTGTGTTATCTTAATAATATCCACAGGCGTGACTGTAACGTATTTCTGGCCCATCACATAGGTTACATGACTGTTCTCTCCCACCTGTACATGATTTTCTTTGGTAACTGTATCATTTCTAAACACTGTATCCAAATGATATGACTCTCTTGCCTGGGCCCTGTCAAGAGGAGGCATAGTGACATATTTTGGGTTCCATCATTTACCTGATATGGCAGCTCTCCTCTCCTGCTTGGACACTGCCAATAAGGGACACTGTGCCACCAAGCTGGATCTAGCACACAATTTATGTGGCATTTCTACAGGATCCTGCCTACAAAGAGAATATTGGAATATTTCTGGCCAAGAATTTAGGTGATGTGATTGTTCTGCCTGCTTCATAACCACAGAGAGTAATATTTGTACACAGAGAGTTGCATATTTGTACAAAGTCCAAAGATTACAACACTAACTTATATTGTATAAACTCATTGGTGGTAAAAACTTTCATAACAGGGCCCAGTAGAAAGTTCAGATTTGGAGTACTGATTATACACCCCAGTAAAATTAAAAGTTGTCACCATCCTACATATACAATGCCCACTGTGGAATACGGCACAAAGTTGCAATTGTGAATTTATATGTGGATCTGTCTGGAGGTGGGATAATAATGGGTCTTCTCCTTTAACCCTACATATAAAAGAGATGCTGACTATCAAATCTGAATTGAGGGCAATGTGTAAAATTGTGAACCCATATGAGCATGCAGGTCGCTGAGAGGTTTACAACTCTCATGCAGGTTTTATAAAGCCCTCGGATGTAAAGAGTGTCATACATTGGCCCAGCATACATGTGAGATTGTGATTCTAATATTCAACCTTAGCTGAAAGTTAAAGGTGTCACCCTAAAAGATGAGGAGAGTGTGTCTTATCACTAGGCCTGGTAACCAAGTGTTGAGAATTAGGGCTTAAATTTTGCCCATAGGTGCATTGTGAATTATCACTGGGTCAGAATCCTAATAATGTGAAACTTCTTCTTGGACCCAGCCAACAGGGGATATTATCACGTATCTCTGGGCCTATCAGCTAGGTGATGTGGTGTCTCTCATGCCAGTGCCCTGCCACAGTGGACACTGGGACATATCACTATAGTATCTAGGTAATGTGACTCTCCACTCCTGCCTGGATTCTGGCCACTGAAGAAATTTTGACATACCACTGAGTGCAAAACCTAGGTGATGTGACTCTCTTCTTTGTCTTGGACTCTGCCAGTGAGCTTTGTCTTGAACTCTGCTAATGAGGAAATAATAAAATATTGCTGAGCCCATCACCTAGGGGCGTGACAATCCTCTATTTTTCAATCCAGGGTTTAGTGGTCATGATAATATTATCTGAGACTGTATCCAGGTGATATGACTGTTCTGACTGGGTCCTGACTAAAAAGGAAATTATAACGTATCCCTTGCTCAGCAACCAGATAATGTAACTCTTCTCTCTTGTCTCTGTCCAAAGGTGAAATTGTGATGTATACCTGGATTCAGCTCATATAATAACTGGATTCAGCACAATAATAACTCTCATACCTAGACCTAGCCAGTGGGAGATATTTGACTTTCACAGGCAGTCTTAAGGCCATGGGTAAAGTCCTAGATCTCCCACCTGTAATAATTTACGGGAAATTATACTACTCAGGCATATCATATAAAGCCTGAATGTTACAAAGAGTTTCATAACAGGTACCTGCAACCAGGTTCCATTGTGACTCTTGGATGCATAGACAACTGACATGATTTTCATCTTCACACATGTACAGAGCCTACAAATGAGGTAGTAAATCTCACACACATAAGCAGTTGAAGCTTGAAATTGTTACTCTCATACACGAATCTGATCCATAGGTGATTTGGTGATGTTTGAACTATGATTTAGTCAAACTGTGGTACTTTGACTTTCCTACTGGAACACAATCTTCAAGTGGGATTGAGACTCTTCTATGTGGATCTTTCCTATTTTTGAGATTGTGACACCTGTACTTCAACCCAACTTATAGGAGGTGTTGACTCTCATACCCAAATCCAGGACTTGTGTGGGACTGTGAAACTTATTTCTGAACATTTTTGAGTGTGTAACTGAGAAGTATAACTTTGCACAGAATCTGAGTGTTTTGACTCTCCTTTCTAGGCCCAGAGCACAGTTGAAATTGTGACTTACATGCACCAAGCACCTAAGCAATAAGTAACATCTTTTTTGGTAATGAAACATAGGGCACTTTTACATATCACTGAGATCAGCACTTGGCTGATGTGAAATCTTGGCCTGAGGCCTGCCTACAGAGAGCACTGTGGTTTTTATATAAGTTGATTACTTAAGTGACATGACTTCCTTCTACTGTCTTGGCCCTGCACTTCTGGTGGTGGATTGTGACACGTAACTAGGTACTGCACCCAGGTGATGTGACTTTTTTGGAGAATGAAGTTTCTGCCAGTAGGAAGCTTTGTAACGTATTACTTGGCTCAGCGACTAGGTGATATTTCTTTTCTCTTGCCTGTGCCCTGACCGCCAGAGAGATTGTGACATGTTGCTGAACCTAGCACCAAAGCGAGGGTTACTCCCCTGCCTTGATCCTACACATAGGGGCCATTGTGACGTATATTCAGGCCAATTGCCTAAGTGAAGTTTGTCTTCTCTCCTGCCTAAGTTCTGCTCACAGGGGGGATCTTATATGTCACTGAAACCAGCATCCGGATGATGTGACTCTTCTATCAGAGTCCTAGCCACAAGGACAATTGAGACATTTCACTGGACCAGCATCCACTAAGGTGATGGAACTTTCCTTTTTCTCTCTGCCCACAGGTGATATTGTTCCATTTACCTGAGACCAGATAAAAAGCCTAATGATGACGCTTGTCCCCAGAGCCAGGACACGTGCAGGACAGGATCATTACTCTCATCCCTGCCCCAGATTTTCACAGGTACTATTGTGACATACACCTTTACCCAGCTCCTGAGTGATTTAATAATCCTGCCTTGTTATAGCCCGCAGATGACATTTGGACCTACACCTTTCCCAGGAACCTTTATGATTTTACTCTTGTGTCCTAACAGGTTCTCGGAAGTGATCATAACATATCTCTGGAGCCATTGTCTAGGTTACATGACTCTCCTCTTCTGCATGAACCCTGCTTCCAGTGAAGAGTAGCATTTCTAAGCACTGCACCCAAATGACATGAGTCTCTTGTCTGGGCTTTTTAAAGGGGGGGCTTTGTGATATCTCTCTGGGCCCTTCATTTAGGTGATATGACTCTCCTCTACTGCCTGGACACACTCCACAAAGGGCATTATGCCATAGAGCTGAGTCTAGCACCTAAGTTTTGTCATATTTCTGTTAGGGCCCTCTCTACAAAATAAAGTTGGGGTATTTCTGGCTTAGGATTTAGGTGATGTCGTTTTCTGCCTGTTTAATTACCACAGATGAGATGGCGCCGTATCTGTAGACACATCTAAAATACATGATAAGGACTCTCATATGTGAACCCAGCCAATAGGAAACATTTTGACTCTTATAACTAGGCTTAGGGAGATAAGTGATATCCAGCATCTCCTTCTGGTAAAAAGGTCACAGAAGATTACAACATTCACACATATTTTATAACATCCTTGTGTCGTATAGAGAGAGTCATAACAGGGCCTAGCACATGGAGAAAATTGGGATTCTCATATGTACATTCAGCTGACAGTAACGGCTTTCACCATTACAGATGATGAAGGCAATTGTCCCACATAAAAATAGAACACGCCTGATATTGTAAATCTAATCCCTAGAATTTTATTCCATCATGACTGATATAAATCTTTGCCAAGTGCCTGTGTGAGTTCACCCTTCAGATTGGTTCCAGCCTACCTATGGGATTTTGGTATCTACCTAAGCCAACCTTGAAGTGACGTGACTCTTTTGCCTGGGCCCTCCACTCAGAATTATAACATCATTGGATCCAGCACACAGGTGACGTTACATTCTTGCTTGCGCCATGCTCGCAGATATCATTGTGACATATTGCAGTGTCCATCAGTTAGAAGATGTCACTCTCCTCTCTGGAAAGGGCCTTGAACACTGGGCAAAATAGTGACCTGTTTCTAGGCCAGGCACACAGGTGATGATGCTCTTTTCCCAGGGCTATGCCCAAAAAAGGGCATTTGACATATCACAGGACCTATCGTGTAGGTGATACGGCTCTTCTGCTTGAAACTTGCCCAATTGAATAGTGACATACTGCTAGGCCAGGCACAATGGTGATGGAACTCTTTTGCCAGGGCCATGCTTTCAAAAATGCCTTGTCATATATACCTGGTCCTATCACCAAGGTGATGTGACTTCCTGCTTGGTCCTGCCCACATGAAGTATTGAGACATAAGCGTGGAATCTGCACCTAGGTGACATAACTCTCTTGCCTGGGTCCTTTTCTAAGAGGGACTTGTGAATACCTCAGTACCCAGGACCACATGATGTGGCTCTTCAACCTGGTTTTCACCCACATATTAAATTGTGACATATAGCTAAAGAAGCATCTAGGTAATATGACTCTTCTTCTGTCTGAACCCAGCCTACTGGTGATATTGGGCCATATTTCTAAGCCTGTGACCTAAGTGATGTGACTCTATTTTTGTCTAGGGCTTTACAATGGTAAGATTATGAGATATTGATGAGCTCAGCATTTAGGTAATGTGACTCTCATCTTGTAACTGAACAACGCCCAGGAACAGATCTTTTGCCGTATTTCAGGGCCCAGTACCCAGATGAAGCTGCTCTTCTGCCTAGGTTGTGCATAAAGAGAAAATTGTGGCATATTTCTTGGCCTAGAACCCTAATGATGTGACTCTCCTGCTTGTGCCAGGACCGCAGAAGGTATTTCGACATATCTTTGGCCCATTTTCTAGGTGTTTTCACTCTTACCACTTTGCTGAATTTCTTCCACGTGTGGTTGTATTATATTGCTGACTCCAGCCTGCAGTTAATGTGGCCCTCTTTCCTAGGTGCTGCTTACAGAGGGCATCATGACATATTGCTTGACAAAGAACCTAAGTGATGTTAATATTCTGCATAGGTTGCTAAAAAATGGGAATGTGAGAAATACCTTGCTTCAGTCCAAAGGTATGATGATCAAGCTTATGTTGGGATTCAGCCAATAGGAGAGATTTTTCCTCTCACCACCAGGTTTAGGTCAAAGAGTCAGGTTACTCATTGCACATTTCTACAAAGCTCACAGTAGTTTACAACACTAACTCATGTAATAAAAATTTCCTGGGTGATACAAAGGGTTTCTTAACAGTGCCCAGCAAACAGTTAAGATTATGATTCTTGACTGCACACTCAGATGAAAGTAAGTTTTTACCATCCTACATCTACAAAGCCCATTGTTGAGATCCTGAGTCTAAGCAAATACACCACAAAGATGGAGTTGTGACTTTCATAAATGAATATGGCCGCAGGTGGGATGGTGACTCATTTTTGGAGCCAACTCTCAGTCATAATAATGATCTCATCCCTAACACCAGTCTATAGGAGAGATGCTGACTGTCATACCTGGGTTTAGGGCAATATGCATAATCATAATTCTGTAAATGCCTGTAGGCCTCAGAGAGGATTGCAACTCTCATGCATGTTGCATAACGTTCTCAGGTATTATAGAGAGTGTCATACAATGGCAAGCACACACATGAGATTGTGACTCTCTTATACACAGATAGCTAACATTTAATGGTGTCACCCTTAAAGATGAGGAGATTTTGTCATATATCTTGCCCTACTAGCTGGTGTTGAGAACTTTTAGTTTAAATTTCATTCCATTAGGGCATTGTTACATATCACTGGGTCAGAATCAAAATAATGTGACTCTTCTTCCAGGGCCCTGCAAACAGAGGATATTTTCCCATATCTCCAGGCCTATTGGCTATGTAATATGTCTCTCCTGCCAGTACTTTGCCCAGAGGAGACACTGACATATTGCTGGATTTAGAATCTAGGAAATTTGACCCATCTTTACTGCCTGGATCCTCCTCACTGAAAAAATTGTCATATACCATTGAGTGCAGAGCCTAGGTGACAGAAGTCCCCTTTTTTTCCTGGACTCTGTCAAGAGAGGGAATTGTTACATATTGGTGAGCAGAGCACCCACGTGGTGTCATTATCTAATTTTATAAGAAACCTATCTATGCTGGGGATGGTGACATATTACTTGCAGTTGTACCCAGGTGATGTGGCTCTTCTGCCTGGTTTCTGCCCGTGGGTAAGGTTTTTGGCATATAACTAGGGAAACATTTAGGTGATATGAGTCTCCCTTTCTGCCTGGGCCCTGTTCACTGGGTACACTGGACTATATCTCTGAGCCCATGAACTAAGGGAAGTGACTCTCTTTTTCTGCTGGGTCTTTACAATGGAGAGATTGTGAAATATTGCTCAACCTAGCAATCAGGTTATTTGATTCACCTTTTTTTTTTTTAATCTCAAATCATGCCCACTAACAGAAATTTTGGCCTATTGCAGGGCCCAGCACCCAGATAATGTTACGCCTTTACGTGGGTCCTGTATGTAGAGAATATTATAACATACTGCTGGGCCCAGCATCCTGAAAATATAAAACTCATGACTTTGCTGGAGGCAGAGAAGGTATTTTCACAGATCCTGGGCCCATTATGTAGGTGTTTTGGCTCTTATCTTTTTGCTGTTTTTTTTTTTTTTTTTTTCACTTTTGTTTTTGTTTGTTTCCACATAATGGATTGTTTCATATTGCTGAGTCCAGAACTCAGTTAACATGACTCTAATTCCTCTATGTTACCTAGAGAGGGCACTGTGGCATGTTGCTTGGCACAACACCTAAGTGATGTTACCCTCGGGCCTACTTTTTTTGCTCACAAATGGGACTATGACTTCAGTTCACAGGCATGATGGTCAAATTTATACTGAGATTCAGCCAATAGGAGATATTTTACCTTTCATTGCTAGGCTTTGGGCAATACATAAAGTCTGGGTTGCATATTTGTACCAAGCTCACAGAGCTTTACAACACTAACTCATAATGTATGAACTTCTTTGTTGGTATAGAGAGTTTGGTGATAGGGACCAGTGAAGAGTTCAGTTTGAGATTCTTGATTACACACCCAGGTAAAAGCAAGTGCTGTCATCATTCTACATGTCCAAAGGCCATTGTTAAGAACCTGAGTTTTACAAATGAATGCAGTGCAAAGTTGGAATTGTGACTTTCGTATGTGGATCTGGCCACAGGTGGGATTGTGACTTATTTCTAGATCCAGCTCACAGGCATAAAAATGAGTCTCATTTCTAACCCAGCCTATAGAGGAGATGCTGACTATTATACCTGGGTTTAGGGGAATATGTAAGGTCATGAATCCATGTGAATATGTAGGCCTTAGAGTGGTTTGAAACTCTCATGCGTGATGTATAAAGCTTTTGAAAATTGTTGAGAGTCATGCAACGGCCCAGGATACTAGTGAAATTGTTACTCTCATATACACACCCAGCTCAGAGTTTATAATGTCACTCTCAAAGACAAGGGGATTTGGCCTATTAATAGGCATAGTGCTTAGGTGTTGAGACTATTTGGCTTAAATTCCTTTCCTTGGGTGGATTGTAACATATCACTGTGTTAGAATCATAATGTGTCTCTTCTGTCTGGACCCTGCCAAAAGGGGATATTATCACATATCTATGGGTCTATAAGCTAGAGGATTTGTCTCTTCTGACAGTGTCCTGCACCCAGAAGACATTGTGAAATATTGTTTGGCTTAACATCTAGGTAATGTGACTCTCACCTCCTGCCTGAGCCTTGCTCAGCAAACAAATTGTGACATACCGCTGATTGAAAAACCTACATGATGTGACTCTCCTTCATATTCTAGACTCTACCAAGAGAGAGGGTTGTTACATATTGCGGAGTCCAGCACATAGGTGGACTGACTGTCCTCTCTTTTTTCTTCCCTGTCCATAGTGGGCTTGCTGACATATTATGTGAAACTGTACCCGGGTGAAGTGACTCTTCTGACTAGGCCCAGCATACAAATGAGATTATGCTGTATCACTGGCTCAGTGTCGAGGTGAGTTGACTCCCTTTCCTTGTCTCTGCTTACAGGTGAAATTTTGACACGTACCTGGGTTAAGCACGCATGGACAAAAATAACTCTCATACCTGGGCCCAGCCTGTAGGAATATTTTGACTCTCATAGCCAGTCTCACGGCCATGGGTAAAGCCCTGTGTTTTTCACTTGTATAAAAGTCACGAAGGATTATAATACTCAGGTATATCATATAAAGCATTAATGGTGCAAAGAGTGTCATAACAGAGACCAGCAACCAGGTAAGAATATGACTCTTGTATGCACACTTCACTGAAATGATTGTCATTCTCGCATATTAACAGGGTCTAGGAATGAGGGACTAAATCTCACACATAAAAAGCAGTCGATGTTTGAAATAATTACTCACCTACATGGACCTGATCCACAGGTGGTTTGTTAACATTTGAACCAGGATTCAGCACACCTGTGGTGCCGTGACTCCCCTCCTGGACCACAATGTTCAAGGGGGATTGCGGCTCTTATACATGAATCTTGCCCATTGTTGAGATTTTGACTCCTCCATTTTGATCCAACTTACAGAAAGAATTGACTCACATACACAAAACCAGGACTTGTGTGGGATGTGAAACTTATTTCCGAACATATATGAGAGTGTCATATTGGGATAGGTCACTTTGTCCAGCAAATGAATAATTTGACTCATTTTCTAGGCCCAGATCACAGAAGTAATTGTGCCATATGTGGAACAAGCAGCTAAGCAATAGATAACATCCATCGTGGCTCTGCCTTCAAAGGGAAATTTTACATATGTCACTGGGACCATCACCCAGATGATGTGAGTTATCTGCCTGAAACCTTTCTACAAAAGGAATTTTGTTATATATCTAGGTCCATCCTGTAAGTGATGTGACTCTCTTCTACTTCCTTGGCCATGCACTTACAGGGCATTGTGACAAAGAACTGGGTACTGCATTCAAGTGATGTGATTCTTCTTTTTGGGTTCTGCCAACAGGAAGCATTGAACATATCACTTGGCTCAGTACCTAGGTGATGTTTCTTCACTTTCGCCTTGGCCCAGACCACAGGCAGATTGTGACATATTTCCTGGGACAAACACCTATGTGAGGCCACTCTACAGTTTGGTTACTGCACGGAATAGACATTGTGGCAAACATCTAGGCCAACTGCCTTTGTGAAGTGAGTCTCCTCTCTTGCCAAAGCCCTGCCCAGAAGAGAGGCTTTTGATATGTCACTGAAATCCAGGTGCTGTGGCTCTTCCACCAGGTTCCTACCCACAAGGTGAATAGTGATGTCTTAGTGGCCCAGACCCACATAGGTGATGGGACTTTCTTGTGTTCTCTCTGGCCACAGGTGATATTCTGCCATGTACCAGAGACCAAAACAAAAGCCTAGTAACAACTCATATGACTAGAGCATACGACTTGTGCAGGATGGTGACTCTTAGACTTAAGCCTTTCCACAAGTCTGATTGTGACATATACCTTTGCTCAACTCCTGAGTGATTTAATAATTCTGCCTAGGTATAGCAAATGAGATTTTGACAGATACATTGGTCAAGCACCTTGGTGATCTGGCTGATGTATCTTGAAATGTCCTCAGGGGCTCTTGTAACATATTTCTGTGCCCTTCATCTAGGTTACGTGACTCTTCTCTCCTGCCTGTACCCTGCTTCTTTGGTGGATTGTAGTATTTATAATCCCTGCATCCAAATGATATGACACTCTTGCCTGGGACCTGTCAACAGGAAGAATTGTGACAAAATTTTGGGCCCATCATTTAGGTGATATTACTCTCCTCTCCTGCCTAGACACTGTCCACAAGGGATATTGAGCCATAGAGCTGGACATAGCACATAAGTTATGTGATATTTCTGAGAGGGCTCTGACTACAAAAAGAATATTGGAATATTTCTGACCCAGCATTTATGTGATATGGCTGTCAGGCCTCCTTCTTAACCACAGAGTGAATTGTAACATATACCTATGCATGGCTCACAGCCATGATAATGACTCTCATGTGTGGACTCAGCCAATAGAGGATATTTTGCATCTTATAACTCAGTTTAGGGACATGCATGATGTCCTGGATCTCCTTCTTGTACAAAGGTCACAAAATATTACAACACTCATACATATTTTACAAAGTCTTTGGGTCATACACACAAAGTCAAAGCAGGGCTCAGCACACAGATGAAATCATGAGTCTTGTTTGCACACCCAGCTGAAAGTAAGAACTCATTATCTCACATGGATAAAGGTAACTGTCACACATGAAACAGGGCATGTGTGGTAAGATGGTAAATCTCATCTTTGGAATTTTCTGACAGTGTGAGTATGATATAAATTTTTGCTAAGCACTTGTGTAATCTGAGGCTCCGGACTTGTTCCAGCTCATAGGTGGGGTTATGAAATCTACCTAGGC
Source organism: Homo sapiens (assembly GCF_000001405.40). NCBI lineage: Eukaryota > Metazoa > Chordata > Mammalia > Primates > Hominidae > Homo > Homo sapiens. The sequence continues at coordinate 25,036,384 of NC_000024.10, read as the reverse complement.
CAACCTCGAGGTGACATGACTTTCCTGCCTTGTCCTATCTCTCAGTAATGATTGTGACATATCACTGGACCTAGCTCCCAGGTAACGTTACATCCTTACTTGCACCCTGCCCACCAAAATTATTGTGACATATTTCTGTGTTTACCTCATAGTTGATGTGAGTCTCCTCTCTGGAATGGGCACTGCACAACAGAATGATAGTGACATAGCGCAAGGACCGGCGCACAGGCAAGGTTCCTCCTTATCCTGTGGATGCCTGGAGGAGGGCAATGTGACATATCTCTGGGTCTATCACCTACATTATGTGGCTCTCCTGCTAGGGTCCTTCCAACCTCGAAAGTGACACGCTTCTAGGCCAGGCACACAGGTGATGGTACCCTTTTCCAGGGCTATGCTTCACACAGTACATTGTGACATATCTCTGGGCCTATCACCTAAATGAAGTGACTCTCTCCCTGGGTCCTAACCAGATGAAGCATTGTGTCATAAGCAGAGACCCTTCACCTAGTATGATGTATTTCTCTTGGCTAGGTGCTGTGTTAAGAGCACTTTGTGACATATCACAGGACCCAGCACCCAAGTGATGTGGCTCTTCTGCATAGTTTCTGCCCCCATGTTAAATTGTGACATATTTTGATGGAAGCACATAGGTGATATGGCTGTCCTCATCTGCCTGAGCTCTGCCTCGTTGGAGTATTAGGACATATCTCTGAGCCCATGACCTAAGTGATGTGACTCTCTTTTCCTTCCTGGGCCTTCATAAAAGGAGGATTTTGTCACATTGCTGAGCCCAGGACTCAGGATATGTGACTCTCGGCTGTCCTCACCTGCCTGAGCTCTGCCTAGTTGGAGTATTAGGACATGTCTCTGAGCCCATGACCTAAGTGATGTGACTCTTTTTCTTCCTGGGCCTTCATAAAAGGAGGATTTTGTCACATTGCTGAGCCCAGGACTCAGGATATGTGACTCTCGGCTGTCCTCACCTGCCTGAGCTCTGCCTAGTTGGAATATTAGGACATGTCTCTGAGCCCATGACCTAAGTGATGTGACTCTGTTTTTCTTCCTGGGCCTTCATAAAAGGAGGATTTTGTTACATTGCTGAGCCCAGGACTCAGGATCTGTTTCTCTTCTCTTTCTCCTGAACCATGCCTACAAAAAAGAAATTTGACACATATTATTGCCCAGCATGCAGATCATGTTACTCTTCTGCATGGGATCTGCATAAAGAGATAATTATGGCATATTGTATATTGCTGGGCCCAGCACCCTTAAGATGTGATGCTCCTGCCTGTGCTGCTGATACCGAAAGTATTTTGACATATATTATGCCCATTATGTAGGTGTTTTGGCTCTCATAACTGGGCTGGGTTTCTTACACATGTGAAATTGTGTCGTATTTCTGGGTCCAGCACCCAGTTAACGTGACCCAATTTCCTACACCCTGCATACAGAAGGCATTGTGACATATTGCTGGGCACAGCATCTGAGTGATGTTACCCTTCTGCGTAGTGTTTTGCCCACATATGTCATTATAACATATACCCAGTTTAAGCTCACAGCCATGATGATCAAACTTATACTGGGATTCAGCCAATAGAAAATATTTGCCTTTCATTGTTAGGCTTGGGGCAATAGATAAGGTCCTGGGCTGCATATTTGTACCAAGCTCACAGAAACTTACACAACTAACTTACATTTTATAAACTCCTTTGTGGTAGAAATTTTTATAGCAGGGGCCAGCAAAAAGTTCAAATTGGGACTCTCGATTACACACCCAGGTGGAATTAAAAGTTGCCACCATCCCACATTTACAAAGCCCACAGTTGAGTCTTATACCTAAACCTTTCCGCAAGTGTAATTGTGACATATATTGTATTTCAGTTCCTGAGTGATTTAATAATTCTGCCTAGATATAGCCTACAAAAGCGATTTTGACAAATATCTTCATCAAGCACCTTGGTGATTTGACTGTGCTATCTAAAAAGTGTCCTCAGGCAAAATAGTCACATGTTTCTGGACCCATTATTTAGGGTATATGACTCTCCTCTTTGACCTGTACCCTGCTTCCTATAGTAATTGTACCTTTTCTAAACACTGCATTCAAATGACATGGCTCTCTTTTTTTGGAGAAACTCTCCTGTTGAGAGGCATTTTGACACATGCTTGAGCCCAGCTTTTAGGTCCTGTGACTCTCCTCTCCTGCCTAGACACAGCCCAAAATGAACATTGTGCAACAGAGTTGGATTTAGCACACAAGTTATGTGATATTTTGGACAAGACCCCTCCTGCAAAAAGAATACTGGAATATTTCTGGCCCAGCATTTAGGTGATGTGGCTGTTAGGCCTGATTCATAACAACAGAACAAATTATAACAAATACCTAGGCAGGGCTTGCAGGAATAATAATGACTCTTATATGTGGACTCATCCAACAGAGAATATTTTTACTCTTATAATTCAGTTTAGGGACATGCGTGATGTCCTGAATCACTTTCTTGTACAAACATCACAAAAGATTACAACACACACATTTTACAGAGTCTTTGGTTTATACAGAAAGAGTCAAAGCAGGGTTCAACTCAGGTGAAATTGTGAGTCTTGTATGCACACCCGCCTGACAGTAAGGACTGTCATCATCTCTCATGGATGAAGTCAACTGTCACACATGAAAACAGGACATGTGTGGTATTGTAAATCACATCTTTGGAATTTTCTGACAGTGTGATTGTGATATAAATCTTTGCTAAGCACCAGTGTAATTTGACTCTCCAGACTTGTTCCAGCCCATATGTGGGATTGTGATATCTACCTAGGCCAACCTCAAGGAGATGTGACTCTCCTGCCTGGGCCCTTCTCTCAGTAAGGATTGTACATATCACTGGATCTAGCATCCAGGTGATGTTCACATTCTTGCCTGTGCCACGCCAACCAAAATTATTGTGAACATATTTGTGTGTGCACCTCATAGGGATGAAACTCTGATCTCTGGAATGGGCCTTGCACAAAGGAAGGATGGTGACATATTGTGAAGCCAGGCATACAGCTGTGGGTACTTTTTGCCACAGCCATGCCCAAAGTAGGGCATTGTGACATATCTCTGCACCTATTACCTAGGTTAAGCGGCTCTCCTGCTTGGGCCCTGACAACCTGGAGAATGACATATTTCTAGGCCAGGCACACAGGTGATGATACTCTTTTGCCAAGACTATGCTTCACAGGGGACTTTGTGACCTATCTCTTGGGCCAATAAACTAGTTTATGGGACTAAATGCTTTGGCCTCACACACATAGAGCATTGTGACATGAAAGTGAAACCTGAACCAAGGTGATGTAACTCTTTCACCTTGGTTCTGAACTAATCGGGATTTGCAACATACCTTAGGACCCAGTACCCAGGTTATATGGCTCTTCTGTCTGGTTCTGCCCATGTGTTAGATTGAGACATACACCTAAAGAAGCACCAATGAGACACCACTCTCCTCTTCTGCCTGAATTCTGCCTGACTTCTGCCTACTGGGGACATTGGGACATGTTTCTAAGCCCATGACCTAAGTGATATGACTCTCTTCCCTTGCCTCAGCCTTTAAAATGCTGAAATTGTGATGTATTTCTGAGACCAGGATTTAGGTTATGTGACTATTTCCTTTTTTCTGAACCATGCCCACAAAGGGAAAATTTCACCTATTGCACTCAGATGATGTTACTCTTCTGCTGCAGTCCTGAATAATGAGGGAGTGATTGCATAATGGTAGGCCCAACACTCTAATGATGCTTCAGTCCCACCAGTGCCAGAGCCACAGAGGGCATTTTGACATATCTTCAGCCAAATCTGTAAGTGTTTTGGCTTTCATCCCTTGGTTGAGTTTCTTTTTTTAACAAGTAAAATTGTGTCATATTGCTAGGTCCAGCATCCAGATAACATGACCCTGCTTTCTGTATTCTGCCTAGAGACAGCACTGTGACATGCTGCGTGCCACAGCACCTAAGTGACATTACTCTTTTTGGTAATTTTTTGCCCACAAATGGGATTATAAAATATACCTTGCTTCAGTTTACAGGTATGATGGTCAAACTTACATTGTGATTCAGCAAATAGAAGATATTTTGCCTCTCATCGCAAGGCTTAGGGCAATAGGTAAAATCCTGGGTTGCGTATTTGAGGAAAGCTCACAGAACAATAATTAATATTGTATAAACTCCTTGGGTGGTACAGCGTTTCCTAACAAAGCCCAGCAAAAAGTTAAGATTGTGATTCTGAATTACACACACAATTGAAAGTAAAACTTGTCACCACCCCTCATTAAGAAAGCCCATTGCTGAGATACTGAGTCTAACAAGTAAAACAGTACAAAGATGGAATTGTGACTCTCATTTGTGGATTTTGCCACAGGTGCAACCATCACTCATTTTTAGACCCAGCTCACAGGCATAAAAATAAGCCTCATTCCTGAACTAAGCATAAATGAGAGATACTGACTCTCATATCTGGGTTTAAGGCAATATATAATATTCAGAGTCAAAATGAGCATGTGGACCTCAGAGTAGTTTGTGAATCTCACGCATGTTGTATAAAACTCTCAGATGTTCTAGAGGATGTCATACAATGGCCCAGCACACACGTGACAATGTGACTTACATACATATGAGTTAACAGTTAAAGGTGTCACCCTAAAAGATGAGGAGATATTGTCATATCATTGGGCCTAGTACCCAGGTGTAAAAACTGCTTTGTTTCCCATGTGTGCATTGTGACATATCGTTGGGTCAGAATCACAATAATGTGACTTTTTACTACTTGATCCTGCCAAGTAGGGATATTGTCACATATATCTGAGCCTATTTCTTGGGTGATTTGTCTATTTTGCTTCTGCTTTTTCACCAAAGAACATTGTGACATCATCGGTGATAACATCTAGGAAATGTGATTCTTCTCTCCTGCCTAGGTCCTGCCCACTAAAAGAATTGTGACATAACGCTGACTGCAAAAACTGGGTAATGCAACTCTCCTCTTTATTCTGGAGTCTGCCAAAACAAGGGATTATCACATATTGCGGAGTCCAGCACCCAGGTGATGTGAGTCTTCTCTGTTTCTCTAAGATTATAATGTATCCTGAGCTCACCATCCAGGTGATGAGACTCTCCTGCTCTGTTTCTGCCCGCAGGTAAAATTTTGTCATATACCCAGCTTCAGATACCATGCAATAATACAACTATCATACCTGGACCCAAAGAGGAGAGATATTTTGATTCTCATTGCCATTCTTATGGCCACAAGCAAAGTAATGGTTCTCATAGTGGTATAAAGTTCACACAGTATTATGACACTCCCAGCGTATCATAGAAAATGTGAGTAGTACAATGAGTGTTATAACAGGGAACAGCAAACCAATGCTATTGTGATTATTGGATTCACACCCAGCTGACGCGACTATCATTCTCTCACAAGAACAGAACCTGCAAATAAAGTACTAAATCTCACCAAAAGAGCAGTAAAAGATTGAAATTGTTCCTCTCATATGTGGATCTGACTCACAGGTGGTTTGGGGTTGCATGGTTCAGCACATCTGTGAGGCTGGGACTCTCCCCCTGGAATGCAGTTATCAAGTGGGATTGCCATCTTCTACATGGATTATGCCCATTGTTTAGATTGTGTCTCCTCTGTTTCGACCCAACTCACAGAAGGTGTTGACTTTCATACATAAAGCCAGGACTTGTGTGGGGCTGTGAAACTTACTTCAGAATATTTCCTGGTGTATGATTAGGACTTAAAAGTTAGCCCAGGTCCTGAGTAATTTGACTCTCCTTTTTAGGCCATAACCCGAGATGAAATTGTGACATATGTGGACCAAAAACCTAAGCAAAGGTGCCTGGGCCTGCCTACAAATGTCACTTTTACATATCACTGGGATGAGCAGCCAGGAGATGTGTATTATTTGCTTGATTCCTGCCTATATAAAGCATTGTGGCTTTTATCTAGGTCCATCATGTAAGTGACGTGACTCACTTCCACTGCCTTTGCCCTGTAATTATGGTGCATTGTGACACATAACTGGATAGTACACTCAGAAAATGTGACACTCCATTCTGGGTTCTACAAACAGAAAGCTTTGTAACATATCACTTGGCTTAGCACTTAGGTGATGTTTCTACTCTCCTACCTCACCCTGACCACAGGGGAGATTGTGACATATTGATAAACCCACCTCCAAGGTGAGGTCATTTTCATACTTTGGTTTTGCACCTAGTGGCCATTGTGACATATATCTAGGCCAATTGCCTAGATGTAGGTAAAGTGATTCTCCTCACCTTCTTAAGCCCTGCCCAACAGAAGAAATTTTGACATATCACTGAAACCAGCTTCCAGGTGATATGCCTCTTCTTCCAGGGTCCTGGCCACAAGAAAGATTGTGACATCTCACTGGACCAGCACCCTCACAAGTGATGTGACATTTCTGCTTGCTCTCTGTCCATAGACGATATCATGCCATATACTTGAGAGCAAACAAGAGGACTAATCATGACTGTTAGACCTGAAGCCAGGTCACATCAAAGATGGTGACTCCCATTGCTGAAACTTTCCACCAGTGTTATTGTGACATAGTCTATTTCCCATCTCTTGAGTGACTTAATCATCTTGCCTAAATGTTGCCCACAAATGAGATTTGGACATATTACTCAGCTGAGCACCTTGGCAATTTGACTCTCCTGTCTTAAGAATATCCTCAGGAAGGATTGTAACATGGCTTTGGACCCCTCGTCTAGTTGTCTTACTCTCCTCTGCTGTCTGAACCCTCCTTCCACTGGGGATTCCAGCATCTCTAATCATGCCATCCAAATGATATGACTCCATTTCCTGGTCCCTTCAACACGAGACATTGCGGCATATCTCTGGTCCTAGCATTTAGGTGATATGAGTCTCTTCTTCTGTCTGGAAACTGCCCACAGGAGCATTGTGCCATATATCTGGGTGTAACCCCCAGTTTATGCAACTTTACTGCCAGGAGTATGCCTACAAGGAGAATATTAGAACATTTCTGGCTCAGCATTTAGTGTACTTGGCTGTCGTGCCTATTTCATAAGCCACAATATAAATTGTTACATATACCTAGGTACAACTTAGAGACATGATAATGACCCTCATATGTGGACCCCGTAAATACGGTTAATTCTGAGTCTCATAACTTGCTTCAGAAACATGAGAGATTAAATCACTTTCTGGTAAAAAAGAAGACAAGGAAGGTTATAAGAGCCTCAGATGTTTTATAAACACCTTGGCCCATACAGAGAGTTTTATAACAGAACCCAAGAGAAAGGTGAAACTGTGAGTCTTATATGTGCACTCAGCTGACAGCAAGTACTGTCACCGTCTCACATATATGATGCCAACTGTCAATCATGAAAACAGGACATGTGTGGTATTATAAATCTCATCCTCAGAATTTTCTGCCAGTGTGAGTGATATAAATCTTCGCCAAGCACCTGTGTGATTTTGTTCTCCAGACTTGTTCCAGTCCACATATGTTATTGTGATACCTACCTGGGCCAAACTTTAGGTGATGTGATGCTCCTGCCTCGGCCCTGCTGTCATTAAGAATCATGACATATCACTAGATCCAGCACCCAGGTCATGTTACATTTTTGCCTAAGCCATGCATAGAGAAATCACTGGGCCATACCACTGTGTCAACAACTTAGGCAACACAACTCTCCTTATTAGAATGGGCACAGCACTCAGTGGGTGATAGTGACATGTGGCTGGGCCAGGCACAGAGGTGACAGGACTATTTTGCTAGTACCATGTCCTAAAGAGGGCATTGTGACAAATCTCTTGGCCTATCCTAGGTGATACTGCACTCCTGCTTGGGTACTGCTTACCTGGATAACAACATAATGCACAGAGGTGATGGTACTTTCTTGCTAGGGCCATGTCCTAAAGAGGTCACTGTGACAAATCTCTGGGCCTATCAGCTAGATGATGTTGCTCTCCTGCTTGGGTCCTGCTTACCTGGATAGTGGACATATTGCTAGGCTACGCACATGGGTGATGGTACTCTTTCACCAGGGCCATGACTCAAGGAGGACATTGTGACATATCTCTCGGCCAGTCCCCTAGGTGATGTGACTCCCTGCTTCTGTCTTGCCCACATGGAGCATTGTGATATTTTTTTGTACTTATTTTTTGTAACTCTCTTTTCTGTGTCCTGTCTTAAGGAAGTCTTGTGACATATCTTAGGACCCAGCATCAAGGTGATGTGACTCTTCTGCCTGGCTTCACCTCACATGTTAGATTGTGTCATATACCTAGGAAGCACCTAGGTGATATGACTCTTCTCTTCTGCATGAGTCCTGCCTACTTGGGACATTGGGCCATATATCTGAGCCTGTGTCTTAAGTGATGTGAATCTTTTTTTCTGCAAGAGCCTTTAGAATGGGGTGATGTGATATACTGCTAGGCCCAATACTTAGGTAAATTGACTCCTTTTTTCCTGAACTATGCCCATGAAAAGGAACTTTGATGTATCACTGATCCCAGCATGAAGATGACAGTTCTCTTGTTACTAGGTCCAGCATAAAGAGAGAATTATGGCATATTGCTGGGGCCCCCACCCTGATGATGTAACTCTTTTGCCTGTGCTAGAATAACAAAGTATTTTTACATACCATGGGCCTATTCTGTAGGTAATCTTGTTCTCATCATTAGTATGCATTTCTTTTTCCTACATATTCTACATTTGGGTTTATGTCTTATTGCTGAGTCCAGCACCCAGTTATCATAACCCCAATTTCTAGACCTGCATTGAGAGGGCCTTGTGATATATTGCTTGGCACAGCACCTAAGTATGCTACCTTTCTGAAAAGTTTTTTTTTTTTTCTACAAATGGTATGAAATTTACATTCCTTCAATTCAGACGCATTATGATCAAGCTGAAATTGAAATTTCACCAATAGTAGATGTTTTGCCTTTCATGGCTACACTTAGAACAATAGGTAAGGTTATGAGTTGCAAATTTGTACAAAGTTCACAGAAGGTTACAACAGTAACACATAATCTATAAACTCCTTGGTTGGTACACAGAGTTTTATAACAGGGCCCAGTAAAAGTTAAGGTTTTGACTCTTGATTACACATGCAGGTGAGAGAAAAAGTTGTCAAAATCCCACATTTACAAAGCCCACTGTTGAAGTCCTGAGTCTAACAAGTAAATAAAGTACAAAGATGGAATTGTGACTTTCATATATGGATCTTGCTACAGGTGAGATGGTAACTCACTTCTGGACCCACATCAGGGGCATAATAATGTGTCTTCTGTCTGAATCTAGCCTATAAGAGGAATGTTGCCTATCATAACTGAGTTTAAAGCAGTATGTAAGATTGTGAGTCAATAGGAGCATGTAGGCCTCAGAATGGATTGCAACTCTCATGCATGTTGCTTAAAGCCTTTGTATGTTGTAGATTGTGTCATAGGATCACCCAGAATACACATGAGATTGTGACTCCTATATACTCACCAAACAGTCAAAGTTGTCACCCTAATAGATGAAGAGATTGTGCCATATCACGAGGCCTAGTACCTCTAGGTGTTGAGAATTTTAGGCTTAAATTCTTTTCCATGGTTGCATTGTAAAACATCCCTTGCTTAGAATCATAATAGTTTAACCCTCTGCTTGGACCCTGACAACAGGGGATATGATCACATGTCTTTAGGCCTATCAGCTAAGTGGTGTGTCTCTCCTGCCAGTGCCCTGCCCACAAAGGACACTGTGACATATCACTAGATAAAGCATCTAGGTAATGTGAATCTCCTCTCCTGCTGAATCCTGCCCACTGAAGAAATTGTGACATACCACTGAGTGAAAAACCTAGGTGATGTGACTCTCCCCTTTGTCCTGGGCTCTGCCAAGAGAGTCCGAGAAGATGTGCTGAGCCCAGTCCTTAGAGAATTTGACTATCCACTTTTTTTAATCCCTGTATTCAGTAGGCATGATGACATATTATTTGAGAGTGTACCCAGGTGATATGATTCTTCTGACTGAGTCCTGCCTACAGTGCAGAATAAAATGTATCCCTGGATCAGAATCCAGATGATGAGACTCTTCTGTCTTGTCTCTGTCCAAAGGTGAATTTGGGACATATACCTGGATTCAGCTCACATGCACAATAATAACTCTATGGCCATGGGTAGAGTTCTATATTACCCACCTCTAAGAATACACAGAAAAGTATCCCACTCAGGCATATCGTATAAAGCCTGAGTGGTACAAAGAGTGTCATAACAGGCACCCAAAACCAGGTGGTATTGTGACTCTTGAATGCACACCAAGCTGACACAATTGTTATTCTCACACATGAACAGAGCCTACCAATGCAGTGCTAAATCTCACACACATAAGACTTGAAACTGTTACACTTGTACGTGAATCTGATCCACAGGTGTTTGATGGCATTGGAACCATGATTAAGTAGAACTGTGGTGCTGTGTCTCTCTTATTAGAACACAGTCTTCGGGTGGGATTGGGGCTCTTACACATGGATCTTCCCATTGCTGAGATTGTGACTCCTGTACTACAACCCAACTCGTAGAATGTGTTGATTCGCATACTCAAAGCTCGGACTTGAGTGAACTGAAAATTATTTCTGAACCTTCTTGAAAGTATGATTGGGTCATGCAACCCTTCCCAGCATATGAGTAATTTGATGCACATTTCTAGGCCCAGACCACAGATGAAATTTTGCCATATGCGGAACAAGCCCCTAATCAATATATAACATCATCCTTGTCTCTGCCTATAAGGGGCACTTTTATATATCACTGGGACCGTCACCCAGGTGATGTGATTTACCTGCCTGAAAACTGCCTAAAAAGAGAATTGTGTCTTACATTTAGGTCCATCACATAAGTGATGTCACTCTCTTCTACTGTCTTGGCCCTGCAGTTACAGAGCACTGTGACACATAACAGGCTACTGCACCCAGGAGATGTGATTTTTTGGGGGGTTCTGCCAACATAGTAACATACCACTTGGCTCAGCACCTGGGTGATGTTTCTTCACTTTTCATTGTGTCCTGACCACAGGGAGCTTGGGACATATTCCTGGGTACAGCACCAAGGTGAGGGCACTCTTTAGCCTTCTTACTGCAGTTAATGGTCATTGTGACATAATCTAGGCCAATTTCCTAGATGAAGTGAGTCTTCTCTCATGCCAAAGTCCTTCCCACAGAGGGCTTTTTAAAAATATATCACTGAAACCAGCATCCAAGTGATCTGACAATTCTGCAAGGGTTTTGCCCACCAGGTGGATTGCAACATCTCACTGGACCTGCACCCATGTAGGTGATGTGAGTTTCTTGCCTTCTTTCTGGCCACAGGTGATATTGTGTCATATACCTGAGACCAAAACAAAAGCCTAATAACAACTCATATGTTTGGAGCCAGGACATGTGCAGGATGGTGACTGTAATTCCTAAATCTTTCCACAAGTGAAATTGTGACACATACCTTTGTCCAGCTCCAGAGAGATTTAATAATTCTTCCTAGGTATAGCCCACAAATCAGATTTTGACAAATACCTGGCCAAGTAACTTGATGATTTTACCGTGCTATTTTAACAATGGCCTCAGGAGGGATTGTATCATATTTCTGAACACATCATCTAGGTTACATGATTCTCCTCTCCTGCCTGTACCCTGCTTACTTTGGTAATTGTAGCATTTCTAAACACTGCATCTAAATGATACGACTCTCTTTCCTGGGCCCTGTCAACAGGAGGCATTTTGACATATTTTGGGGCCTATCATTTAGGTGATATTACTCTCCTCTTCTTCCTGGACACTACCCACAAGGGACATTGTGCCACAGAGCTGGACCCAGCACACAAGTCATGTGGCATTTCTGACAGGACCCTGTCTACAAAGATAATATTGAAATATTTCAGGCCCAGAATTTAGGTGATGAGGCTGTTCTGCCTGCTTCATAACCACTCATGGAATTGTAACATATACCTACGCAAGGCTCGCAGGAATGATAACGACTCTTAGATGTGAACTCAGCAAATAGAGAATATTTAGGCTCTTATAACTAGGTGTAGGGACATGTGTGATATCATGGATCACATTCTTGTACAAACATCACAAAAGATTACAACATTGACACATACTTTTATAGAGTCTTTGGGTTATACAAGCAGAACCAATGTAGCACTCAGCACACAGGTGAAATTGTGAGTCCTGTATGCAAACCCAGCTGACAGAAATAACTGTCATCATCCCACATGGTTGCAGCCAACTGTCACACGTAAAAACAGGACATGTGTGGTATCATAAAACTCACCTTTGACATTTTCTGACAGTGTGATTGTGATATACATATTTGCCAAGCACCTGTGTAGTTGGACTTTCCAGAATGGTCCCAGTTTATATATGAAATTGTGATATCTAGCTGGGTCAGCCTCAAGGGGATATGACTGCCATGCCTGGGCTCTTCTCTCAGTAAGTGTTGTGACAGATCACTGGATCTAGCAGCCAGGTGATGTTACATTCTTGCCTGTGCCATGTCCACAAAAATTACTGTGACATATTCCTGTGTCCACCTCATAGGTGATGTAACTCTCTTCTTTGGAATGGGCCCTGCCCGAAGGAAGGATAGTGACATATTGCAATGCCAGTCACACAGGTGAGGGTATTCTTTTGCCAGAGCCATGCTGAAAGTAGGGCACTGTGACATATCTCTAGGCCTGTCACCTAAGTTATGTGGCTCTCCGGCTTGGGCCCTGCCAACCTGGAGAGTGACATATTTCTAGGCCAGGCACACAGGTGAGGGTACTCTTTAGCCAGGGCTGTGCTTCATAGAGGACACTGTGACACGTCTCTTCAGCTATCACCTGGTTGAAGTGACTCCCTCTCTGGGATCTACTCACATGGAGCATTGTGGAATAAGCAGAGAATTTGTACCTCATTTATGTAACTCCCTTTCCTGGATGATATCCTAAGACAGCCTTGTGACATATCTCAGGACCCAGCACCCAAGGGACGTGGCTCCTCTACCTTGTTTCTGCTTACATGTTACATTATGCATATTTGAAGGGAAGCACCCAGGTGATATGACTTTCCTCGTCTCAATGAGCCCTGCCTACTGGAAACATTTGGACATATTTCTGAGCCCATGATCTAAAAATGTGACTCTATTTTTCTGCCTGGGGCTTCACATTAAGAGGATTTTGGCACATTGCTGATCCCAGCACGCAGAATATGTGACTCTCCTCTTGTTCCCGAGCCATGCCCACAAAAAAAGAATTTGGACCTATTGCAGGGCCCAGCATCCCGATGATGTTACTCACCTGCCTGGGTTTTGCACAAAGAAGAAACTATGGCATATTGCATATTGATAAGCCCAGCATCCTTATGATGTGACTCTCCGGCCTGTGTTGGAGCCACTGAAGGTATTTTGACATATCTTCAGCCCATAATGCAGATGTTTTGGCTCTCCTAACTTGGCTGGGTATTTTCTACATGTGAGATGTTGTCATATTGCTGGCTCCAGCACCCGGTTATTGTGACCTAATATCCCCTATACCCTGCCTGAAGAAGGCAATTTGACATATTGCCTGGCACACCATATAAGTGATGTTTCCCTCCTGCATACTTATTTGGCCACATATGGGATTATGACATATATCTTGCTTTTAGTTCACAGGCATGATGATCAAACTTATTTTGGGATTCAGCCAATAGGAGATATTTTACCTCTCATCATTAGGCTTAGGGCAATAGGTAAGTTCCTGGGTTACATATTTCTACCAAGGTCATAGAAGCTTAACACTGAGTTATATTTTTTCAAACTCTTTGGTGGTAGAATGTTTCATAACAGGGCCCAGCAAAAAGTTCAGATTGAGACTCCTGGTTACACACCCAGGTGAAATCAAAAGTTGTCATCATCCAACGTTTACAATGTCCAAGGTTGAGGTCCTGAGTCTAACAGGGAATACAGCACAAAGTTGGAGGTTTGACTTTTATATGTTAATCTGACAAAAGTTGGGATGGTGACTCATTTCTGGACCCAGCCCACTGGCATAATAATGGGTCTTCCTCCCTAACCCTGCCTATAGGGAGATGATGACTATCAAACCTGAGTTTAGGGCCATATGTAAGATTGTGAGTCCATAGGAGCATGTAGTCCTCAGAGAGCTTTGCAATTCTTATGCAGGTTTATAAAACCCTCAGCTCCTGTAGACAGTGTTGTATATTGGCCCAGCACACATGTGAAATTGTGACGCTAATATACATATTCAGGTAAAAGTTAAAACTGTCACTCTCAAAGATGAGGAGATTGTGTCATACGACTGGACATAGTATGCAGGTGTTGAGACTTTTTGGCTCATATTCCTTTCCATGGGTTTATTGTTACATGTCAATGGGACAGAATCATAATAACTTGACTCTTCTGCCTGGGCCCTGTCAACAGGGGATATTATTACATATTTCTGGTCTTTTCGGCTAGGTGATGTGTCTCTCCAGCCTCTGTCCCGCACCCAGAGGACATTTTGAAATATCACTCTGCTCTCCTGCCTGGGTCTTGCTTATTGAAATGTAACTCCGCTCTCTTGCCTGGGTCTTGCTTATTGAAGGAATTGCGACATATGGCTGAATGCAAAACCTAGGTGATGTCTCTCCTGTCTATTCAAGAGTTTATATCTGTGCTGAATTTTGTTTCATGACTTTGGTGTTCTACCATTATACCGGCAGCACAATCCTTTGATTAATGTAGGTTTGCTTTGTGTTTGGAAATTGTTATGTGTAATGCTTCCTATATATATTTTTAAGATTGTCAGGCTTTTCATGGTTTATTGGAATCTCAAGTAATTTTGTGGAGTTTTGTCTATTTTTGGAAAAGTAAAATTAAAAATTGAAAAGGAGTGTGTTGCCGGTGTGCTTCACTTTAAGCAGTATGGACATCTTCATAATATTTTATCTTCCAACCCTTGAAAAACAGCATGCTTAAAAGTGCGTTGTTTTCTGGGCATGGTAGCTCATACCTCTAATCCCAGAACTTTTGGAGGCCAAGTAGGGCTTGAACCAAGGAGGTGGAGATTGCAGTGGAGCTGAGATTGTGCCACTGGACTCCAACCTAGCTCCGGAGTGCCAGAGTGAGAGTCCATCTCAAAAGAAAAAAAAAAAAAAACTGTGTTGCTTAATTTTTATATTTTTGGAGTTTTTCTGCTTTTCTTTTGTTACTAAATTCTAGTTCCATTCCGTCTGGGCTATAAATAATTTTCTGTAAAATTTCAACTGAAAAATAATTAAGACTTCTTTTGTGGTGTCACATGTGGTCCATCTAGGAAAATGTTTTATGTGCTATTGAAAAGAAAGTCTATTCTGTTGTCTCTATACATTTCTTAGGTGTAGTTGTTGTACAGTACATTCAAGTTTTTGTTCCCTCATTGATATTCTGTCTTGCTTTATTTATTACTGAAAGTGGGGTATTGATATATACTTCCACTATCTCATTGCTGCCTGCCTATTTTTGATTCAATTCTGTCAATGTTTGATTTATGTGTTTGGAATAACTGTCCTGCATTTATAGGTTCTCAGTGAATGAACCCTCTTACTGCATTTGAATGTCCTACTTTGTCCCTTGTGAATTTTAACATAAAATAAATTATATAAATATAACAGTTTTCAACTTAATAAATTGTTACCTCTTCTCCTCTCATTTGATTAACACTTGCATGGAATGTATTTTTATACTGCCATTTTCAGTCTAATTTTTATTAGATCTGAAATGAGTCTCTTAAAGGCATGACATAGTTACATCCTGATATAGACTACAACATAGCCACATTTTTTTTTTTCATTTGGAAAGATAATTTTGCAGGCTATAGTATTCTTTATTAGGCTATTTATTTCAGTGTTTTAACTATGTCATCTTATTCCCTTCATGCCCAAAAGATTGACATTCATAAATTTACTGGTAATCTTGCAGAAGCATACATATGAATAACACATCTATTTTTTATTTCTGAATTCCAGATTCTCTTCTTTTCTCTGACTTTCAAAACATTGCTTATGTTTTGTCTTGTTAGAAATCTCTTTGTGTTAACCTTAGTTGAAATTGTCTGAGCTTCTTGAGTTTCTTAAAATTTTTTACTGATGTTGAACTGCATATTAGTCTTTTTTTGTGCTTCTACTGCACAATTTTCATTCCTTTTTGTGACTTTTATCTTTTGTTGGTTTCATTTATTTATTTTTATGTTTTTTTCTTTATTTCTATTTTACTGATTAAGCATCATTGACACGGTGATTTTCACTTTTTAGCACTTTTTTTTTTTCTTTTTAAAAATAGATCTAAACTAACCCAAATCGCCTCTGGTAATTTTTATATTACCATTTATATCTCCATTTTTTATAACTGATTTCTGGATATTTCACCATGTTGACCTGGCTGGTCTTGAACTTCTTACCTCAGCTGATCCACCCACCTCAGCCTCCCAAATAGCTAGAATTACAGGTGTGATCCAATACTCCCAGCCGTTCCCCATATTTCTCACTGAGATCCTGCAGTCAGCTGGATACCCATAGTCTGCCTATGATACTGAAGTCTTTCTTTTTTTGTAACAGTTATTTGTCTTTAGTCTCAGTCAAAGTATACCATCTTTCCTTTCAACACTGTCTTGGAATGTAGGAATTTGTCTTTGGTAAAAACTCAAAAAGCCAGAAGCATGGACATGTCACTGTTTTATTTATTTTTGAAGGGGTAAGACAGGAGTTGTCAGTCTCTACACTTTTCATAGGATAAAATATGTGTGTAGTGGGTAAATATGAAATACTTTTATTACACTCCTATGTGGTTCTTGGCATTTTGCTCACTTGGTGCTGCAAATGCTTAACTGAGTCTTGGACTTCTCACAAAGGCATTTTGGTAAGTATATTATGTTAAACTTATATGTTTATAAAGGAATTAGGCCCTGTGGTATTTTATTGTCACCTTGTTAATGTGCTTTGTATAATTACACATTTGTCAAGTGTATTCACCTGAGTCGAATGAGGGAGAAATTTTGTCTTTTTTTGTTTGTTTGTTTCAGCTGGGCTGTTTTCATTTTACTACAGAGATATGGATGGAGCACAAAATAAAAGATTCATTCCAAAAAGTGACTGATAAAATATGAAAGCTGTGACTTTAATAACTTACTTTTAAAGAAACACTACCAAAGTGTGGGTTATTGCAAGGGCAGAAAAGCAGTTTTAATGGCTTTCCTCAATGTCTGTCATCTACTCATAGCAAAACAAATGTGGCAAACCTTTTGAGTTGTGCTCAAACTTCAGTGAACATAAAAAAAAAAATTAGTGGGAGAAATGCTACAAGTATGAAGAACGTGGCAAAGACTGTACATTGTTCTCACATTTTACTATAAAAAAGGAAATTCCTATTGCAGAGAGATGACACAAATGTGAAGAATGTGGCAAAGCCTTTAAAAAGTTATCAAGTCTTACTGAACATAAGAAAGTTTATCCTGGAGAGAAATCTTACAAATATAAAGAATGTGGCAAACCTTCACCTGCTCCTAAACCTTCATTAAACACAAGATAAATCATGCTGGAGACACATCCTAAAAACGCGTGGAACGTGGCAAAGCCTTTAAGTGCTTCTCAGACCTTACTAATCATAAGAGAATTCACACTGGAGAGAAACCCTACAAATGTGAAAAATGCGGCCAAACATTGAGCTCATTCTCACACCTCATTAGACATAAGAAAATTCATACTACAGAGAAAGTCCACAAGTGATAAAAATGTGGAAAAGCCTTTAACAAATCCTCATGTCGTGTTCCACATCAGAGATTTAATACTGAATGAATGCAATATAAGGGTAACGACTGATGAAGACCATTTACTTAACATCTTGGAGGGTCTCTAAGAACTTGGTTTATAATCTGTATGTTTCTGTATTGGGTGCATATATAGCACTTTACTCTTATGTAATGTTCTTTTTTGTCTTTTTAAAAAAATCTATGTTGACTTAAAAGTCTGTTTTGCTAGAAACTATAATCTCAACGGCTGCTTTTTTCCTGTTTTCTATTTGCTTGGTAGATTTTTCTTTTTCAATTTATTGTTATCTTATTTTAGATGGGTGTCTCAGTTACAGCATACCCTTGGATATTAACTCTGCATGCAATTTGCCACTCTGTTTTTTAACTGGGATATTTAGCCCATTTACATTTAAAGTTAGCATTTTTATGCGTGGATTTGATTCTGTCCCTGTGATCTTAGCTGGCTAATTTTCACATTTATGTAGTTGCTTTATAGTGCCAGCTGTTTATGTACTTTAGTGGGTTTTTTGGGGGTTTGTTTTGTTTTGTTTTGTTTTTGTTTTGTTTTTATTTTGTTTGTAGTGACTTGTAATAGTCTCTTATTTACTGCTTTCTTCAGAAGCTCTTGTAAGGCCGGTCTTGTGGTAACAGAGTTCCTCAGCGTTGGCTTATCTGAATAGGATTATATTTATTTTTTACTTCTGTAGCTTGCTTTGGTAAGATATAGAATTCTTGTTGTGAGAAGTCAGGGACTCTGAATGAAGGCACCTGCTGAAGCCATGGCAGAAGAACATAAATTGTGAAGATTTCATGGACATTTGTCAGTTCTCCAAATGAATACTTTTATAATTTCTTATGCCTGTCTTTACTGCAATCTCTGAACATAAATTGGGAAGATTTCATGGACATTTATCACTTCCTCAATCAATACTCTCATAATTTCCAATGCCTGTCTTTACTTTAATCTCTTAATCCTTTCAACTTCATAAGCTGAGGATGTACGTCGCCTCAGGACCCTGTGATGATTGCGTTATCTGCACAAATTGTTTGTAAAGCATGTGTGTTTGAACAATATGACATCTGGGCACCCTGAAAAAGAACAGGATAACAGCGATGTTCAGGGAACAAGGGACACAGCCATGAGGTCTGACTGCCTACGGGGCCAGGCAGAACAGAATCATACTTCTCTTCTTGCAGGAAGTGAATAGGAGAAATATCCTTGAATTCTTTTCTCAGCAAGGAATAGCCCTGGGAAAAAAAGGCATTCCCAGGGGGAGTTCTCTAACATGGCTGCTCTGGGAGTGTCTGTCTTATGCAGTTGAAGATAAGGGATGAAATACTTCCTGGTCTCCTGCAGTGCCCTCAGGCTTGCTAGGATTAGGAAATTCCAGCCTGGCAAATTCTAGTCAGATCCGTTGTCTGCTCTCAAACCCTGTTTCCTGTTAAGATGTTTATCAATGATAGTGCATGCCCATTGGGACATGGACCTTCATCAGTAATTCTAATTTCACCTTTGCCTTGTGATCTTGCTCTGCCCCCTTGCCTTGTGATCTTTTATTGCCCTATGAAGCATGTGAACCCTGTGACCCACTCCCTATTC
Organism: Homo sapiens; assembly: GCF_000001405.40. Lineage (NCBI taxonomy): Eukaryota > Metazoa > Chordata > Mammalia > Primates > Hominidae > Homo > Homo sapiens. The sequence goes on along the minus strand of NC_000024.10, from coordinate 25,016,983 downwards.
ATACACCCCTCCCTTTTTGAGATCCCTAATAAAAACTTCCTGGTTTTGTGGCTCAGGTGGACATCACAGAACCTGCTGACATGTGATGTCACTCCGAGAGGCCCAGCTGTAAAATTTCCCTTTTTTTTTTTTTTTTTTTTTTACTCTTTCCCTTTATTTCTCAGACCAGCCAACACTTAGGGAAAATAGAAAAGAACCTATGTTGAAATATTCGGGGCCGGTTCCTCTGAAAATTCTTGTTTGGAATTCTTTTTTTTTAAAGAATGTAGAATATTGGCCCCTAGTCTCTTTTGAGTTGTAGGATTTCAGCTGAAAGGTTTGTTGTTTGTCTGATGGTCTTCTTTTACAGGTGGCCTGGCCTTTCACTCTAACTGCCTTTAACACATTTTTTTCTTTCATTTTGACCTTGGAGAATCTCACGATTTCGTGTCTTGAGGGTGACCTTCTTGTAGGGTATCTTACTGGGGTTCTCCACATTTCCTTCATTTGAATGTTGACCTCTCTGTCTAGGCTGGAAAAATTCTCATGGATGATATCTGGAAATAGGTATTTCAAGTTGTTTTCATTCTTCCCATCAATTTCAGATGTTCTTTTTAATCATAGATTTGGTTTCATTACATAATCCTGTATTTCTTAGAGACTTTGGTTCATTTCTCTGTATTCTTTTTTCACTATTCTTGTCTGTCTTATTTCAGAAAGCCAGTCTTGAAGTTCTGAGATTCTTTCCTCTGCTTGGCCTATTCTGTTGTTAAGACTTTTGATTACATTATAAAGTTTTGTATTGTGTTTTTCAGCTCTATCAGGTTGACCACATTTTCCTCCTGATTGGCTGTTTTTTCCATTAATTCCTGCATTTTTTTCCTTTTATTGCATTGGGTTGCAACTTACATTTGTAGCTCAATGAAGTTTATTTCTATCCATATTCTGAATTCTACTTCTGTCATCTTAGGCCTTGCTGAAATGACCAAATTACATAATTTGGTCATTTGGATGAAAGAAGTCACTGTGGTTTTTTGTGTTTTCAACATTTTTGCACGGATTTTGTCAAATCTTTGTGGGCATATCTTTGAGGTTGCTGACATTTGAATGGAGTTTTTTTTTTTTTTTTTTAATCCTATTCAATGGCCTGTAATATCCAATTGTGGTATAAAGTAGATTGAGCCTACGGGCTTTGTTCCTGGGAATTTTTTTTTTTTTTTTTTTTTTTTTTTTTTTTGGTGGCAGGGAGACAATGCTCAGCTCACAACTCAGAGGCTGCATACTCTGGGGCAGTTGTATTTGTTTCCAACCATCTTCTCTGGCTCCTTGATATTTCAAGTCCATCACTTTGTAGGACTAGCATGCCGCAGCTGCAGCAAAGTGGTAGTGGATATGGGTTTTCTGCCTGCCTCTGGGCATTTACCTTAGTGGCAGGAGCAAAGAAGTTGGGAGGTGACTGAGGACGTAACTGCTGGACACTGTGTGTGCTGTTGCGCTAATAATGGTTGGTTGTGTTAGCTTGGTGCAGGAAGCTGGCCAGTGAATGTTTGATGCCTTCTTTGTGCCCCACCAATAAAGAAGTGATTGTTCAGAGTGTGGGAGAATACACAGTTCTCTGCACAGTGTTAACACAAAGGCAGAGTTGTGCCTTTCTGGCTCTCTGCCCACCAAAGCTTCATCTACAGTAGAAGCTGCTGTGGGTGGCAGGGGAATACTGCATTCTTATTTGCTGATGGATCAAGCAAAGTCCAACCCACCTTTGCAGACATGTGCCACCAAAGTAATATCAGGAGTTGCCATGGTCTCTGGAGAAGCTGCAGTATGGGGAACATACCTGTGTGCTGGTGCAGCCACAGGGGCTGCTTTGCTGGAGCAGTTAGGGCTCAGGCATCGTCCACCAATGCAGATGCCATGGTATGGTAAACTACTCTTCCAGAGGAGCTGAGACTGCCCTGTAAGTGGCTGCAGCCAGACTGGGACCCTGGGAGAGACCAGCAGACCAAGGAGTGCTCAGTTGGAGACGCTTCTTCTCATTTGCAAGACTATCCTGCAGAAATTAGGTCCAACAGGTTCTCTAGGGCTAAAGTCTCTTATGAGAGAAAGTTTAGCCTAGAGAAATGGCCATCACTGGCCACACTTTCCTACAGATGCTTTTGTGCCAAACCCACTGGACACCACATAAGCTGGCTTGCTGGCCCACCTCTTTGCTTCTCTTCTGGGGGGCTGCATCTCAGAGAGATGTAGGTCAGCAATCCCTCAGTGCAGTCAGCCCAGGATGGAGGAGCTCTGCTTTTGGCCAAGTAGAGGTTCACTGTCTGGTGAGGAGCAGTGAGGAGTGTGTGAAACCCAAGGAGGATGGACTGGCCTCTTCTCCTTGGGTAAACTGCAGCTTGTTTAAGGTGTGAATAACGCACTTAAGTTTTTGGACTGTTCATTAGCCTGAGGGAAGCAAGGACAGTTCTACTGCAGGGGCAGTGGCAGAAGTATTTTCAATTGCTGCTGGAGTCTCTGTCCAGGGAATTGCTAACTTGCTACTGGCTCAATAACTCTGGGAATGATTGGCTAGTGGGCCAGTCCTGGAGAACCTTCCCAAAGAGAATATAGGAGAACAGGCCCTTACGTAACAATCTGGCCACTTTCTGAAGGGCTGTTGGATTATCCTGAGTGTCCATTGCAGTTTCTAGTCATCTCCAATTTTCCAGTATCTGAAGTTATCACCAGTAAATGCTGCAAAACAACAACAATGGCAACATGCCCTTTTCTCTGGGAGCCCTGTCCCAGGGAGGTTAGACCTGTTTCCAGCACAAAAGCACATATAGGAGGTAGCTAAAAATCTCAGTTGAAAGATCTTACCCAGTGAGGGTGACATAATTGGGGACCCACTTGAAAAGCAATCTAGCCACATTTCTGTAGGACAGCTCTGCTGGGCAGAGGTACCACTTCCACCCTCAGTTTATTTGGATTCTCAAAAGCCAGAAGGCTGGAACAGCTAAGTCACACAAACAGCAAAAAGGGCAGCTCACTCTTCCCTCCAGGAACTGTATCCCAAAGACATTTCCAAATTCCATCGATCAAATAGCACCAGTGGTGGTAGATGGACACCCTGGTTGGAAAGTATTTCCCAGTGAGGAGGAATGAGATTGCAGACCTGCTTTAACAGGCAATCTGGACATGTCTTTTTACAGCACCTGTACTGTGCTAGGAGATTCTTTCTGTCCCCAGTCGGCTTGAGCTCTTCAAAGCCTGAAGGCTGGAATGGCTAACTTGCCAAAGCAGCAAAGAGGGTGGGCCACCCCTCTTTCTGGTAGCTCCATCACGTGGAGGTGAAATGCTGTTATCAATGGTTGGCTGGAATTGTAAGCCAGTAGATCTTACCCTGTGAGGAATTGTGGAAATGAGTCCTACAGACCATCGCTGCTCAGGCCCCTGGATTCTGCCTGTTTCCTATGGGAGTGTACAAGGATGTAACCTCCTGCTTTGCTGGAGTTGCAGCTAATTTTTCTTGGAAGCCTGGAGAGCCAGATTATCTAAGGCTCTTGAATCTCTGCACTGGCCTGGGTGACTGCTCTGCTGTGACTCCATGTAGCTCTGTTTGTTAAACGGAAGGCCATAATGAAGTGGGTTAACGAGGGTATCTCCTTACCTGAGGGTTGCAAAATCAGTGACAGAATTGTGGGTTGCCAGGGTCACACATGCAATTACTGATTTACTGGGTGGAAAGTTTCCCTTGGCTTCTTGTTTTTCCCGGATGGCCCATTATTCTACCTTCCTTTACTCCATTCTCCATTAGATAAGTCGTTTCTTTGATTGTTCCCAATGCTAGTACCTGGATGTTTCAGTTTAAGGTGCTGTATTTATGCATATTTTGCATTTCTCTCTGTGAGAACTACGCAGTCCAGCAGATTCTAGCTGGCAATCTTGACTACTTTCCTCTAAAAGAAACCTACCTTTTTATTTTAAAAGAAATTAGGCCAGGCCAGTGTCTCAAGCCTGTGATCCCAGTGCTTTGGGACACTGAGGGGATCAGATCAAGAGGTCAAGGGATCAAGACCATCTTCTCCAACATGGCAAAACCCCATCTCTACTAAAAATACAAAAAAATTAGCTGGCTGTAGTGGTGAGCGCCTGTGCTCTCAGCTACATGTGAGGCTGAGACAGGAAGACGGCTTGAACCTGGGAGGTGAAGGTTGCAGTTAGCTGAGATCGCACCACTGCACTCTAGCCTGGCAACAGAGTGAGACTCCATCCCAAACAAAAACAAAAAATAAAATGTAGTGTTGTTTTCAAAAGCGAATATTGACGTAATTTAACTCTTACATTTGATGCTCTCTTCATTTCTAGTGTTTATGTGAAAGAACATGGTCAATTGTTGCTGTACCAGAGTTATGAGAGGTTCTTCTAAATTAGATAGACAGATTTATATTCTTTTTCATGGAAGGTTAAGAAAACTGAAATCTAATGTAAATGAAGAAAATCTTAGTAGAAAGGCTACTTAATGGTTGGTTTACAGCAGTATTTTTGTTTTGTTTTGTTTTGTCTTGTTTTTGTTTTTGTTTTTGTTTTTTTGGAGTTGGAGTTTCACTCTTGTTGCCCAGGCTGCAGTGCAATGGCCCAATCTCTGCTCATTGCAACCTCCAATTCCCAGGTTCAACCAGGTTCAAGTACTTCTCCTGCCTCAGCCTCTCGAGTATCTGGGATTACAGGCATGCACCACCACGCCTGGCTAATTTTGTATTTTTAGTAGACACGGGGTTTCTCCACGTTGGTCAGGCTGGTCTCAAACTCCCGACCTCAGGTGATCTGCCCGCTTCAGCCTCCCAAAGTGCTGGGATTACAGGCATGAGCCACTGCATCTGGCCATGTTAACAGCAGTATTATATGTGACAGGATGATAGGAGTGTTTTAAGTGATCAGGATAGCATTCTGCACAGTAAGAGAAACCATATGAATTTTAGAAGAAAATTCCTTTACCATTTGCAAATTAATGTAATTAAAATACAGTGAATTTAAAAATGCCTTTTTAATGGCAATGTGTGAACTTAATTTGTTTTAATAAGCCAAAATTGTTGTTTTTGTGTTATGGCTATTTTACATTGAATGTGTATTTTGCCACTGATGTTAACTTTTCCCATCTTACTCAAGGTTGTAGGTAACAGATGGTAACAATATACTATCTGGTGACAGTGAAATAACATCTCTAGTGGTTACTTTGTTAGTGGTCTTTAACTGAAAATAATTTTGAGAATATGGTTTCTAGCACTTACATTTTTGTTTTTCTTGTAACTACAGATTATTATGATGGTTGCAATGAAGACTTTGAGTATAATGGAACTACATGTTTCAGAATTCTGAACAACTATTTAAAACATTTTATCCAACTTTTTTTTAAAAATATGACTTCTCTGGTCTGCTAAACATATACAGACTTTCAGTTTTGGTTTACATGGTTTTAAATATACAGATATATCACTGTAAAATAAACTTTAGGTGTAACAGATTTATAGAGAATAATCGTATTTGTTTACGGTCATGTACCTACTTTGAGAAGAAAAGAAAAATATTAGAATGAAATAGGTAGTTATACAAGCATTGATAAGTCACCAGCAAACCAGAATCTTCAAAGAATTTGAAAGCAAATTTATTTTCTCTGCTTTGTATTAAACGTATTTATCTAATATGTCATTGCTCCTGGCTTTGAAATATCTTATGCAAATTACTTTTTTTATATCTGTTCATTTGTGGCTAACTGTAAACATAATACACAATTTTGTTTTTGTCCAATTTTGTAAAACATTATTTGTATAATTTCCTCACAGATTATGAAAGTGGCTTTGGTAAAATATAATGGTGTTCCCAAAATAACTTTCACATGTGAGTAATTTCACAGTGTGTGCATTATTGAATGTTATTTATTTAGTATATTTTATATTTTGTTTCAATTAGAAAATGCGATTAATCCAATTTTTGTTTAGTTATTGTTCATTTTACTTCATAAAATTGATATAATTGAGCTGATTAAATGCATAGGGCCAATTTATTCAAGTAAATAGTTGAATGTTTAATAAGTCATGAGGTCTTTTTGGCATATACACGAAGTAAAAAAGACAAAACTAGCTATGTAATAGAAGCTACATGATTAAAAAATAGTCTTTTTAAAATTAGCCTACTGTCTCTAGTGAAAAATTGAAAACATCTATAATAAATGACATTAATTGTTCTCAAAAAGAGATCATAATTGTATGAAAACCTTGTAAAATTATTGGATTATGGTGCTACATTTAAACATCTATGGAGGAAGGCAGAGCGCTAGCCTATGCAGTCAAACCTGGAATGGCTGACACATGTTAAGGGTATTCACCACAGGTATTGAAACCTAAAATGCCCTGAACTCTTTTCATTTAGATTAACAAAATATGGTTTTAGTCTTCCTCCTCTATATTCTGGCATAGACAGAATTATCATGCCACTTTTTTACATTTGATTTTAGGTATTTTTTCTTTCTTTGAGATGGAATCTCACTCTGTTGCCCAGGCTGTAGTGTAGTTGCACAATCTCGGCTCACTGCTACCTCTGTCTCCTGGGTTAAATCTATTCTTTTGCCTCAGTATACCAAGTAGCTGAGAATACAGGTGCCCTCCACCAAGCCTGGCTAATTTGTTGTATTTTTAGCAGAGACAGTGATTCACCATGTTAGGCTGGATGGTCTTGATCTCCTGACCTTGTGATCCACCCACCTGGGCATGCCAAAATGCTAGGATTACAGGCATGAGCCACCACACCCAGCCTTATTTCTAGGTTTTGAAACAGCTCATCCTCAACTTAATGTCTCTGAGGACAGAAATACTGTGTGATATGGAAAAACAAAACAAAACATTTATTATAACCTAAGTAGTCTTCCCTTCTGCCCTGCTGTCCTGGACTTTCAGAAGTGTAGTTCTGGCAGACATTACTGAAAGGTTGATGTGGGAAACAAGCTTAAATGAAAATGGGTTGTGTGTGAAGACTGTCTTTTTAGGAACTGGCAGGATTAGCCTTCAGTTCTGGGTAGATTTTGGGCAATCAGATGATATATAAAGAGTGGTTATGTTGTATCAGGTCATAAGAAACGCTGGATTCTGCCAGTAGTAAACCTCTGTAAGAGTGGTATTTTTTGGACTATGAATTGGGTAAATTTTTAAATATAATTGATAGGTTTGTTCTGTATATTTTCAATAATTCTTTCACAAGAGCTGTTTGCTTTATTTCTATACTGATGCAGATTCTGAGCATCTTTAATTCTGTTCATTATCAGATACTGAAAGATAAAGAATAAGTAAATGAATCTCTTTCAGTTTTTGTCGTTAATTTAGCCAGTAAATATAGTCTCATTTCTATCATCTTTAAGTTTTACTAATGAAGGCCAGAATAGATTTTTTTCTCCAAAAATTTTAGCAACTATAAAAGCATGTTTATAAAGTCACTTTTATAGATACTATAAATATCAATTGTCAAATGTGTTGATTTCTAAGATAAAATATGTGAGAATTATACTACCCAACATGACCAATAAAATGTTTTTAAGTTGTCTATATAAAACATCTATCAATTTTGAATTGCATACCTAGCTAAATTTTTTTAAGATTGAGGATAAGATGAAAAATAATTTATACAAGTAACACAAACTAAGTTTACTGAAATTGTTTACTCATTTAAGAAATCTAATTGCATTTTAAATAAATTGCTGTCACTTGTTAGTAATTGTGTATCACATTTTTTAAATATTTTTCTCTAAAACAGGTAACAGTTGGAACAAAGAAGAAAACAAAAATTCAATGATTGTCATAAAAATAAGTTTGAAGAAAATAAAAGGTTTATTTGATGACCTAATTAAAATAATGTAAAGGACTAACAACTTTGTTTTTTACACATTTTTTTTTGGCAAAGGAAACCCTGACATAGTAATCTGCAGAAAATACTACTAATTATATTCTTGAGACAACTCTTACTGAATTTGGCAGTTTGAGAATCTCCAGCACAGTCCCAGGATTCCCTAGGAATTTCTTCTAGGAGAACATCCCATGGAAATGAAGCAGAAGGCCATGTACACACACACACACACACACACACACACACACACGCACACATACACACACACACTCACGCACACACAATTGGATGCTCACCCCTTAGAATCCAGTGGTTGCAAGTTGCAGAACAAGTAGGCTGTCCTCAGAGGTCCAGGGAGGGGCTATGGTCACCATCCTAGAAAAGGGGCCTGGACTTCCAGTGAGCCCTCCTGCCTGCAAGGGCCTCAGAGGCCCCTGTGCAGGCCAGCCTGGGTGCTGTGTTCTGTTCCTGGACCTTGAATCCTGCCTCACCTGCTAGCTTTTTTCACAACGAAATCAGGATGGCAATGCCCAGTGCAGTCCCACCTGAGGAAAGAAATCAAGAGTATCAAGTCCCACACCCATCTTGTAACATTAAGTGACTTATTGATTTATTAGTCAGTAAGTTAGAGCAGATTAATTCGTCAATGAGTTAGTGCTCTCTAACTCCCTAAGATTACAATCTAAAAGGAAAGCTGGGTGGCATCTGCATGAGGCTGTGCATTGGAGAAAGGATAGGTCACCTGGGCTTCAGTGAGCATGTTCCCCTAGCCAATCAGTGGAAGCACAGGATGTAACTGGAGGTGGTGAGTGGGCTCTGTGCAGTGGCCAGGCAAATGTGGGGTGAGCAGCCAGTCACTGAGGGGATTTCATTGCCCATTTTTTGATGAGCAAATTGAATCCCCAAAGCCACAAGGCAGGAGGGGCAAAAGCACTGGCCAGAGGCATTACCATTTTTCTTCACTGGCAGCCATAAGTTTCAGACCTCCCTGGGCTTGCCTTGAGGAAGAAGATGCCTCTTCCTTGAGAGTCTAGGCACAAAAGCAGCCAGTCATGTGTGGCAAAGCCACCCACAGCCCATTTTATGGGCTCATGTGGGCCTCCTTAATCCACCGGCCTGTGAAACCCAACTGGAATTCCAGAGTCCAGAGTTCACATTTGGTTCTAGAACCAAAATTTTAGTACTCAGGCCAGAGCCAAACTGGACCTGTTAATTCCAAGACACAAGGCTCAAATCAGAGAACAGACTTGACTGTTCAGCTGCACCTAGGCAGTGTGTATACTCTTCCAAGCAGATCCCATTCTCTTCCTGCTTCCAATTATTTCACCTGCAAGTTGTTATTTGTACCAGCTCTTTCTCTACCCCGCGTATCCTATGATTTTTTGAAATTTCTGTGAAGACCGCATGAGCTAAGCATTACGGGTCACAGTGCTCTAGCCTACTCAGGCTGTGCCAGGAAGCAGATCTCTCAACCTTTCTTGACACTTAAGAGAGTCATGAATAAATAGTACCAACTCTATGAGGAGGGCTGTCACATATTCAGACCCTTTTCTGGTCTCCGTACTAAAATACTCTTTTCTGGTCTCCTTATCAAAAGATGCATTAGAATGACAAGGAAAATAAGGCACCAAGCTGGCAGTTCTGCCTTTTAAAGCGCAGCCTCAGCCTGGTCACAGTGAACCACAATTTCAGGGTCTTGTTCAGCATGTCATACTTTGGAAAATAGTGGAACTGGGGCCCCATATTGTCGTGGTCCGGTGAATATGGAGACGGTCACCTCAGCAGCCTGTATATACCCAGTCACACCCGTAACAAAAACAGACTCTACCAACTAAGAAGCCATCACATTAACTTATACAACTGTACCTGCAATGTGCACACACATCAGGACTTTCAGATAAACTCCTGCCAACACAACAATTCAAGTAAAGCAATAACTATTTTGAATCTAAAATCTCAGGAAGAAGAAACTCCACTGCCTAAACCAGCCTGTATGATGGATGAAACTGACGGTGTTATCTTGACTTGGGCATACCTGGTTACTGACCCTCTATAAATAGATGCTTCTGAGTGTTCAGAGTTCCAAATCTAAAAAACCTTGTCATGGTCAACCTGGAGCTTACTCTTTATCTATGAGTAATCTGAGATACTGTCCTGAGTTCTATCTGAGAACAGTATCTCAGAGAGATCTATCTAAGACGGTGAAACCCCGTCTTAGCCAGGATGGTCTCGACCTCCTGACCTCGTGATCCGCCCGCCTCGGCCTCCCAGAGTGCTGAGATTACAGGCATAAGCCACCGCGCCAATAATGTCTGAGCCCCTGTTCTGTCCCATCATGTGGCATAGGAATACAGGTCACACAAGGAAGTGAGGCTATTCCATTTTTGTTAAATGAGGGCTGACAGGTGAAAGCTTGTTCAGAAAAAAAAGTGCTAAATAAAAAGGCCATACAAACTGCATGTTTTTTGCAAGTGGGCCTGGTTATTCAGCTAGGCCCACTGACACTGTACTTTCTGCTCTCTGTGGAAGTTTCCACTAAAAGTCCATATCTCATTTACTGGTTCTGAGTCTCTTCTTTGACATCTTGATCCTTGTGCCATTTCAATGGGTGTCGAGTTTGACACAACTTACCCCATAGTGAGGAAGGATTTCAGACTCTGCTCAGTGTGCTTCAAAGCTCACCAAGGCATCAGCTATAGAAGGATGAATTTATTTTTTTTACCACTCTCATCCAGGCCTCTTTTTTTAAATGTACAATCAGTGGAATACAAAGAAAGACCAGTAAGAAACATATCGTGGTCAGAAGCAAGATTAATGCCAAAATGAGCTGTGACTGCTTTGGTAGTAAAAAGTAGCATTTTTTCTTTATCCTCTGGGCAGCCCTCAACTTCTTTCACCACTTTTTGGCTTCAGCAATGGTTTTTAAGCTCCATTCTGCCTCTGGAGGAACCATAAGCCATGGTTGGCAAATGTCTTTACTTAATCCTGCTGCAAGAAAGCTTTCTCCTGACAAACATGACCTCTGTGATTATGAGCTTATAAGAAATCTAAACAATGCCCAATCTTAAAACTTATGAAACGGAGATGAGTAGGTCTGAGGGAAACAATTTCCCACAATTTCCTTTGGCAAGTTCAAAAAATTGTGATGGTAGACAAGTGTATAGAAGAGGACAGCATAGTATAATTCCTCATCATGTGAGTTTAGAGCCAACAGTTTTTAATCCTAGCTGTGAGGGCTCCAAATAAAAACCAGAAGTTAACTCACTGCATCTGTCAATGACTAATTGAACATTTTGTCTATCACAGTGAGGAGTCTTCATTGAGGATTTTCCCATTGAATATATAGAGATAAAGACTGGAAAAGGTAAAATAGCAACTCCATGAAATCCTTAGATAAAATGTAGAAATGTTCATCTCCTCGTATCATTAGCATTTTTTGCACATATTTGCATGTATAGCTACCCATAAAGCTGATATTTTCTTTTTTTTTTTTTTTTTTTTTTTTTTTTTTGAGTTGGAGTCTCGCTCTGTCGCCCAGGCTGGAGCGCAGTGGTGCGATCTCAGCTCACTACAAGCTCCGCCTCCCGGGTTCAGGCCATTCTCCTGCCTCAGCCTCCCGAGTAGCTGGGACTACAGGCACCCGCCACCGCGACCGGCTAATTTTTTGTATTTTTAGTAGAGACGGGGTTTCACCGTGTTAGCCAGGATGGTCTCGATCTCCTGACCGCGTGATCCACCCACCTCCGCTTCCCAAAGTGCTGGGATTGTAGGCATAAGCCACCGCGCCAATAAATCAGTTATATGTCAAGTTAATATAAAAAAAAATTTCAACCAGGCGTGGTGGCTCACACCTGTAATCCCAGCAGTTTTGGAGGCCGAGGAGGTTGGATCTCTTCAGGTCAAGAGTTCGAAACCAGCCTGGCAAATATGGTGAAACACCATCTCTACTAAAAATACAAAAAAAAAAAAAAAAAAAAAAAAATGATGGGCACTTGTAATCTCAGCTACTTGGGAGGCTGAGGCAGGAGAATCACTTGAATCCATGAGGCAGAGGTTGCACTGAGCAGAGATCACGTCCCTGCACTCCAGCATGAGTGACAGAGCAAGCTTCTGTCTCAAAAAAAAATAAAATAAAATGTAGAGACACACATATGATCTAGACATGTCCTGGTGGAGTAAAGTGTGTATGATCCTGTTCTGGGAAAGGAGAAGAACAGTCAGGACCTTGGATTATGTTTGTGGGATCCATTGGGACACTAATGAAGAGGCAGTCAGGTCTTGGCCTAGCAACACTGAGGCTTGCAGGGGGCTTCTGAAAGCAGCAAAACCGGCCCGTGACACTGAATGCTAGATGGGCCTGTAACAATGAAAGATCTGCCCAGAGATCTTAGCAATCTTACTAGGATGCCATGACTATGATTTGGATTGAAGACTCCGGGGCAGAGTAGCTGAGAGAGAACCTCAGCAAACACGAGCCTTGATGACTATGGCTGGGGCAATCTAAAATATCTTATCTCTTCTGTTTTATGAAGCAGAACATAGAAAGGTAAATTAAAAAAAAAAAATCAAGAGAAATAAAATGTAAAAATAAATTTAAAGCAAGTGAAAAATAGTAAGGACAAATAAAATAAACCGAAATAGAGAAAAATAGAGAAATGTAATTAAGATAAGTGAAAATAAAATGAAGATAAACAATAAATACAAAAAATAAAAGAAATAAACAGAAATGAAATAATTTCCAATAAAAAGTTTCAGAATAAGGAGAAAAAATAAAAAAGAAATATGGATAAAAAATAAGATAATATGAAGGAATATGACTAGAAACAAATAACAGAAAAAATATAAAATTAAATAAACTGCTAAAAACAAGATACAAGTTGAAGTATATTTGAAATGAAGAGAATGTAATGAGAAAAAAGAAAAATAGAAATAAAATTAAATTAAATTAATAGATAAAATGAAAAATAAAGAGAAACAAAATAAAGATAAAGAGAATGCACAAAAATAAAAAGTTAAATAGAGAAATAAGACGTCAGGTTAATCTACAAAACATTTCACCCAACAACAGCATAATACATAATACTTCTAATTGTATATGACACATTTTCTAAGATAGGCAAACTTGTGAGGTAGCATGCTAGTTTTAGCATATTTAAACTGATGGTAATCACAAAAAGTATTTTTTCTGACTACAATAAAATACAGCTGGAAGTTAAAACAAAACCATCATGTTTGCATATATTTGAAAACTGGACATATTCTTGAGCATACTATTTTTCAAGTGTTAGAACGTGCAAGTTTTTTAGATGTTAATGGTATACCAGGTGATCTATGGATCAATGAGATGTTTAAAAATGGTGATAGTTTTTGCAGAAGTACTAAATTATTCTAAAATGTTTGAGTCAATATTTACCTGTGTAACTCAGGCTGCAGTATAATATCATAATCATGACTTACTGTATCTTTGACCTCCAAAGCTCAGTTGATCCTCCTACCTCAGCCTCACAAGTGCTGAAACTGCAGGTGCATGTTGGCATGCTCAGAAAGTTTTTGTATTTTTTTTTTTTTTTTAGAGACAGGGTTTCACCATATTTCCCAGGCTGGTCTCAAACTCCTAGGCTCAAGCAACCCACCTACCTTGGCTTGGCTCCCCAAAGTTCTAGGATTACAGGAGTGAGCCAACACATATTGCCCTATGATTTCTATAAATACTCAAAAAACCACAAGTAACCAAACAACCTGTAAAAAAATAAATAAACTCAGAGGAATAATAGTTTTGTATTTCAAAACATATTGCAAAGTTACATTAATCAAAACAGTGTGGTGCTGGCATAAAGACAGAAAAATAAATGTTGAAACCGATAAGAGAAGGCAAAAATAAATCCACATGCATATACTCAGCTTATCATAAATGAGGGTTCCCAATCCTCATGTTGCAGAACTTTCTCCTTACTTCAGCAAAATTGAGTTCTTCTCACGTGACTAGGAAAGATTAGGCCCAGGGATACTCTGAAGGATGAAGGGTAGAGTTGATTGGGTAAAAAGAAGGAAAGAAAAACTGTCAACAGAGTGAGTGGGAGTCCTGTTTACAAGTCCCACCTCCTGGGTAGATTAACACTAAACCATCACACAAGAACTGCAGAGGCCAGTCTCCTTCTCCCTGCACAAGGAGTGAAGTTTCCCTGGCTCCAATCACTTCCCCCAGTGTGGACATGGATACTATTCAGAGAGAATCAGTTGAAAAAAGGCAGGCTTCATCTGGGAGAAGCAGTCTGATTTTTCAGTCTTTATGCTGTTTTAGGCTTGAAGATGGGGTTTCACCCAGGACCATTGGCTGTTTTCTAACTCTGTTATTTCCCCATATAAAGAAGTACATCTAACTGCCATTAGAATGAGGAGAAGGATCAGGACCAACACCACTTTTAAGAGCTTCCTGTTGACAGGGGGCACTGTTTTGGAAAACCGGCAGTCAGATTTTCCTAAGAGGCCTACCTAAGTGTCTCCAGTGAAAGGGGCCTTGTCTGAGGCTCTGGTGGCATGAATTTGGTAACCTAAATGGGAGAAGAATCAAACTGGGTTATTAAAAATCATGTATTAAAATAAAGTAAAATAAAACAAGGGGAAGGTGGCAAGGACAGCTCAAAAATTCCAAGGTATTTTTCCAGTTTACATAGGAAGGAGAAGGACAAAAGCACAACTTGAAAATTTTCTTTCACCCTTTTGCCAGCATGTCTGGCTTCTGTGTTCTTTTGCCCTGAGTCCAATCCTAAGTTAAGCCAACCAGTCTAAGGTTGGAGAATGCATCTGAGGTGACTGTCCCATAGTATGAATACATGATTACCTGTCTGTAAAAAGAAGACAGAGGAGAAAACAAGGTAAAAAGTAAGCATTTTTTCAAAGGAGGCCCAAAATTTCAGGATGCATTTAAAAGGAATATAGACTGATAATGAATGGCTACTCATCTAGAAGGAGAGTGAAGACCATGTATCCCTGATTCCTTTATCTTTCTAGGAAATATCCAGTGTATGTTGAGGGATAGAAGAAAGAATGTTGTCTTTCCCCCTTGCATCCTTGTATCCCCGAGTTCCAGGGATTGTGATAGGTTGCAACCCATGGATGTCAAAGCAGCTTTCACTCATGTTAACAGGAAGGCCTGTTGGGGGTGGAAATATCTGCTCTTACCTACATATGTCCTATCTTCCCTGCTCTCAGTAGTTCTGGAGTTCATTAGACTTCATTTATGCAACAGATACTATCATGGCCTTTATCCGTGAAATGTGAGGCTTGGCTTAATCCACTGGAATTAGTCATGCTCACTTCCACGGTGAATTTTAACCACCATAATCATCTGCCTCTGGATTTCTCAGATCCAGTATTCTTTCTTAGGGCTTCAACCTGAGGCTTGGAATTGAGGTTGGGACAAAAATGTTCCTCAGGGGATTGCATGGACTCCTCATTAGCAGCTAAATGCTAAGATAAAGCTGTGGAATTGAGTCCTCTTTCCACAAGGAAGAGAAAAAAATGCTTGTGACAAACCCAGATAACTAGTGGCAATAGTTAACTTTGCCAAGATTTGGGGGGGCACCCTGTTTATTTTCATCACTGAAAAATTTGCAGGGTAATTGCCTAGAACTAGAATATTAAACCAGATTTTTCATCGCTCATCCCTTTTTGTTTCTTCTGAGCTGCGGTTGAAGACTGCAAGCTTTTTCATAGGAATAAGCATGGTTGGTCTAAAATGTAGGCAAAAATTCAAACTTCATGGTTTTAAAATTTAATGACAAATGTATAAGTTTTGATACATGATCTTTCTCTATCCAGTCCTCTAATTTAAAAAAAAAAAATCATGAAGACCTGCCGGTGACAATATTTAATTTGTTTATTGATTTGTCATATTTTGCCTTAGCTGTGTTGAAGTACATATCATTTATACCTAATTTGTTCAGTTGTTTTTAATTACAAAGTCACGTAAAATTTTCCAAATACTTTTTGTTTATCTAGAATAAAAAATAAAGATGTGTAGCAGTAAACTTAATTAAAAAGAGAAACACTCTCTACACTATAAATTATAAAATATTGATGAAAAAAGTAAAAAAAAAGATATTTTTGCTCATGAGTTATAAAAAATATTGCTAAAATGGCTATGCTACACAAGGAAATCTACAAATTCACTGCAAACTCTATAAAATGCCAAGAACATTTTTGAACAAAAATGAAATTAAGAGGCATAAAATTTATGGGGAACCAAAAAAACACTCCCCAAATAGCTGTGAAAAAAGAACAAATCTGAAAATATCAAACTACCTGACTCCAAAACATACTGCAAAGCTATAACAAGCAAAACAGCATGATACTGGCATAGAAAACAGACACATAGACCAAAGTATCCAACGATCCCAGTAACAAAATTCATAAACCTAGAGCCAAGTAATTTTTAAGTTGCTTAGAACATACATTGAAGAAAAGACAATCTTTTCAACGAATGGTGCTAAGAAAATGGATTATTTAAATACAGAGGAATACAACTAGTTGCCTACCTGTTACCATATTAAAACAATTTAAATAAAAATAAATAGAAGATTGAAATGTAAACTCAAACTTATAAAACTATTTGAATAAGACATAGAGAAATTCTTTACTAAACAGGACAGGAAAAACATTTTAAATAAGATCTCAAAACCACAGGCAAGAAAAGCAAAAGCAGACAAATAAAATTAACAGAATCTAAAAAAAAAATTTACATAGCAAAAATAAATTAACAGAGTGAAAAGACAACTTACAGTGTGGGAGAATATATTTGCAAAATATACATATCACAATGGAAAAACATAAAGATATATAAGAAACGTAACAGCAAAACTAACTCACAATTTAGCAATAGGCAAGATACACTATGTGACACTTCTCCAAAGAAGACATGCAAATGGCCAAGTACATGTGAAGATGCTCAACATTATCATTAGAAAAATGCAAATTAAAGCTACCACAAGATACCAAATGACTCCAGTTAAAACGGCTACAATTATAAATAATACGTGCCTGGCCGTTTCAACAGGAGGCATTGTGACATATCTCTGGTCATTTAAGTCTATCATTTAAGTGATATACTCTCCTCTTCTGCCTGGACACTACCCATAGGGGGCATTGTGCCATACAGTTGGGCACAGCCCCAAAGTTATATGATTTTTCTGCCAGGAGCCTGCCTACAAGGAGAATATGGGAACATTTCTGCCTCAGCGTTTAGGTTATGTGGCTGTCATGCCTGTTTCATTACTGCAGAGTAAATTTTGACAAATAATTAGGCACAGCTCAATATTCTGACAAATCACTAGGCATGATAATGACTCATATGTGGACCTCCCAAATAGGAGTAAGTTTGACTCTTGTAACTCGCTTTAGCAATGCAAGTGATGTCTTAGATCTCTTTCTGGTAAAAGGGTCACCGAAGATTATAACACCCTCAAATATTTTACAGCCCTTGGCTTGTACAGATAATGCCATAACAAAACCCAAATGAAAGATGAAGTTGTGAGTCTCATATGCACACCCAGCTGACAGGAAGTACTGTCAGCATCTCATGTATATGAAGCCTACTGTGAAACATGAAAACAGGACATGTATGTTATTGTAAATCTCATCTCTGCAATAATCTCCCAGTGTGAATGTCATACACATCTTTGCCAAGCATCTGTGTGATTTGACTCTCCAGACAGGTTCCAGCATGTATATGAGATTGTGATCTCTACCTGAGCCAGCGTCTAGGTGATGTGATTCTCCTGCCTGGACCCTTTTCTCAGTAAGGATTGAGACATACCACTGGATCTAACATTCAGGTGATGTTACATTGTTGCCTGGACCATATTCACAGGCATCATTGTGACATATTACTGTGTCCACCACTTAGGTGATGTAACTCCCCTCTCTGGAATGGACCCTGAACACAGAGAATGGTAGTGCCATATTGGCAGGCCAGGGCATACAGGTGATGATACTCTTTTGCCAGGGATATATTTCAAGGAGGTCATTGTGACATATCTCTGGGCCTGTCACCTAAGTGATGTGACCGAACGCTTGGGCCTCACCTACATAGATCGTTGCAACGTAAAAGTTAGACCTGCATCAAGATGATGTAACTCTTTCAATCTAGTGCTGTCCTAGGGAAACTTGTGACATATCTCAGCACCCAGCACCCAGGTGATGTGGCTCTTCTGCCTGGGTTCTCCCCATGTGTTATATTGTGATGTACACATAAAGAAGCACCTACGTGATATGACCCACATTTTCTGCCTGAGTCCTGCCTACTGGGGACACTGGGACATATCTCTGAGCCCATGACCTAAGTGATATGACTCTCGCCCCCTGCCTGGGCTTTTAAAATAGTGGGATTATGACATATTGCTGAGCCCAGCATTTAGGTTGTGTGACTCTACTCTTTTTTTTGAACCATGCCCACAAAGGGAAATTTTGACCTATTGCACCCAGATGATGTTACTCTTCTGCCAGAATCCTGAATAAAGAGATAATTATTGCATAGTGATAAGTCCAGCACCCTGATGATGCTACTGTCCTGCCTGTGCCAGAGCCACAGAGGGTGTTTTGACACATCTTTGGCTTATTCTGTAAGTGTTTTGGCTCTCATCTCTTCATTATGTTTTTCCACATGTGGAATTGTGTCATATTGCTGGGTCCAGTATCCAGTTAATGTGGCCCTCTTTCCTAGACTCTGTGTAGAGAGAATATTGTGACATGTTAATTGCCACATCACCTAAGTAATGTTACACTTTTTTTTTCTAATTTTTTGCCCACAAATGGGATTATGGTTTATATCTTGCTTCAGTTCACAGGCATGATGAGCAAACTTATACTGGGATTCAGTCAATGGAAGATATTTTGCCATTCATCACTAGGCTTATGGCAATAGAAAAAATTCTTGGTTGAATATTTCTACAAAGCTCACAGAAGTTTACGACACGAATTCCTGTGGTATAAACTTTATGGGTGGTACAGAGCATTTTATAACAAGGCCCAGCAAAAAGTTAAAATTGTGACTCTCAGTTTCACACCCAGGTGAAAGTAAAAGTTGTCACCATCCCACATTTACAAAGTACACTATGGAGTTACTGAGTCTAACATGACAACACAGTACAAAAATGGAGTTGTGACTCTCACATGTGGATCTGGCCACAGGTGTAATCGTGACTCATTTTTGGGCCCAGCTCACAGGCATAAAAATGCTTCTCATTCCTGAATGTGGCCTAAATTAGAGATATTGACTATCATACCTGGATTTAAGACAATATATAAGATTGTGAGTCCATATGAGCCTATGGGCCTCAGAGAAGTTTGCAAATATAATGGATGCCGTTTGAAGCCCTTGGATGTTGTAGAGGGTGTCATTCGGTGGTCCAACACACACGTGACAATGTGACTTTGTTACAGACGCCAAGCTGACAGTTAAAGGTGTCACCCTCAAACATGAGGAGATTGTGTCATATCACTGTGCCGAGTACCCAGGTGTTAAAACTTGTGCTTTAATTGTTTCCCATGTGTGTATTTTGACATATCATTGCATAAGAATCATAACAGTGTGACTCTTTTGCCTGGACCCTGACAGCAAGGGATATTATCACATTTCTCTGAGCCGATCAGCTAGGTGATTTGCCTATTTTTCCTGTACTTTTGCCCCAAGGCACATTGTGACATCAGTGGTCATAGCATCTAGGAAATGTGACTCTCGTCTCTTGCCTAGGTTCTGCCCACAAAAGGAATTGTGACATACTACTGAGCGCAAAACCTAGGTAATGTAACCATCCCCTTTATTCTGGAGGCAGCCAATAGGGGAAATTATTACGTATTGCTGAGCTAAGCACCTAGGAGGTGTGACTCTCCTCTTTTTCTTCAACCTTGTCTACAGTCGACATGGTGTCATATTCATTGAGGCTGTTCTCCGTTGACATGAATCTTCTGACTTGGCCTGCCTATGAAGGAGATTATAATGAATTCTGTGCTCGGAATCCAAGTAAGGCAATTATGCTGCCTTGTTTCTGCCCACAGGTGAAATTTTAACATATACCTGAGTTCAGCTTACATACACAAATATAACTATCATATCTTTACCCAGAAGGGAGACATATTTTTACTCTCATGGTCAGTCTCATGGCCATAAGTAAAGAAATGAGTCTCCTAATTGCATAAAGTTCACAAAGGATTATGACACTCAAGCATATCATATAAAGTCTGAGTGGTACACAAACTGTCATAACAGGGAACAGTAACCAGGTGCGATTGTGACTCTTGGATGCATGCCTAGCTGACACGATTGTCATTCCCTCACAAAAATATGATCTACAAATAAGGTACTAAATTGTTACAAAAAAGATCAGTTGAAGGTTGAAATTGTTTCTCTCATACACAAATCTGACCCACAGGTGGTTTGGTGATACATGATTCAGCACAACTGTGAGGCCGTGACTCCCCTACTGGAACACAATCTTCAAGTGGGACTGGGCATCTTATACATGGATCTTGCCCATTGTTGAGATTGGGACTCCTCTGCTTTGACACAACTCACAGGAGGTGTTGACTCCTCCTGTACGTACGTGAAGCCAGGACTTCTGTGACTGTGAAACATTTCTGAATATTTCCTACTGTGTGATTAGGACATAAAAGTTAGCCCAGCTCCTGAATAATTTGACTCTCTTCTTTAGGCCCATGACCACAGATGAAATTGTGATATACATGGACCATACACCTAAGCATAGGTGCCTGGGCCTGTAGACAAAGGGCACTTTTACATGTCACTGGGAACAGCTCCCAGGTAACGTGGATTATTTGCCTAATGCCTGCCTATGAAAAGCACTGTGGCTTATGTCTGGGTTCATCATGTAGTGATGTTACTCAATTCTACTGCCTTGGCCCTGCACTAACGGTGCATTGTGACACATAACTGGGTACTGCTCCCAACTGATGGGACTCTCCATTTTGGTTTCTGCCATCAGAAAGCTTTGTAACATGTAACTTGGCTCAGCACCTAGATGATGTTTCTCCTCTCTTGACCTGCCCTGACCACAGGGGAGATTGTGACACATTGCTAAATCCAGCGCCAAGTTAAGGTCACTTTCAAACTTTGGTCCTGCACATAGTGGCCATTGTGACATTTATCTATACCAATTGCCTAGGTGAAGTGAGTCTCCTCTCCTTTCTAAGCCAAGCCCAAAAGGGAAATTTTGATACATCGTTTAAACCAGCATTCAGGTGATGTGATGCTTCTTCCAGAAGTCTGCCCACAATAAAGATTGTGACAGCTCACTGGACCAGCACCCACCCAGGTGATGTGACCTTTTTGCTTGCTGTCTGCCCATGGGGATATTGTGCCATACAACTGAGACCAGATAAGAGGACTAATCATGACTCTTAAACCTGGAGCCAGGTTATATGCATGATGGTGGCTCCCACTCCTGGAACTTTCCACCAGTGTTATTGTGACATACACTTCTGCCCAGTTCCTGAGTAATTTAGTAATCTTGCCTAGGTATAGCGCACAATTGAGATTTGGACATATATCTCAGCTGAGCACTTTGGTGATTTGATTCTCCTGTCTTAACGTTATCCTCAGGCACGTTTGTAGCATGTCTCTGGATCCATCATCTAGGTTACCTCAGTCCCCTCTCCTGCCTGAATTCTGCTTCCACTGGGTATTGTAGCATTTTTAAACACTGCATTCAAATTATATGAATTTCTTGCCTGATCCTTTCAACAAGAGACATTATGACTTACCTCTGGACCTATCATTTACATGATATGACTCTCCTCTTTTCTGGACCACTGCCCACAAGGGGTGTTGTGCCATACAGTTGGGCATAGGCCCAAAGTTATGTGATTTTTCTTCTAGGAATTTGCCAAAAAGAATAATATTGGAAGATTTCTGCCTCAGCATTTAGATTATATGGCTCTCATGCCTGTTTCATTACCACGGTGTAAATTGTGACATATATCTAAGCACAGCTCACAGGCATGATAAGGACTCCCATATGTAGAACCCTCAAATAGGAGTAATTTTTAATCTCATAACTTGCTTTAGAGTTATTTAAGTGATTAAGTTTCTTTATGGTAAAAAGATTGCAGAAGATTGTAACAGCATAAGTGATTTTAAAAAGCCTTCATCTTGTACAGAGGGTGTCATAACAGGACCTATCACTAAGGTGAAATTGTGAGTCTCATATGAACACCCAGCTGACAGTTAAAGACTGTAACCATCTCATATATATAAAGCCAACTGTCACTGATAAAAATGGGACATATGTGGTATTGTTAGTCTCATCCTGGGAATTTTCTGCCAGTCTGACTGTGATATAAATCTTTTCCGAGCATCTGTGTGATTTGACTCTCCAGACCGGTTCCAGCCCAGTGATGTTATTTTGAAATCTATGAGGGCCAATCTCTAGGTGGTTTGACCCTTCTGCCTGGGCCCCACTCTCAGTAAGAATCAGCTGAGCCATGCCCACATAAATTATTGTGACACATCACTGTGTCAACCACTTAGGCGATATAACTCTCCTCAGAACGGGCCCTGAACACAGTTGGGGATAGTGACATATGGTTGAGCCACAAGTCACTATCCCCAGCAACCAGACAAGAATGTGACTCTCTATGCACACCTAGTTGATACAATTGTGATTCTCACGCATAAACAGGGCCTAGTAATGAGGTACTAAATCTCACACATAAAAGTCATCAAAGATTGAAATCATTACTCTCATACGGGGATTAGATTCACAGGTGTTTTGGCAACATTTGAACCATGATTCAGCATGCCTGCGGTGCTGTGACTCCCCTACTGGAACACAATCTTCCAATGGGACTGGAGCTCCTATACATGGATCTTGACCATTGTTGAGATTTTGACTCCTCTACTTCCACCAAACTCATAGAAAGAGTTGACGACTTACATACAGGAAACGAGAACTTATGTGGAATGCGAAACTTATTTGCAAACTTTTCTGAGCGTGTGATTGGGTCAGGTAACTTTTCCCAGCACATGAATGATTTGACTCTTTTTCTAGGCCCAGACCACAGATAAAATTGCGCCATAAGTATAACAAACACCTTTGCAATATATAACATCTACCATGTTTCTCCTACAAAGGGCACTTTTATTTATCACTCGTATCGTCACCCTGGTGATGTGAATTATCTGCCTAAAACATGGCTACAAAGGGAATTGTGTTTTATAACTAGGTCCATCACATAAGTGATGTGACTCCCTTCTACTCCTTTAGCCCTGCACTTACAATGCATTGTGACACATAACTGCATCCAGGTGATGTGATTCTTTTTGGGGGATTCTGCCAACAGAAAGCATTGAAACATAACGCTTGGCTGAGCACCTAGGTGACGTTGGTTCACTTTTCCTGTACCCTAACCACATGGAGATTGTGACATATTGCTGGTCCCAGCACCAATGTGAGGTCACTCTCCAGCTTTTGTACTGCACAGAACAGACATTGTGACATAAATCTAGGCCAATTGCCTAGGTGAAGTAAGTCTCTTTCTTGTCAAAGTCTTGCCTACACACAAAGTTTTCATATGTCACTGAAATCAGCATTCAGGTGATGTGACCCTTCAGCCAGTGTCCTGTCCACAAAGTAAGTTGTGATATCACACTGGAGCCAAACCCTCATAGGTTATGTGAATTTCTTGCTTTCCTTCTGGCCAGG
Organism: Homo sapiens; assembly: GCF_000001405.40. Classification (NCBI taxonomy): domain Eukaryota; kingdom Metazoa; phylum Chordata; class Mammalia; order Primates; family Hominidae; genus Homo; species Homo sapiens. Next base: position 24,993,422 of record NC_000024.10, on the reverse strand, counting down.
TAATATTGTGCCATATACCACAAACCATAGCAAAAGTCTAATAACAACTCATATGAGTGGAGCCAGGACATATGCAGGATGGTGACCCTTATTCTTAAGCCTTTCCACAAGTGTAATTGTGTCTTATACCTTTGTCCAGCTCCTAAGTGATTTAATAATTCTGCATAGGTATAGCCCAAAAACAATAGTCTCATAAGTACCTGAGCCAAGTAACTTGGTGATTTGACTGTGCTATCTTAACAATGTCCTCAAGGGGATTTGTAACATATTTCTGGACCCATCATCTAGGTTGCATAACTCTCCTCTCCTGCCTGTACCTGGCTTCCTTTAGTAATTGTAGCATTTCCAAACACTGCATCCAAATGATATAAATCTCTTGCCTGGGCTCTGTCACAGGAAGCACTGTGACATATTTTTGGGCCCATCATTTTGGTGATATGACTCTCCTCTCCTGCCTGGAGACTGCCCACAAGAAACATTGTGACACAGAGCTGAACTGAGCACACAAATATATGATATTTGTGACAGAACCCTGCCTACAAAAAGAATACTGGAATATTTCTGGCCCAGCATTTAGGTGATGTGCCTGTTCTGCCTGTTTCATAACCGCAGAGGGAATTAAATCCTATATCTAGGCATGGCTAACAGGAATGATAATGACTGTCGTATGTGGACTCAGGCAATAGAGGCTATTTTGACTTTTATAACTAGATAACTAGTTTTAGGGACATGACTGATACCGTGGACCATCTTTTATACAAAGGTTGCAAAAGATTACAACACTCACACATATTTTACCAAGTCTTTGGGTTATACAGAGGGAGTCAAAGCCGGGCTCAGCACACAGGTAAAATTGTGAGTCTTGTACTCACACCCAGCTGACAGTAAGAATTATCATTACCTCACATGGATGAAGTCAATTGTCAAAGATGAAAATAAGAAATGATTGGTATTTAAAATCTCACCTTTGGAATTTTCTGACAGTGTGATTGTGATATAAATTATTGCCAAGCACTTGTGTAATCTGACTCTCTAGACTTGTTTCAGCTCATATATGGGATTGTGATATCTACTTACGCCAGCCTCAAGGTGGTGTGACTCTCCTGCCAGGGCCCTTCTCTCCGTAAGGATTGTCTTATCACTGGATCTAGCACCCAGGTGATGTTACATTTTTGCCTGTGCCATGCCCACCAAAATTATTAGGACATATCCCTGTATTCGCCTCATAGGTTATATAACTCTCCTGTCTGGAATGGGCCCTGCACAAAGGAAATATAGAGACATATTGCAAGGCCAGGCACACAGGCAAGAGAACTATTTTGCCACAGCCATGCCCAAAGAAGGGAATCATGACATATCTCTGGGCCTGCTACCTAGGCTATGTGGGGCTCTTGTTGGGGTCCTGTCAACCTGGAGTGTGACATATTTCTAGGCAAGGCACACAGGTGATGGTACTCTTTTGCCAGGGCTATGTTCCATAGAGGATATTGTGACACATCTCTGGGCCTATCACCTAGGAGATGTGAGTCCCTCCTTGGACCCTACCCACATGGAGCATTGTGACATGAGCAGAGGACCTTCAATTAGTTGATGAAACTCTCTTTGCTGGGTGCTATGTGAAGAGATCCTTATGAAATACCTCAGAACCCAGCACTCAAGTGATGTGGACCTTCTGCCTGCATGCTGCTCTCATGTTCCACTGTGACATATTCCTAGGGCAGCATCTAGGTGATATGACTCTCCACATCTGCCTGAGCCCTGACTACTTGGGACACCTTGCAATATCTCTGAGCCCTTGACCTAAGTGATGTGGCTCTTTTGTTGCCTGGGCCTTCACGATAGGTGGATTTTGGCATATTGCTAAGCCCAGCACTCAAAACATGTAACTCTCCTATTTTTCCTGAATTATACCCACAAAGAAGAAATTTTGACCTACTGAATGGCTCAACACCAAGGTGATTTTTCGCTTCTTCCTGGATTATGCATAAAGAGGAAATTATGGCATATTGCATATTGCTAGGCCCAGCACCCTTATGACTGTGACTCTCCTGCCCATGCTGGAGCCACCGAATATACCTTGACATGTCTTGGGCCCATTATGTAGGGGTTTTGGCTCTCATAACTTGGTTTGGTATTTTCCACATGTGAAATGTTGTCCAATGCTTGGTCCAGCACCAGGTTAATGTGACCCAAATTTTTATACCCTGCCTAGAGAAGGCATTGCGACATATTGCTTGGTACATGATCTATGTAATGTTACCCTCCTGTCTTGTTTTTTGCCCACATGTGGAATTATGACATATACCTTGCTTTAGTTCACAGGCACAAAGATCAAACTTATATTGGGATACAGCCAATAGGAGATATTTTTCCTCTCATTGTTTGGCTTAAGGCAATATTTAAGGTCCTGGGTTGCATATTTGTACTAACACACATAAGCTTACAACACTAACTTATATTGTTTAAACTCTTTGGTGGTAAAGAGTTTCATAACAGGGACCAGCAAAAGGTTCAGAATGGGACTCTTGGTTACACACCCAGGTGCAATTAAGAGTTGTCACCATTCCATATTTATAATTCCCACTATTGAGGTCCTGAGTCTAACAAAAGAATACAGTACACAGTTAAAATTGTGACATTTATATGTGGCTTTGGCCACAGGGGAGATGGTGATTCATTTCTGGACCCAGCCCACAGGCATAATAATGAGTCTTCTCCCTTAACCCTGCCTATAGATGTCGACTATCAAACGTGGTTTAGAGCAATATGCAAGATTGTGAGTCCATAGGAGCAGGCAGGCCACAGAGAGGTTTGCAACTCTCATACAGGTTTCATAAAGCCCTCGAATATTGTAGAGAAAGTTATATATTGTCTGAGCATACATGTGAGATTGTGACTCTAATATACATGCTCAGCTAAATGTTAACAATGTCATCCTCAAAGATGATGGGATTGTGTCATATCACTGGGCCTAGTACCCTGGTGTTGAGACTTTTTGTCTCAAATCCCTTTCTGTGGGTGCATTGTTACATATCGATGGGTTAGAATCATAATAATTTGACTCCTCTGCCTGGGCCCTGTAAACAGGGAATATTATCACATATCTCTGGGTCTATCAGCTAGGTGATGTGTCTCTCCAGTCTGTGCTTTGCTCCCAGAGGACAGTTTTAAATATCACTGAAACTAGCGTCTATGTAATGTAACTCTTCTCTCCTGCCTGGGTCCTGCTTACCAAAGGAATTGTGACATATGGCTGAATGTAAAACCTAGGTGGTATGCCTGTACTCTCTCTTCAACAGTTTATATCTGTGCTGCATTCTGTTTTATTACTTTGGTGCTCTATTTTTATACCAGTACCAGAGTGCTTTGATTACGACAGGTTTGTTTTGTGTTTGGAAATTGTTAAGTATAATGCTTCCAATATTTTAATTCTTTTTAAAGATTGCCAGGCTTTTCATGGTGCCTTGAGATCTTACATAACTTTGTGGGGTTTTTTTCTATTTTTGCAAAAGTATAATTGAAAATTGAAACAGGCTGTGTTGAATGTGTTGGTCACTTTAAACAGCATGGGTATCTTCACAATATTAGGTCTTCCAACCATTGAAAAAGAGCGTAATAAAAAGTGTGTTGTAGCTGGGGGTAGTGGCTCATGCCTCTAACCCAGAACTTTGAGAGGCCAGGAGGATGCATGGCTAGTTCAGGAGATCGAGATCATCCTAGCCAACATGGTGAAGCCCCGTCTCTGCTAAAATACATAAAATTAGCTGGGTGAGGTGGTGCATGCCTGTAATCCCAGCTACTCAGAGACTGAGGCAGAAGAATCGCTTGAACCCGGAGGTGGAGGTTGCAGTGAGCTGATATTGCACGACTGCGCTTCAGCCTAGTGAAAGAGATACTCCATCTCAAAACAAAACAAAACAGGAAATTGTGTTGCTTAATCTTTATAAGTTTTGAATTTTTCAGCTTTTCTTCTGTTACTGATTCCTAGTTTCATTCCATTTGGGCTGTAAATAATTGTAAAATTTTAGTTAAAAAATTATTAAGGCTTCTGTTGTGGTGTCACATGTGGTCCATCTAGAAAAATGTTTTCTGAGGTATTGAAAAGAATGTGATTCTGTTGTCTGCATACATTTGTTAGGTGTAACTATTGTGTAATGCATTCAGGTTTTTTGTTCCCTCGTTGATAGTCTCTCATTATTTATTTACTACTGAAAGTGAAATATTGATGTATTTCCATTATTATATGGTTGTCTATTTTTTCTTCAATTCTGTCAATGTTTGCTTTATGTGTTTGGGAAAATTGTCATATATTTATAAGTTATTAGTGAATAAACCCTCTTACTATAATTGAATGTCCTACTTTGTCTCTTGTTAATTTTCACATAAAGTAAATTATATGAAATATGGTAGTTTTCATCTTAAGGAATTGTTGCCTCTTCTCCTCTCATTTGGTTAACACTTGCATGAAATGTATTTTTATCCTGTGATTTTCAGTCTTTTAAAATTAGATATGAAATGAGTCTTTTGAAGACATGACATAGTTAGATGTTCTTATAGATAGTGATAGAGGTCTTTTTTTTTTTCATTTTGAAGGATACTTTTGCAAAATATAGTATTCTTGTTTAGAACTTTTTTTTTTCAGCGTTTTACCAATGTCATCCTACCCGCTTCTTGCTTGAAAGATTTATGTTCATAAATTTACTGGTAATTTTGCAGAAGTGTGAATATAAATAATACATTTGTTTTTTTTTCTTTCTGCATTCTTCATTCTCTTTTATGTGACTTCCAAAACGTTGCTTAACTTGTGTCTTGTTGTAAATCTCTTAATGTTAATTTTATTTGAAATTTGCTGAGCTTATTGATCTTCTCATTTTTTTTTTACTAATGGTGAAGTACATATTAGTCTTTTTCTGTATTTCCACTCCACAATTTTTATTTCTTTTTGTGCTTTTTATTTTTTGTTGGTTTAATTTTTGTTATTTCATTTATTTCCTTTTTCTTAATTTATTTATTTCCATTTTACTCACGGAGCATCACTAAATCGGCAATGTTAATTTTTAAGGGTAATTAATTTTTTTAAGAATATATCTAGACTATAACTCATATTGTCTCTGTTAATTTTTACCTCCCCGTTTTTTAATAATTGATTTCTGGATATTTATTTTTATCTTTGATTGAGCCATATTATCTTGATGTTTCATATATGTTGTAATCTTAGGTTGCAATTTGTATAATAAAATGTGACATGTCAAAATCTGTATTAAGTTTCTTTTGTCTGGGGGAATAAAATACACATTTTTTAGGCTAGATATTCTTCGGTCTCTAAAGCTTATTCTGTAAATGTTTTCTCTGGGCTTGTGTGTTTTTTAGTTTAAAAGGTTTTCCCATATTTTTCTTTTTTCTTTTCTTTTCTTCTTTTCCTTCCTTCCTTCTTCTCTCTTTCTTTCTTTCTCTCTGTTTCTTTCTTTCCTTCCTTCCTTCCTTCCTACCTATCTTCTTTCCTTTTCCTTCCTTCCTGCCTTCTTTCTTTCTTTCTTTCTTTTATTCTTCTTCTTCTTCTTCTTAATATTATTATTATTAATTATTATTATTATTATACTTTAAGTTTTAGGGTACCTGTGCACAACGTGCAGGTTTGTTACATATGTATACATGTGCCATGTTTGTGTGCTGCACCCATTAACTCGTCATTTAGCATTAGGTATATCTCCTAATGCTATCCCTCCCCCTCCCCCTCCCCCCACCCCACAACCGTCCCCAGTGTGTGATGATCCCCTTCCTGTGTCCAAGTGTTCTCGTTGTTCAATTCCCACCAGTGATTGAGAACGTGGGGTGTTTGGTTTTTTGTCCTTGCGATAGTTTGCTGAGAACGATGGTTTCCAGTTTCATCCATGTCCCTACAAAGGACATGAACTTATCATTTTTTATGGCTGCATAGTATTCCATGGTGTATATGTGCCACATTTTCTTAATCCAGTCTATCGTTGTTGGACATTTAGGTTGGTTCCAAGTCTTTGCTATTGTGAATAGTGCCGCTATAAACATACATGTGCATGTGTCTTTATAGCAGCATGATTTATAATCCTTTGGGTATATACCCAGTAATGGGATGGCTAGGTCAAATGGTATTTCTTTCTGTTTTGAGTGGGAGCTTCACTGTTGTTACCCAGGCTGGAGTACAATGGCACAATCTTGGCTCACTGCAACCTCCAGCTCCTGGGTTCAAGCAATTCGCCATCCTCAGCCTCCTGAATAGCAGGAATTACAGGAGCCTGCCACCACACCCAGCTAACTTTTGTATTTTTAGTAGAGACAAGGTTTCACCATGTTGACCTGGCTTGTCTTGAACTTCTCACCTCTGGTGATATGCCTGTTTCAGGCTCCCAAATTGCTGATATTACAGGTGCGAGCAACCGCTCCCGGCATTCTCCATGTTTCTTATTGAGATCCTATAGTCAGTTGCTATACCCCTTTTCTGCCTTCACTTGTAACAGTCATTTAACTTTGGTCTCAGCTATCCAAAACTGTCAGTTACCAACTTTCCTTTCAACACTGCCATGGAATATAGAAATTAGTTTATTGTAAGGTCTCAAAAACCCAGAAGCATGGACACAGGTGTCACTATTTTATTTATTATTGGACGGTGGAGACAGGAGTTGGGAGTCGATATTTAAAGTCATCATAGGATGAAGAATGGCTTTCGTGGGTAAACGCAAAATACTTTTATTAAACCACTATGTGGTTTTTTGCATTTTGCTCCCTTCGGGTGCTGCAAATTTTTACCTGGTTATTAGACTTCTCACAAAGGCATTTTGATCGGTGTATTTCTGTTAAGTTTAAATTTGTATTAAGGAATTAGAGCCTGTGATATTTTATTGTCACCTTGTTAATGTGCTTTGTTTAATTATATATTTGTAAGTTGTATTCACCTGAGTCTAATGAGGGAGAGATTTATAGTCCTTTTATTTTCTTAGCTTTCTCTTTTTATTTTACTGTAGAGCTATTGCTGGAGTATGACATAAAAGAATCATTTCAAAAAGTGATCCTGAGAAAATATGGTAGCTGTGACCTTAATGGTTTATATTTAAGGAAAGACTACCAAAGTGTGGGTAATTCCCATGTGCAGAAAGCAGTTATGATGGGCTTTATCAATGTTTGTTAATTACCCTTAGCAAAACCTGTCAACCTAATAAATAAGGCAAAGCTTTTGAGTTGTGCTCAAACTTCACTGAACATAAAAAAAGTTTTGGTGGAGACAAGTGCTGAAAATGTGAAGAATGTGGCAAAGACCGTAGGTTGTTCTCAGATTTTACTATAAAAAAGAGAATTCCTACGGCAGAGAGATGGTACAAATGTGAAGAATGTGTCAAAGCCTTCAATATTTCTCAAACCTTGCCGAACATAAATTTGAGTTTAAAATGAAGAGAAACCCTACAAATGTAAAGAATGAGACAAAACTTTTTCCTGATGCTCAACCCTTATTAAACACAAGAGAAATTATACTGGAGACAGACCCTACAGATGTGAAGAATGTGGCAAATCCTTTAAGTGCTTCTCAGACCTTACTAATTATAAGAGAATTCATACTGCTGAGAAATCCTACAAATGTGAAGAATGTAACAAAGCCTATAGGTAGTTCTCAGACCTTCATAAACATAAGATAATTCATACCGCAGAGAAAACCTACAAAGGTGAAGAATGTAATAAACCCTATAGGTGGTTCTCAGACCTTAGTAAACATAAGACAATTCATACTAGAGAGTCATACTCTACAAATGTAATGCACATGGAAGAGCTATTATGTAGTTCTTTGTCCTTAGTAAACATAAAATAGTTCATACTGGAGAGAAACCCCACATCCATGAAGAATGTGGCAAAGCCTTTACCCGCTCCTCAACCCTTATTAACCACAAGAGAATTCGTATGGAAGAGAGACCTTACAAATACAAAGAATGTGGCAAAACCTTTAAGTGCTTCTCAGACCTTACTAGTCATAAGACAATTCACACTGGTGAGAAACCCCACAAATGTGAAGAATGTGGCAAAGCATTGAGCTCATTCTCACACCTCATTAGACATAAGATAACTCATATAGAGAGAAGCTCCACAAGTGTTCAAAATGTGGAAAAGCCTTCAATAAGTCCTCATTTTGGGTTCAACATCAGAGACTTTATACTGAACCAATACGGTATAAAGTTAATGACTGTTTAAGAACATTTAACTTATGGTCTTGGAGAGTCTCTAGGAAGTTGCTTCATAATCTGAGTGCTTTTTTGTTGGGTACATATATAAGTGTTTACTATTATGTAATGCCATTCTTTGTCTTTTTTAAAACCTATGTTGACATAAAGTCTGTTTTGCCAGAAACTAGGATTGCAGCCCCTACTTTTTTTCTGTTTTCTATTTGCTTGGTAGATTTTTCTTTTTTCCTTTTTTCGAGCTTATTTGAGATGGGTGTCTTGATTATAGCACATCATTAGATATTGATATTTTATTCAGCTTGCCACTCTGTTTTGTAATTGGGGAACTTAGCCCATTTTCATTTAAGGTTAGTATTCATATGTATGGATTTGATTCTGTCACTATGATCTCAGCTGGCTATTTTGCACATTTATGTGGTTGCTTTATAGTGTCATCAATTTATGATTTTTAGTGTGTTTTTGTAGTGACTGTTATAGTCTTTTTCTTATTTAATGTTTTCTTTAGAAGCTCTTGTAAGTCAGGTCTGTGCTAAAAGATTTCCTCAGCATTTGCATATCTGAATAGGATCACATTTATTTTTCACTTCTGAAGCTTACTTTGGTTGGATATAAATTTTTGATTTGGAATTCTTTTTTTAAGAATGTTGAATATTGGTCCCTAATCTCTTTTGACATGTAGCATTTCAACTGAAAGGTTTGTTGTTTGCCTGATGGCCTTCTTTTAGAGGTGACCTGTCTTTTTAGTCTAGCTGCCTTTAATACATTTTTTTTCTTTCATTTTGACCTTGGAGAATCTCATGATTACGTGTCTTGAAAATGACCTTCTTGTGAGGTATCTTACTGGGATTTTCCCCATTTCCTGCATGTGAATGTTTGCCTCTCTATATAGGCTGGGAAAGCTCTCTTGAATGATATCTGAAAATAAGTATTTCAAGTTGTTTTTATTCTCCCCATCACTTTCAGGCACTCTTTTTAATCATAGATTTGGTTTCATTACATAATCCCATATTTCTTAGAGGTTTTGTTTATTCCTCTTTTTTTTTTTTTTCACTCATCTTGTCTGTCTTATTTAAGAAAGCCAGTATTGAAGCTCTGAGATTCTTTCCTCTACTTGGCCTATTCTGCTGTTAATACTTGTGATTACATTACAAAGTTTTCATATTGTGTTTTTTCAGCTCTATCAGATTGGTCACATTTTCCTCCTCATTGGCAATTTTTTCTATCCATTCCTGCAATTTTTTTCCCTTCATTGCATTGGGTTGCAACTCCATTTGTAGCTCAATGAAGTTTATTCATTTCCGTATTCTGAATTATACTTCTGTCATCTTAGGCCTCGGTGGAAATGTAATTTTTTCATTTGGATGAGAGATGTCACTGTGGCTTTTTGTGTTTTCAACATTTTTGCACTGATTTTGTCTAATCTTTGTGCGTGTATCTTTGAGATTGCTGACCTTTGAATGGGGTTTTGGGTTTGTTTGTTTGTTTTTTTTTTTTTTTTGATCCTATTTAATGGTCTTGAATATTTGATGTGGAATAAGGTGTTTGCAACTAACAGGCTTTGTTCCTGGGAGATTTTTTTTTTTTTTTTTTTTTTTTTGGTGGTGGAGCGGCTATGCTCAGCTCACTGCTCGGAGGCTTCATACTCTTAGGAACCTGTATTGAGCTCCAGCTGTCTTCTCTGGCTCCTTGATATTTAGAGTCCACCACTCTTTGTGACTAATGTGTCACAGCTTCAGAAGAGTGTTAGTGGATATGGGGTTTCTGCCTGTCTTTGGGCATTCACCTCAGTGACAGGAACAAAGCAGCTAAGAGGGGAGTAGGCTGTATCTGCTGGAGACTGTGTGTGCTGTTGCACTAAAGTCTTATTTGTGGCCCCTCATGAAGTTCTAATTGTTCAGAGTGTGGGAGGATACACTGCTCACCACACAGTGTTAGCAGAAAAGCAGGGGTGAGGCTTTCTGGTTCTCTACCCACCAGAGCTTTATCTACAGTAGAAGTTGCTGAGGGTGGCAGAGGCATACTGCATTCCCACTTGCTGGTGGGGCAAGCAAAGCCAAACCCACCTTTGCAGACATATGCCAGGAAAGTAATATGGAGAGTTGCCGTGGTATCAGGGGAAGCTGCAGTATGAGGAAGATACATGTGGGCTGCAGAATGGGGAAGATACATGTAAGCTGCAGTGATAGGGTCTGCCTTGCTGTAGTTCTTCAGGGGTCAGGCATGGATTACCATTGCCGATGCTGTGGTATTATCTTCCAGGGTAACTGAGACTGCCCTGTAAGCAACTGTAGCTAGACTGGGACCCTGGGAGAGGCCCGAAGACCAAGGAGTGCTCGGTTGGACCACCCCTTCTGATTTGCAACATTATCCTGTAGAAATTAGTTCCCCTCAGGCTAAAGTCTCTTATGGGAGCAAGTTTAGTCTATAGAAATGGCCATCACTGGCCTTATTTTACTATAGATGCTCTTGCACCAAACCCTCTGGAAACCATATGAGCTGGCTTACTGCCCCACCTCTTTGCTGGTCTTCTGGGGGGCTGCACTTGAGAGAGATGTAGGTCATCAATCCCTCGGTGCAGTCAGCCCTGGATGGAAAATATGTGCTTTCAGCCAAGTTAGGGGCTCACTGTCTGGTGAGGAGCACTGGGGAGTTTGTGAGCCCCATGGAGGATGGTCTAACCTCCTCTCCTTGGGCATAATGCAGCTCGTTTGAGGTGTGAATAAGGCAATTAGGGTTTGGGATATTTCATTAGTTTGAGGGTAGCAGGGACAGCTCTTCTGCACAGGCAATGATGAAATATATTCAGTTGCCCCTGGAAGCTGTGTCCATGGAGTTCCTAAGTTTTTGCTGGCTCAATAGCTCTGGCAATGATTGGCTAGTGGCCCAGGCCTGGAGGACCTGCCCACTGAGAATATATAAGAACAGGAACACATGTAACAGTCTGACCCCTTTTGTGAAAAGCTGCTGCATCTGCAATACGCTGGGTGTCCACTACAGTATCTAGTCACCTCAGATTTTCCGGTACCTGAAGTTATCACCAGTGAATGTGCAAAAAAAGCAACAATGGCACATGCCTTTTTCTCTGGGAGCTCCATCCCAGGGAGGTATAGACCTGTTTTCAGCCCAAAAGCACTTGTAGGAAGTAGCCAGAAATGCCTGTGGAAAGGTCTTCCCCAGTGAAAAGAAAATGACTGGGGATCCACTTAAGAAAGCAGCCTACTGGGTGCAGCAGCTCTTGCCTGTAGTCTCAGCACTTTGGGAGGCTGAGGTGGGTGGATCAACCTGAGGTCCGGAGTTGGAGACCAGCCTGAACCAACATGGTGAAACCCCATCTCTACTAAAAATACAAAATTAGCCAGGTGTGTTTGTGTATGCCTGTAATCCCAGCTAGTCTGGAGGCTGAGGCAGGAGAATCATTTGGACTCAAGAGGCAAAGGTTGTGGTGATCTGAGATTGCTTTATTGCATTCCAGCCTGGGCAACAAAAGTGACACTCTGTCTCAAGAAAGAAGGAAGGAAGGAAGGAAGGAAGGAAGGAAGGAAGGAAGGAGAGAAAGAAAGAAAGACAAAGAAAGAAAGAAAGAAAGAAAGAAAGAAAGAAAGAAAGAAAGAAAGAAAGAAAGAAAGAGAGAAAGAAAGAAAGAAAGAGAAAGAGAGAGAGAAAGAGAGAAAATGAAAGAAAAAGAAGGAAGGAAGGAAGGAAGGAAGGAAGAAAGAAAGAAAGAAAGAAAGAAAGAAAGAAAGAAAGAAAGAAAGAAAGAAAGAAATAAAAGAAAAGAAAGAAAGAAAGAAGGAAGGAAGGAAAGAGAAAGAAAGAAAGGAAGAAAGGAAGGAAGGAAGGAAGGAAGGAAGGAAGGAAGGAAGGAAGCACTGTAACCATCTTTTGTAGAACAGGTCTGCTGTGCAGAGGTACCACTTCCATCCAGTTTATTTGGATTCTCCAAAGCCAGAAGGATGGAACAGGTAAGTGACACAAACAGGAAAAATGGCAGCTCACTCTTTGCTCTAGGAACTGTAGCCCAAAAAGTTTTCAAAATTCCATCAACCAAAGAGTACCAGTGGTGTTAGCTGGAGAAACTCATCAGGAAGTACTTTCCAGTGAGGAAGAAGGAGATTGGGGACCTGCTTTAACAGGCAGTCTGGCCATGTCTTTCTAGAGCACCTGTACTATGCTTTGTGATTCTAGTCAGCTTGGGCTCTTCAAAGCCTGAAGGCTGAAATGGCTAAGTTTCCCAGGCAGCAAAGATGACGGCCCACTCCTCTTTCTGGTAGTTCCATCCCAGGGAGATGCAGTGCTGCTACCAATGGTTGGCTGGAATTCTAAGCCAGTACATCTTACCCTGTGAGGCACTGAGAAAATGCGTCCTACAGACCATCAATGCTAAGCGCCCTGAATTCTGCCTTTTTCCTATGGATATGTTCAAGATTGTAACCTCCTGCTTTGCTGGAGTTCCAGCGAATTTTTCTGGGAAGGCTGGAAAGTCAGCGAATCTAAGGCTCTTGAATCACTGCAGTCTTGAGTGGCTGCTCTGCTGAGACTCCCTGTAGCTATGTGCATTATACAAAAGGCCCCGGTGAAGTGGGTTTATTAGGGGATCACCTTACCTGAGGGTTGCAAAGATCTGTGGAAGAATCATGGGTTCCCAGGATCATGCATTCACTTACTGCCTTACTGGCTGTGAAGGTGTCCCTGGCTCCATGTTGCTTTCAGGTGTCCCGGTGTCCTGCCTTGCTTTACTCCATTCTCCTTATGTTAAGTTGCTTCTTTGATTAGTCTCAATGCAAGTACCTGGTGTTTCAGCTGAACGTCACGTATTTATGCACACCTTGCATTCCTGTCTATGAGAACTACAGAGTCTAGCTGCCTCTTTCTAGTCAGCAATCTTGATCACCTTCCTCTAAAAGGAATATACTTTTTATATTAAAAGAATTTAATATTTTTTGAGAACATATATTTTCAAAAGCAAATATTGATGTAATTCATCTCTTACCTTTGGTGATATATCTTTATTTCTAGAATTTATGTGAAAGAGCATGGTCAATAGCTGCTGCACCAGAGTTATGAGAGGTTCTTCTATATTACAAGGACAGATTTATACACTTTTCCATGGAAGATTAAGAAAACAGAAATCTAAGATACCTGAAGAATTTCTATGTACAAAGGCAACTTAGTTGTTGGTTTACGACAGTATCATAAATGACAGGATGATAGGAGTGGAGTAAGGGCAACATTCTGCATAGTGAGAGAAACAATTTGATTTTTAGTTGGACATTGCTTTACCATTTGCAAATTAAGGTAATTGGAATAAAGTGAATTCCAAAATGCCTTTTTAATGAAAATGCGTGGACTTAATTTCTTTTAGTAAATCAATATTGTTATTTTGTTAAAGCTATTTGACATTGAATGTGTATCTTGCAACTGATGATAAGTTATCCCATCTTAACCAAGGCTGTAGGTAACTGATGGTAACAATATACTACTGAGAGACAGTGGAATAACATCTGTAGTGATTCCTTTGTCAGTGGTTTTTAAAATGAAATAATTTGGAAAGTGTGGTTTTTACAACTTACATTTTTTTTCCTTGTAACTACAGGTTATTATGATGGTTGTAATGAAGATCATATTAGTATAACGGAGCTCTATGTTTCTGAATACTGAACAACTATTTATAAAATTTGATCCTACTTTTTCTCTATTAAAGGTATGACTGCTCTGCTCTGATAAACACACACAGACCTTTAGTTTTGATTTACATGAATTTAAATATAAGAAATATATTACTGTAAAATAAACTCTAGGTATGTAACAAACTTCTAGAAAATAATCATATTTATTTATGGTTGGTTACATTGAGAAGAAAATAAAAATATTAAAATGAAACAAATCCTTTTACAAGTGTTGACATCTTACCAGCAAGCCAGAAACTTCAAAGATTTTCAAAGCAAATCTATTTTCTCTGCTTTGTATTAAGCTCCTTGATTTAAAATGTGATTGCTAGTGGCTTAGAATCATCTTCTGCAAATTTTTCTTTTTTTGTAGGTTAGCCTGTTGCTCACCCTAGACATAATATATAATTTTCTTTTCATCAAAGTTCATAACACTTTCTTTGGACTGTGCTTGGTGGCTCATGCCTGAAATCCCAGCACTTTGAGTGGCTGAAGCAGGTGGATCTCCAGAGATCAGGAGTTTCAGACCGGCCTGGCCAACACGGTGAAATGCTGTCTTTACTAAAAATACAAAAATTAGGTGGGCATGATGGCGGGCTCCTGTAATCCCAGCTACTCAGGAGGCTGAGGCAGGAGAATCACTTTAACCCAGGGGATGAACATTACAGTGAGCCAAGATGGTGCCATTGCACTCCAGCCTGAGCAACAAAGCAAAACTTCATCTCAAAACAAACAAACAAGTGAAAAGACATTCTCTGTACAATCCCCTCAGAAATTATGAAAGTGACTTTGATAAAATGTAACGCTATTCGGAAAATAATTTTTACATGTGAGTAATTTTACAGTGCATGTATGGTATGCTATTTATTTAGTACATTTTGTATTTTTTCAATTTCAGAATTCTATTTAATCCAATTTTTTTGTTTACTTATTGACTATTTTACTCTATAAAGTTGACAGAATTGAGTTTATTAATTTTATTGGGCCAATATATTTAAGTAAACAATAGAACGTTTAGTAAGTCATGAGGTCTTTTTGACATACACATGAAGTAAACAAATACAATACTAGGTATGTAATGGAAGCTATGTAATTAGAAATAAATATTCCTTTTAAAATTAGCCTGTGGTCTCAAGTGAGAAATTTAAAATATCTATAGTAAATAAATGACATTAATTCTGCATACGAGGAGAGCATAATTGTAACCAATGCTGCACTAGTGAATCTCACAATTGAAACAAGATTAAGAGATGGACATTTTAGCAAAACTAAGTGAAAACGTTGTAAAATTTTCAGATTATGTTTCTGCATTTAAACATTTAGTGAGAGAAGTAGTGCACAAGTCTATCCAGTCAAACTTGAAATGGCTGACACATGTTAACCGTATTCACCCCAGGTATTGACACCTAAAATGCCCTGAACTCTTTTCATTTAGATTAACAAAGTATTGTTTTTGTCTTCGTCCTCTAAATTCTGGCTTAGACAGAATTATCCAGCCATT
This sequence comes from Homo sapiens, assembly GCF_000001405.40. Taxonomy (NCBI): domain Eukaryota; kingdom Metazoa; phylum Chordata; class Mammalia; order Primates; family Hominidae; genus Homo; species Homo sapiens. The sequence goes on along the minus strand of NC_000024.10, from coordinate 24,978,054 downwards.
TCATGTAGATTTGATTCTAGATTATTTATTTATTTATTTATTTACTTACTTACTTACTTACTTACTTTTTGAGATAGAGTCTCACTCTGTCACCCAGACTGCAGTGCAGTGGCATGATCTTGGCTCACTGCAACCTCCACCTCCCAGGTTCAAGTGCTTCTCCTGCATCAGCCTCCTTAGTAGCTGGGACTACAGGTGTGTGTCATCACGCCTGGCTAATTTTTTATATGTTTTAGCAGAGGCTGAGTTTTACCATGTTAGCCAGGAGGGTCTAGATATTTTGACCTTATGATCTTCCCTCTTTGATCTCCCAAAGTGCTGGGAGTACAGGCATGAGCCACCATGCCCTACTGGATTCTAGATCTTGACACAGCACATTTTCAACTTAATGTTTCTGCAGATAGAAAAGCTGTGTAATATGGAAGAACAAAACCAAACATTTATTACAGTTCAAGGAGATTTTGTTTGTGCCCTGCTGTCCTGGATTCTCAGAAGTGTAGGGCTGGCAGACATTACTGGAAGGCAGAAGTGGGAAACAAGCCTAAATGAGAATTCCGTGTGCGTCAAGTTTGTCTTCTTAGGAACTGGAAGGATCAGCCTTCAATTCTGGGTAGATTACGGGCAGTTGGGGGGGTATATAAAGAGTGGTTACGTTCCATCAGGTTCTAAGTCAATCCACCTTCTGCAAGTAGTAAAACCCAGTAAAATTAGTATTTGTTTGAAATATGAATTGGGTGATTTTTAAAAATAATACACATAATAGGTTTGCTCTGTATATTTTTTAATGATTCTTTCACAAGAGCTCTTTAGCCTTATTTCTTTACTCAAGCAGATTCTGAATGTCATAAAATCTGCTTATTATCAGATACTGAAAGATAAAGCAAAGAATCTTTTTAATTTTTTGTGGGAAATTTAGCCTGTAAATTTAATCTCCTTTGTATAATCTTTAAGTTTTACTGTGGAAGACTAGATTTAGGTTTACTAAGTTTTTGGCAACTATAAAAGCATATTCATAATGTAACTTTTAAAGATACTATGAATATCAATTTTCAAGTGCGTTGATTTCTTTTTTTACTTGAGAAAGATAAGCTATTTGAGAATTATATTACCCAACATGTCCAAAAAATGTTTTTAATTTGCCTATTTAAAAAAATCTGTTGATTTTGAATTGCATACCAAGATAACCTTATTTTAAGATTGAGGATAAGATGAAAAATAATTTATGTAAATAACATAAACTAAGTTTACTGAAATTATTTACTTATTTAAGAAACTTGATTAAATTTTAAATAAATTGCTGTCACCTATCAGCATTTGTGCAGCATTTTTTTTAAGATTTGGTGTCTAAAACAGGTAACGATTTGGACAAAGAAGAAAAGAAAAATTCAATGATTGGTATAACAATAAATTTCAGAAAATAAAAGCTCTGTATGATGATGTAATTAAAATAATGTAAAGGATAAAAATTTTAATATTTGTTTTTACAGATTATTTGGCAAAATCAACCCTGAGACAGCAATGTGTAGAAAATACTACTAATTATGTTTTTGAGAATCTTATGGACTTTGGCACTTTGAGAACCTTCACTATAGGCCCAGGATTCCCTAGGCATTTGTTCCAGGAGAATATCTTATGGAAATGAAGCAGAAGGCCATGACCACAAAGATAAACGGATGCTCATCTAGAGACACGTAGGTGCAGGTTGCAGAAACAGTAGGCTTTTCTTGGTGGTCCAGGAAGGGGCTATTCCCACCATCCTAGAAAAGGGGCCTGGAACTCCATTGAGCCCTCTCTCCTGCAGGGACCTCAGAGGGCATTAGGGGAGGCCAGCCTAGGTGTTCTGTCCTGTCCCTGGCCCTTGGGTCCTGCCTCATCTGCTATCTTTTTCCACAAAGAAATCAGGATGGCAACCCACAATGCAGCCCCACTAGAGGAAGGAGATAAAGAGAGTCAAGGCTCACACCCATCTTGGAACATTAAGTGACTTACTGATTAGCTAGTCCAAAAGTTAGAGCAGAATTTGGTGGTGTGACACCCTAAGATTACATTCTAGGAGAAACCTGTATGGCACATGCCTGAGGCTGTGCGTTGAAGGAGTGTTAGACAGGTCACTTGGGCTTCAGTGAGCCTGTGCCCCTAGTCAATTCATGGAGACACGGGCTTGATAAGAGCAGGCAACAAGGGTGCAACACAGCAGACATGCTTAGCTGTCAGTTGGGCAAGGAGGGGTAGGCATCAGAGTTCCCTGCAGGGGAGAACCCTCTTAGGGCCCTGAACTGAACCGAGAGATTCTTCAGTTTTTTGAAGCACAGGCTGTACTTGGAGCTTCAGGGGTGGCACTGTCCTGTGGCATGGTAAAGGTGGGGTAAGCAGTCAGTCACTGAGGGGCTTTCATTGCTCATTTTTCTGATGAGCATGATTGAGAGCCCAAAGCCACAAGCCAGGAGGGGCAACAGCACTGGGCTGAGGCATCACCTTTTTTCTTCACTGGCTCCCATAAGCCTTCCTGGCATGCCTTGAGGAAGAAGATCCCTTATCCTTGTGAGCGTAGGCACAAAACTCATGTGAGGAAAGCCCAACAACAGCCTCTTTTGTGGGCGCACCTGGGCCTCCCCACTCCAGTGGCCTGTGAAACCCAAATGTAATTCCAGAGATGAGAATTTAAATTTGGTTCTAGAAACAAAGAGTTCAGCTCCGAGGCCAGAGCAGAAGTGGACATGTTAATTCCATGACACAAGGGCCAAATCAGAGAAATGGATTGACTGTTAAGCTGCACCCATGCAGTGTGTGCACTGACCCAAGCAGGTCCCATTCTCTTCCTGTCTCCAATTATTTTACCTACAACTTGTCATTTGTACCAGCTCTTTCTCTATCCCCCACATCCGGTGGTTTTTGAAATTCCTCTGAAGGCTGCATGACTAGAGTTAAGGGTCACAGCACTCTAGCCCACTCAGGCTGTGCCAGGAAGAGAGATCTCTCAACCTACCTTGACACTTAAGAACCATGCATAAATAGTGCCAACTCTAGGAGGAGGGCTGTCACATCCTCAGACTGTTTTCTGCTCTCCATACCAAAAGATAAATTAGAGGCCGGGCGCGGTGGCTCACGCCTGTAATCCCAGCACTTTGGGAGGCCGAGGCGGGCGGATCACGAGGTCAGGAGATCGAGACCATCCCGGCTAAAACGGGGAAACCCCGTCTCTACTAAAAATACAAAAAATTAGCCGGGCGTAGCGGCGGGCGCCTGTAGTCCCAGCTACTTGGGAGGCTGAGGCAGGAGAATGGCGTGAACCCGGGAGGCGGAGCTTGCAGTGAGCCGAGATCCCGCCACTGCACTCCAGCCTGGGCGACAGAGTGAGACTCCGTCTCAAAAAAAAAAAAAAAAAAAAAAAAAAAAAAAAAAAAAAAAAAAAAAAAAAGATAAATTAGAATGACAAAGAAAATAAGACACAGACCTGGCAGTTCTGCCTTTTAAGGGCCAGCCTCAGCCTAGTCACCGTGAATCACAATTTCAGGTTCTGCGTCAGCGTGTCCCACCTTGGGAAATAGTGGAACTGGGACCCCAGAATGTCATGATCCAATGACAGTCTGGAGAAGGGGCACCTCAGCAGCCTGTACAAACCCAGTCACACCTGTAACAGAAACACACCCTACCAACTAAGAAGCCATCTCATTATCTTAGACAACCATACCAGCAATGTGCACACACAATGGGCCTTTTAGTAAACTGTCAACTCAAGGATTTAAGAAAAATCAAACCATTTTGAATTTAGAGTCTCAGGAAGAAGACCCTCCACTGCCTTAACCAGCCTGTATGATGGATGAAACTGACAGTGTTAACTTGACTTGGGCATACCTGGAGACTGACCTTGTATTAAAAAAAAAAAAAAAAAGCTTCTGAGTGCCCAGAGATCCAAGATAAAAAACCTAGTAGTGGCTAACCTGAAAATTATTCTTTCTTTATGAGGAATATCTCAGTACCAGGTCTGTTCCATCCTGTGGCATGGAATACAGACCACACAGGGGACTGAGGCCACTCCTTTTTTGTTAAATAAATGCTGACAGGTGAAAAGTTGTTGAAAAAAGTGCTAAATAACAATGCTATACAAACTGCATGCTTTTTGTAAGTGGGAATGGTTATCATGCTAAGCCCACTGACAGTGGACTTTTTCCCCTCTTTTTAAGTCCCCAGTAAAACTCCGTATCTCATTCACTTGTTCTAAGTCTCTTCTTTGACATCTTGAACCTGGTGCCATTTCTATGGGAGTTGAATTTGATGCAACTTATCCTATATTAAGGAAGGATTTCAGACTCTGCTCAATGTGCTTCAAAGCTCACCGAGGCATCAGCTAAGAAAGATGCTGTTGTTCTCCTTAACACTCTCATTCAGGCCTCTTTTCCTTAGATGCACAATCAGTGGTGTACCAGGAAAGATGACTAAGAGAAACATCGTGGTCACAATCAAGATTAATGCCAGAATAAGCAGCGAACACTTGGAAATCAAAAGGGAGCATTTTTCAATGCCCTCAAATTCTGTCTTCAGTTCCTGGATTCAGTAATGGTTTTGAAGATCCATCCAACCTCTAGAGGAACCATGGGCCCTTAGGAGGTAAACACCTACACTTAATCCTGGTTCAACAAAGCTTTCTCTTGACAAATATGATGTCTGTGATCGTGAGCTTCTAAGCAATCTGCACAAAGCATAACCTGAAAACCTATAAAAGGGAGATGAGTAGGTATGAGGGAAATAATTTTCCACATTTTTTCTTGGGAAATTCAAAAAATTGTGATGGTGGGAAAATGTGCAGAAGAAGACAGCATATTAAAAGTCCTCATCAGGTGATTTTTACCACCAGAGTTTTTAATCCCAGCTATGAGATCTCCAAATAAAAACCAGAAGTTACTTCACTGCATCTATCCATGATTTATTGTACAATATTTTGTCTATCACAGTGAGGGGTCTTCACTGAGGATCTTCCCATTAAACATATAAAGATAAAGAAAGGAAAAGGTAAAATAGCAACTCCATGAAATCATAAGATAAAATGTAGAAATATTCATCTTCTCACATCAATTGCATTTTTGTACATATATGAATGTGTATCTACCCATAAAGCTAATATATTCAAAATAAATCAAATATATGTCAAGTTAAAACTTAAAACAAATTTTTTTGACTGGGTGCAGTGGCTCACACCTGCAATCCCAGCACTTTGGGGGATCGAGGAGGGTAGATCATTGAGGTCAGGTGTTTGAAAGCAGCTTGGCCAACGTGGTGAAATCCCGTCCCTACTAAAAATACAAAAAAGAAAAAAAAAATTCCTGGCATCTGTAATCCCAGCTACTTTGGAGGGTGAGGCAGGAGAATCACTTGAAACTGAAAGGCAGAGGTTGCAGTGAGCTGAGGTCACGTCACTGCACTCCAGCCTGGGTGACACAGCAAGACTCTGTCTCAAAATTTTATTTTTTAACGGCAAAAAGATTCACATATGGTGCAGACATTACTTGTTGGAGTGGAGTGGGTGCGGCTCTGTCCTTGTAAAGTAGGAAGAGCAATCAGTGCCCTGGATTGTGTGTAGGGAACCCATTCGTACACAAATAAAGAGGCAATCAGGGCTTCAGCCTAGCAATACTGAGGCTTGCACGGGGCTTTCGAAAGCAGTAGAAATGGCCTGTAAAACTGAATGCTAGATGGGCTTGTAACAATAAAAGATCTGTCCAGGGATAACAGCAGTTCTGATAGGAGCCCCTGACTATACCCTGCCTCAGCAAAATGTAGACAAATAAAGAAAAAATAATTCAAGAGAAATAAAATTTAAAAATAAAGCAATTGGAAAATAGTAAGGGCAAATAAAATAAACTGAAACAAAATAGAGAAAAGTAAAGAAAAATATAACTAAGATTAGTGAAAATAAAATCAAGATGAAGATAAACAGTAAATACAATAAAATTGAGAAATAAGAAAATTTTAAGAATAAGAAGAGACAAGTGAAAGTAAAAAAGAAATGCAGAGAAAAATAAAATAACAAAGAGATATGCATGGAAATAAATAAAAGAAACAAGAAATTGAATAAAATTACAAACAACAAAAATCTAGAAAATTTGAAATTGAGACTATAATGAAAAAACAAAAAATAAAAAATGAAGTAAAATTAAATTAATAGAAAAAATGAAAGTAAATAAAAATAAAGAGAAACAAGATAAAAACAAAGACAAATGTACAGAAAAATAAAAGATTAAAAAGAAAAATAAGATCTAGGGATAATCTACAAAACATTTCACGCAACGATAGCATAATACATAATATTTCTAATTACATACAGTTTATTTCCTAAGATAGGCAAACTTCTTAGCTAGCATGCAAGTTTTAGCATATTTGAACAAATGGTTATAAAAAAGTATTACTTCTGACTACAGTAAAATATAACTGGAGGTTCAAAACCAAAAGAAAGCTAGCATGTCTGCATGTATATGAAAAGTAGACAAATTCTTCCGCACGCTATTTTAAAAGAGTTAGAACATGCACGTTTCTTTAGACGTTTATGGTATTCAAAATGATCTACAGATCAATGAGACCTCTTTCAAAAAACCAATGGTAGTTTTTCCAGAAGTACTAAAATATTCTGAAGTGTTGGCATCAATATTTGGCTGTGTCACCCAGGCTAGAGTGCAGTGTCCTAATCATGGCTCACTGCATGTAGCCTTGAGCTCTGAAGTTCAATTGATCCTCCCACCTCTGCCTCACAAGTAGCTGGGCCTGCAGGTGCATGCCACCACGGTCAGCAAGATTTGGGGGTTTTTGTAGAGACAGGGTTTCACCATATTGCCAATGCTGGTCTCAAACTTTCTGGACTCAAGCAATCCACCTGCCTTGACTTCCCAAAGTTCTGGGATCACAGGAGTGAGCCACCAAATATTGCCCTATAATTTTTATAAATGCTCAAAAACCACAAATAGACAAACAACCTGGGAAAATATAATAAAGTCAGAGTCATATATTTTTTTATTTTAAAACATATTGCAAAGTTACAGTAATCAAACAGTGTGGTGCTGGGAAAAAGACAGAAAAATAAATGTTGAAAGAGATAAGAGAAGCCAGAAAGTAACCCACATGCGTATACTCAGCTTATCTTAAACGACGGTTGCAAATCCTCATGTTGCAGAACACTTTCCTTACATCAAAAAAAATTGGGTTCTGGTCACATGACTAGAATATATTAAGTCAGGGACGCTCTGAAGGATGAGGAGTAGAGTTGATTGGGGAAAATGGAAAAAAAAAAAAGAAGAAGAAGAAGAAAACTTTTAACAAAATGAGTTGGAGACCTGTTTACAGGCCCCCACCTCCCAAATTGATGAACACCAGACCATCACAGGAAACTGAAGAGTCCAGGCTTCTCCTCCCTGCACAAGAGGTGAACTTTCCATGGCTCCACTCTCTTCCCCAGTTGTGCAGGTGGATATTACTGAGAGAAAATCAGTTGGAAAAAGGAAGGCTTTATCTGGGGCCAACAGTCTGATTTTTCAGACTTCAGGCTGTTTTAAGCTTGAATGTGTGGTTTTGCCAAGGACCCTTGGCTCTTTTCTAACTCGTTATTTCCCCCCTTTAAATGAGTACATCTGACTGCCATTAGAAGAAGGATAAGGATTAGGACAAAAACAACTTTTAAGTGCTTCCTGCTGAGAGGGGGCACTTTTTTTTTTGGAAAAAAATGGCAATCAGATCTCACTAAGAGGCCTATCTAATTGTCCCCAGTGAAATGGGCCACTGTTCAAGGCTCTGGTTGAGTGACTTTTTGAACTTTGGTAGGCTAAAAATAAAAAGAATCAAACTGGGTTATTAAAAAACATGTACTGAAATGAAACAAGGGGCAAATGGCAAGGTCAGCTCAAAATTTCCAAGGTCTTTTCCCTTGAAAAGGGAAGGTCTTTTCCCATAGAAAGAGGAAGGACAAAAACTCCAATGGAAGAAAAAAAAAATTGTTTGGCCAGCATGTCAGTCTTCTGGGTTCTTTTGCCTTGAGTTCGATCCTAAGCAAACAAGTCTAAATTTTGGGAAATTAACTCTTCCAGGCTTTGAGGATGCATCTGAGGAAAGTGTCCCATAGTATGAAGACATGATTACCTATCTGTAAATAGAGGACAGAGGAGAAAGAAAAAACAAAAAACATTATTTTCAGAGAAGTCCCAAGGGTTTAGTTTGCATTCAAAAGGCACATAGACTGAAGACAAATGGCTACTCATCTAGAAAGAGAGAAGCAGTTGTCCCTGGTTCCTTTCTCTTTCTTGCAAATTTCCAGGGTATGTTGAGGGATAGGAGAAAAAATCTTCTCTTTCCTGCTCCTATTCTTCTATCCCCGAGTCCCAGTGATTGTAACAAGGTCCGTCCATGGGTGTCAAAGCAGCTTTCACCCATGTTAACGGAGAGAACTAGGGTGGTTGAAATGTCTGCTCTTACCCACGTATGCCCTATCTACTCTGCTGTCAGTAGTTCTGGAGTTCACTAGACTTTATTTATGCCAAGGACACTAGCATAATCTTTATCGATGAAATGGGAGGCTTGGCTTAATTGTCTGGAATTTGTCATGCTCACCTGCACTGTGCCTTTTATCCTCCATTATCATCTCCTTCTGGATTTCTCAGATCCGGTGTTATTTCCTAGGGCTTCAACCTGAAGCTTGAAACTGAGGTTGGGACAAAAATGTGGCTCAGGGATTTGCATGGACTCCATATAGTTAGCTGAATTTTTAGATGAAGCTGTGGGATTGAGTCCTCTTTCCACGAGGGAGAGAAATAATGTCTTGTAACACACCCAGATATCTCGTGGCTCTAGTTATGCTTGCTAAGATTTGGGTGGGCACACTATTTATTCCCATAACAATGCAGGGTTTGCAGGATAATTGCCCAGAACTAGAATATTAATCCAGATTTTTACCAGTTTCTTTTCATTTCTTCTGAGCTGCAGTTGAATATCACTAATTGGCTTACAAGAATAAGCCGGTTTGTTCTAAAATGTAGGAAAAATGCAAATCTAATGAGTTTAGGATTTAATGACAACCATATAATTAGTTTTGACAAATAATCTTTTCCATTCAGTTCTTTTGTTGTTGTTGTTAGAAACAAATAATGATAGAACTGAGTTCTTTGTGAAATCAGCTTTAGTCGTATGCTTGGATTCATTATTTACATAAAGCACAGCAAGAAAAATTATTCCTACATAGTTATTTTACATTGGCTTTAATAGAACTCTTCCACAAGAAATTTCAGAGAGGACTTTCTGAAGTCAAACCCAGCCATGGTTTTGTACCATCAGTTAGTTATGAGTTGGGTTATCCTCTTCTCTTATGGTCCCAAAATAAACTTGGAGCCCCTGGGCCTGTCCAAAGTGTCATTCTTTACTTACCACAGATCTGGAACCCTGCACAAGGACTCTGTAGATAAGGTATAAGGCCAGTTTATCCAAGGGGCTATTATTGGCTCTGCAAGTTGAGCTTGACTGCTTAAAGGGAAGCAGAACTTTTCAATCAAGGCCTTGATAAAACAACCAGTTTCTCTAACTGTGTCCTGTTGCAAATAAAATAGACTATTATTACACTGATTCAAACAGCTATATTGCCATAAGTTAAGAACACTCATAACTATTTTTCAAATTCTGAAGAAGCCAGGAAGAGAGAGATAAACATGATTCAAATTTTCTTCACAGGAGTACACCTTACTCAAATATTAAAGGCTGTAAACAGCTCAAAATAAGTTTCCTTGACTATGGTAAACAATACATGAGTCAGTAATGTTACAAGCAAAAATAGGAAAGATTACTTCATGTTTCTATCAGTCCAGTCCATTCAGTTAACTCTTGTTTTGTTTAATATTCATAAACATTTTAGCTCTTCATGGGTCCTGGTAGGTTTTTCCTGTATTCCTGTCACAGCTCCAAAGTTTTCAGAAGCCTGCATTTGTGAGCACCAGTCAAAGTTCTATAGCTGATTAAAAAACATTTTTGGAAAAATGTCAAAACCAGATGACAATTGTCTGTGTTTAACAAAACATCCAGAGTAGTTACAGTCAGAAAGATGATTGACAAAAATTTTGGTTATGTCTATGGTTTGCAATAACTTAACATAACAGCATTAATTGTGGTTGACAGCATATATGTCAGACATTAGAATTTTAGAAATTCCATACAATTTAGGAACATGTATTAGTATTATTCATGAAAATGCCATCTAAAGAATATTGAAAACCATTTTTGGGATTCCTTGTAACTAAACACGTTGTATGATCCTGTATAAAGCTCTCGTGGATACTCCAGGCACCCTCTTTAGCATTCAAAAACCAGGAATTAGGAAAGACCATTTTGTAATCAAAGTTTGATTTTGAGAAGGATATTACATGTTAGGAGTTTGAAATGCTTGATGTTATAAAATAAAATTCCAGATTACCATAAATTATTTATTTAACGAAAATAATGACCTATAAATAAAAAAGCAGAAACTTTTACATTATTTAAAAATTTTCCTTCAGAGCAGATTAGTGCCTTAAGAGTACTTTTTGTGCTTTCATTTCAATGCTCAATTTACAAAAAAACAAAAAACAAAAACAAAAAAACATATAATATCCTCTTGAATTTAATTGATATTCACACACAGAATTTCTTGGAAAGATTTATTTTTACAATTCTTCCATAACTTGTTTGAACTTTCAGCTTTATCATCTGTAATTCAAAACGGTTGTTTGATCCTAGGCAAGAATTTATATTTGCATGCCTTCTTATAATGTTGTATTAAAAACACATTTTACCGTCCTTACACACCTTGTCTGGAAATGTACTTCCAGTGGTTTCAATTACATATTATCACGGTAAATTTTAGCAATTTTAACTTTAATGTAAAGCCAGGTAAATTGTCCTAATTATGTGCTAGGAGCAGCCATAATTAAGGGTGTGTTTAGTTCCATTTTTCCTCAGGCTTGACCAATTGTGAAGCAAAGTTGAACTGTTTTCAAAAACCAAAAAAGCAGTTATAACCTTAAAACATTCAGCAAACCTAGTATCTGACCTGCATAATTTAGTCCACCTACTCACATATTGATGACATTTGTGTTTTACTGATAATCTTAAGGCTGTTTTTATTTCTCAAGCATTAAAGTCATGTGAACTAAAACATACACATCTTTCATCTTTCCTTCAAAAATATTTGATCCAAGTGCTTATCATTTTTTCAGTAAATTTATTGGAGCTCTTTTACACACATACAGGCAGAAGAAAAACCCAGTACCTATAAGATTTTAAATCTGCCAATTTCCTGATTGAATTACTGGCCTCTCATGCATCCATTTTTTTCTTTGCTTGTGTCCCCTTCCTTGACATTTCCATGGCTCCACCTCCTTTTCCCAGTGCGCGTGTGGGCATTACTCAGAGAGAAACAGTCAGGAAAGGGCCGATTTTATCTGAAATCAGCAGTTCAATTTATCAGCCTTTAGGCTGTTTTAGGCTTAAAAGTGGAGTTTTGGCCAGGACTCTTGACTGTCTCCTGTCTCTATTACTCAAAATGAGAAAAGGTCCCTTGGCTATCTCTGGTCTCTATCACTTTACATGAAAAAAGAACAGTTTATTTAACAAATGAGGTAGAGAATACTGAATACTCAAACAAAAAAACAATTTTTGAACCTTACCACAAGGATGAACTTAAAATGAAACAGGACTTATTTTTATAGCTGTTGTAAATAATTTTTTTCTTGAACTTTTCTTTCAGATGGCTCATTCTTGGCATGTAAACATGCTCCTAATTTTGTATGTGAATTTGATATAACGCCACTTTACTGAATTTCTTTATTAATTCTCAAGATTTTTAGTGTACTATTTAGTTCTGCTATATAAAAAATTGTATGATCTGTGATCAGAGACAATCTGAATTTCTCCTTTTTCATTTGGATGTCTTTTATTTCTTTCTCTTGCAAAATGATCAGGCTGAGAATTCCAGTACTCTGTTGAATGAAAGTGGTAAAAGTAGACATCATTGTCTTGTTCCAGATCTCAAAAGAAAAACTTTCCTATTTTCCTGTTCAGTGTGATATCAGCTAATGAATTTCATATTTTGCCTTAATTGTATTCAGGTAGATACCATCTATACCTAATTTCTTCTGTTGTTTTAATCACAAAGGCATGTTAGATTTTTCCAAATACTTTTTTTGCATCTAGAATAAAAAATAAAGGTGCCTAGCAGTAAAACTAATTAAGAAATAAACACTGTCTACACTGTAAATCATAAAACACTTATAAAGAAAGTAAGACATGAAAAGTTTGAGAGATATTTTTGCTCATTAGTTATAAAACATATTGTTAAAATGGCTTTGCCACTCAAGGGCATCTACAGATTCAATGCAAACTCTATAAAATACCAAATGACATTTTTTTCACAGAAATGGAAAAAACAGGCCAAAAATTCATAGAAAACAAAAGAAAACCTCTCCAAATAGCCAAAGTAATCCTATGAAAAAAGAACAACCTGAAAGCATCAAAGCACCTGACTTTAAAATATCCTACAAAGCTACAACAAGCAAAAGAGCATGACACTGGCATAGAAAACAGACACATAGACCAAAGTATGCAGCGATCCCAATAGTAAATTCAGAAACCTAGGGCCAAGTAATTTTTAAGCTGTTTGGAATATGCACTTAAGAAACGACAATCTTTTCAATGAATGGTGCTAGGAAAATTGATTATTTAAATGAATATAACTAGATGTCAACTGGTTACCTACCATATTAAAACAACTTAATTATATATAATTAGAAGACTTAAAGGTACAACTCAATCTTAAAAACTATTTGAATAAAACATAGGGAAATGATTTACAAAATAGGACAGGAAGAAAATGTAAATAAGAACTCAAAAGCATAGGCAACAAAAGCAAAAGCAGGCAAGTGAATTTAACAGAATCTAAAAAATATCACATAGCAAAAATAAATTAATAGAGTAGAGACAACTTACAGTGTGGGAGGATATATTTGCAAAATATACATACGACAAGGGATAATCACACAAAATATATAACAAACACAAAAGCAAAAATAACCAGAATTTAGTAATACATGAGAGACCTTAAGTGAAATTTCTCCAAGGAAGACATACAAATGGCCAAGTACCTGCAAAGATGGTCAACACTATTAATTATTAGAAAAATGCAAATTAAAGCCACAATAAGATACCAGATTACTCCAGTTCAGATGGATATAATCAGAAATAATACGTTAATACGTTCCTGCCACTTTCAACAGGAGGCATTGTGACATATCTCTGGGCCTATTATTTAGGTGATATGACTCTCCTCTTCTGCCTGGAAACTGCCTACAAGGGCCATTGTGCCACAGAGTTAGGCGTAGCCCCAAAGTTATGTGACATTTCTGCCAGGAACTTGCCTGAAAAGAGAATATTGGAATATTTCTGCCTCGGCATTTAGGTTATATGGCTGTCATGCCTGTTTCATTACCACAGAGTAAATTTTGACATATGCCTTGGCACAGCTCACAGGCATCATAATGACTCTGATATGCGGACCCCAGAAACAGGAGTTAATTTGACTTTTGTAACTTGCTCTAGAAACACGAGTGATGTCTTGGATCTCTTTCTGGTAAAAAGGCCACAGAAGATTATAACAGCCTCAGATATTTTATAAAGCCCATGACTTGTACAGAGAGTGTCTTAACAAAACCCAGAAGGATGAAATTGTAAGTTTCACATGCACACCCACCTTAAAGTAAGGACTGTCAGATCTCACATTGTCACTCATGAAAACAGGACATGTGTGGTATTATAAATCTCATCTCTGGTATGTTCTACCAGTGTGAATGTGATACAAATATTTGCAAGCATCTGTGTGATTTGACCCTCTAGATTGGTTTCAGCCCACATAAGGGATTGTGATCTCTACCTGGGCCAACTTCTAGATGATATGACTCTCCTCCCTTGGATGTCCTCTCAGGATTGTGACATATCACTGGATGTAAAACCCAGGTGATGTTACAGCTTCTAGAGGATGTGACCATCCTGCCTTTGCCATTCTCTAAGGATTGTGAAATATTACCAGATCTAACACCCAGATGATGTTACATTCTTGCCTGCGCCATTTCCGCAGACATCATTGTAACATATCACTGTGTCCACCACTTAGGAAATGTAACTCTCCTCTCTGGAAAGGACCCTGAACACAGCAGGTGGTAGTAACATATTGCTAGGCCCAGGCACACAAGTGACGGTACTCTTTTGCCAGGGCTGTGTTTTAAACAGGGCATTGTGACATATCTTTGGGCATATTACCGAGGTGATGTGACTCAAAGCTTGGGCCTCACCCACGTAAGGCACTGTGACATAAAAGTTGAACCTACACCAAGGTGATGTAACTCTTTCACCTTGATTCTATCCTAAGGGAGCCTTGCAACATATCTCAGGACCCAACACCCGGGTGATGTGGTTCTTCTGCTTGGTTTCTGTCTATGTCTTATACTGTGACGTATACCTAAAGAAGAACCTAGGTGATAAGACTCTCCTTTTCTGCCTGAGTCCTGCCTAATGGGGACACTGGGACATATCTCTGAGGCCATAACCTAACTGACATGACTCTCTTTCCCTGCCTGGGCCTTTCAAATGGTGGAATTGTGACATATTGCTGAGCACAGCATTTAGGTCATGTGACTCTCCTGTTTTTATCTGAACCGTGCCCACAAAGAAAAATTTTGACGATTTGCACACAGAGGATGTTACACTTCTGCTACGACACTGAATAAAGAGGGAATTATTGCATACTGGTGGGCCCAGCAGCCTGATGATGCTACTGTCCTGCCTGTGCCAGAGCCACAGAGGGTATTTTGACATATCTTCGTCCCATTCTGTAGGTGTTTTAGCTCTTATCCCTTGGCTAACTTTTTCTACATGTGGAATTGAGTGATACTGCTGGACGCAGCACCCAGTTAATGGCCATTTGGCCACCTTCAAACCACACTGAGACGGAAGCTCGGCTTTTGTGCAGTCCAGCAGTACAGAGAAACAGCAACCCAAAGTGTTGGGTTGGGGTTGCTTCTTCCCAGAGACCAAAGCATACCACCTCCTCCGCTATCCTAGTGTGGGAAGGAGGGTCAGGATGCACATGCATCAAGCACCCAGTGCCCAGCAATCACTACCACAGGCAGCAGGGAGATGAGGCAGAAAGGGTGAGGAAAGTAGCAGTTGGAATGTGTGTGTGCAGAAAAGCTACTAACCCTCTTATTTCAGCCACAGTTAGCTCACTGCAAGCAACAGAAATCCACTCTGGGAAACCTAAGCCAAAAGGAAGATAAACTGAAGAACCAGAAGACAGAAAGGGAAGAAGGGGGATGGTGGCAGAAGGTACTTTGTGGGAGAGATGGATCTTTCTCAAACCTTTTATCCCTGCCTGTTATTTAATCATGATTGGGTTCTTTGGGAAGAGGGTACGGCTGGCCAGGGGAGAGCAGGATACCGTGAGTGGTAGCTTCCAGGCATCTGTCTACCAACACAGGGGAAGGAAGCACGTCCCTCAAAGAAAGCCAGGATGCTGGCACCAGAAAAAGGGCGAAGGATGCTGAGCATGGGGAGGACAGAGATGTCTCTTCTCTCTTTGGGACTGTATCTTGTCACCTGTAAAATGGGGGAAAACTGTGGCTACATTGTGAAAATTTAATGAGATAAAACAGCACAGTGTGGCTTATGGGAAGTCCCTAATATATAATAATTTTAAATAATTGTAGCTAAATAATTTTAGCTTATCATCTTAATTTTTGATTCAGCTCTCTCTGAATTTTACATCCTAGCACAGATCAATGATCTTGCAACTCCAACCACACCATTTTGCAATTCTGAACCTCTACCTAGAGAAAGCAGTGGATCTTTATACATTCGACACAGCCCTTCCCTCTAGAGTAATAAAAAATAAACCTAGTTTTGCATAAGTCTTTTTCTGTAGGCTGGGTCTCTGGAGTAAGTGAACCCCATGGCCAATCCATCTGAAGTCAAGGTTAATAGGGCCGTGATACTAAAGATGTGGTATTAAAGATCTCCTTCTGGTACCGCATTCTTTATGATGCATGGCCAATTACCCACTAAGGAAGATACTGCAGCCGTAGCAATTTTATCCCAAAAGCATGTCATTTTATTTTTATTCCCACTGACAAGCACATACCTCTTTAAATAAAAAAAAAAAGAAAACGAAAGTGACTATTGCTCAAACTTACATTTTGCCCACACATTTTTCAACTCTTGGGATTGTATATTCCAGTCCGGATATGGGCACTAACCAAGCCTTTCCTGATGGATGGGCTTGGCTGTTTTCTCCATGGTTTCTTGGCTCAAATTTTTGGCAAATTACATGTTTTTGCTTAGTTTTTGGGCAAAACTAGATGTTTCTGTGGCTTTGCAGTTTTTCTCCACCAAAAGCATGAAATTTGACCAATTATTTACTGATAGAGTTATGGAAAGATGAAGCTGTGGCAGATTTCAAGTTTCAAAATCCATCTCTGGTTAATTTGTTTGAAATAATTGACTATAGGATATGGTAGATATCAATTATATGACAAACCTTTTAGGTTTTGTTTAATGTTAAAAATAAAGTGATAATGCTGGCCTTAGCATATTAATTAATGACTTTCGTTTTCATCCTAAGAACAATGGGAGCACATTAATCTTTGGCAGAAGATAAAGTGACCAGATTTGTGTTTTAACAGGTCTCTGTAGCTATTGAAAATGGACTGGAGAAGACGAATTGGAGTGAGAAGAGAGTGACAGAATCAGATAAAAATGTGCCATGTTACTATGAGCAGGAGATGAGGCAGCCTCAACCAATATGGTGCAGAGAGAAGAAAATCACTTGAGAGAATGGATTAAACTGGGTGGTTAGCAAAGAGAACTGAATCGAAAATTATGATAGTAAGCTAAATAATTTTACACACAAAAAGGCAGAGTTGCATTCACAATTAGTCTCTTCAGACTGAATATTACAGCCAAATTATAACAATTGGTGTTGCAATCACTTCCCTTGGGTTTGTATCCAAGGTTAAGAATGTCAGCATCCAGAGGTCCAAATTCTTCTTCTTTTTTTTTTTTTTTTTTTGAGAGGCCCAGAGGCCCAAATTCTTAATGTTTTTAGATGATAAAGTTTATTCAAGGTAGACTGTCTGTGTTGAATAATTTAGCCTCTTACAAATTTCAAGAAAAAATCTATTGTCCCTCTTCTCCACCACAGACACACTTTAATTGAACATTAAGCATATTTATTAAAGAAACATTCTCTTTTGCTTTTTCTCCCAAGAGAGATGGTGTTCTTACTCAGAGTTATAAGTGTCAGAATAAAGAATGCCCATGAGGTTGAATTGTATGATGCTACGGTAAAGTGAAATAAACATTCTCAAAAACATGATTATGACTTACAAACAAACAAACAAAAACCAACAAACAACTTTCTGTCGAGGAATTACGCTTTTGGGACAGAAACTTTCCTTTAAATTTGAACAGCTGCATGCCGACAAAGAATATGAAAAAGGCACAACACACCGATTATGAAAACATGACTACACTTTAAGAGAACACAGAATTTTTCAGATCCATCTTAAATCTCAGGAGTTCTAGACCGAGACAGGAATGAGTGCTCTTGTTGCTAAAATCACTCTGATGTGCTTCTTGTTAAACAATTCACTCAGCAACATTACAGATTAGCACACACACACAAAAATTGTTTGTAGGTGAAAAATTGTTTGGAAAAGGACACCTTATTAGCCATGTTATCTACTTACAAATAAAAGCCGATTTTTGGCTCTCCTGAATGAAAAGAAGGGTAATTGGAGGATATCTGGGGCTTACTAACTTGATTTTAGGCCAGGGGTGTCCCAGAATCAGGGAGCTCCTGAAGAGGGGCCTTGTCATAGGAACTACCTGATCTGAGCTTCTCCTCAGTCCGAGATGTACCAAGGCCACTGCTTGCCCCGTGTTTACAGGATTCAGAGTCTTCAGGGAAAGTTGAGCCCAAGTGGTAGAGTCTTCTTCCCCAGCTGTGTTCTCACCTCCCAAAGCCCCACACAATGGAAAATCCCTCAAGAGGAGGCAGTCACAGAGAGAAGTGGAGGCCAGGTGGCCTCCAAATGATCAATGTCATACAGGGCTCCTGTCTGCTCTACGGCCACCTCTCAAGTTGTTCTTTCCTAGGTTCCTTCTTAAATTTGATAGATTTATCCAAAACAGGTATGAATTCAGATCCTACCAATTTAATATTGCAAGAACTCACCCAGGGGAAGGAATAGAGCTTAACAGTAATGTTGAAAAAGAAAAAGGAAATTTTTAATAAACAAAAGGTATCAATAAAATGGAGGACTCTTTATCTACTTAATTAACTGTTTGGTGACCCTGATGAATTTAATGATACTCAAACCACCTAAGTAAGTGAGCTACTGGGACTGAAATTTTGGCTCTCTCTCTCTCTTTCTTTTTTTTAGAGAGGGTCTTGCTCTGTCATCCAGGCTGGAGTGCAGTGACATGATCAAATCTCACTGCAGCCTCCAAATCTCAGGCTCCAGCAATCCTCTCATCTCAGCCTCTCAGATAGTCAGGACTACAGGTACATGCCACCATATCTGGCAATTTTTTAATTTTTATTTTTTGTAGAGACAGGGGCTCACTGTGTTGCCCTGGCTCAAACTTCTAGCCTCAAGTTATCTTTCCATCACAGTCACCCATAGTACTGGGATTACTGGCACGATCCCCTGTGCCTGGCCTTTCTTTGTTAAAATTCGCCTCTAAGTGGCAGCCCTTGAAATGTATTTCTAAACTGCTGTGAACAATTAAGTTTGATTTTTTTAAAAAAGTAAGAAGAAACCCGATTATTCAGACCTTGCACTAATTCAGGCTTTCCTTCCTACCAACCAGCCCCTTTTAAGATGGTCTCATGAGTTATTAGCATCTTCATCAATGTGTCAACAAGAATGACTACCTACATCTGCACAACAGTTTTCAAGATATTTCCATGGTTATTATTCTCTTATCTGGCCCCACCCACATCCTGCTGATTGGTCCATTTTAGAGAGAGCCGATTGGTCTGTTTTACAGAGCGCTGAATGGTCTGTTTTGACAGGGTGCTGACTGGTGCATTTACAATCCCTGAGCTAGACAAAGAGGTTCTCCACATCCCCACTAGATTAGCTACATAGAGAGTGTCGATTGGTGTATTTACAAATCCTGAGCTAGACACAGAGTGCTGATTGGTGCATTTACAAACCTTGAGCTAGATACAGGGAGCCAACTGGTGCATTCACAATCCCTTAGCTAGACATAAAGATTCCCCAAGTCCCCACCAGATTAGCTAGACACAGAGCTCTGATTGCTACACTTACAAACCTTTAGCTAGACACAGAGTGCTGACTGGTGCATTCACAATCCCTTAGCTTGACATAAAGGTTCTCCAAGTCCCCACTAGATTAGCTAGATACAGAGTGCCAATTGGTGCATCCACTAACCCTGAGCTAGACACAGTGTGCTGATTGGTGTGTTTACAAACCTTGAGCTAGATACAGAGTGCTGATTGGTGTATTCACAATCCCTTAGCTAGACATAAAGATTCTCCAAGTCCCCACCAGATTAGCCAGATACAGAGTGCCGGTTGGTACATCCACAAATCCTGAGCTAGACAGAGGGTGCTGATTGGTGTGTTCACAAACCTTGAGCTAGATACAGAGTGCTGATTGGTGTATTCACAATCCCTTAGCTAGACATAAAGACTCTCCAAGTCCCCACCAGATTAGCTAGATACAGAGTGCCGGTTGGTGCATCCACAAACCCTGAGCTAGACACAGGGCGCTGATTGGTGTGTTCACAAACCTTGAGCTAGACACAGCGTGCTGATTGGTGCACTCACAATCCCTTAGCTAGACACAGAGGTTCTCCAAGTCCCCACTAGACTCAGGAGCCCAGCTGGCCTCACCCAGTGGATCTTATACCAGGGCCACAGGTGGAGCTGCCCGCCAGTCACTCACCGTGCGCCTGCACTCCTCAGCCCTTGGGCGGCCGATGGGACCAGGCACCATGGAGTAGGGGGTGGCGCTCGTCCAGGAGGCTCAGGCCATGCAGGAGCCCATGGCGGTTGGGGGAGACTCAGGCATGGTGGGCTGCAGGTCCCAAGCCCTGCCCCGTGGGGAGGCAGCTAAGGCCGGGTGAGAAATCCAGCACAGCGCTGGTGGGTCAGCACTGCTGGGGGACCCGGCACACCCTCTGCAGCTGCTGGCCTGGGTACTAAGTCCCTCACTGCCTGGGGCTGGCAGGGCTGGCCGGCCACTGCAAGTGCAGGGATCAGCAAGCCCACACCCACCCAGAACTCTAGCTGGCCCACAAGCACTGCACGCAGCCCTGGCTCCCACCCCTGCCTCTCCCTCCACACCTCCCCGCAAGCTGAGGGAGCTGGCTCCGGCCTCGGCCAGCCCACACAAGGGCTCCCATGGTGCAGTGGAAGGCTGAAGGGCTCCTCAAGCATGGCCAGAATGGGCGCTGAGGCTGAGGAGGCACCGAGAGTGAGCCAGGGCTGTCAGCATGCTGTCACCTCTCAATCCCCCCTGGCAGTTTTGGAGAGTCACTGCTGCCAAAGAGTCTATTTGGGATTATAAAGTAAGAACAGATTTCGCTATTTCTTGCAAACTGTCTGAGATATCCTTGGAGAGTGTGTGGTAGTAGGATAATGAAGTAGATAAACCACATATTCTGGTTCCTGTAGCCATAGCCATTCCTAACCCTTTAAGGAGGGGTATTAGTTGTATGGCTCTGCACTGACAGACTTGAGCTTTGAGGGGTACTGATAAGGTCTGATTTCCTGGGGCAATGATAATGTTGGGACTTAGACTAAGGTGCAGGTGCCTGTCAAGTTAGTGGGGAGGCAGATACAGGTCGTTGTTCCACATAAGAAGAATCTGCCTTGTCTGGGTAGACAGAACTTAACCCTGGCTTTTAAAGGAATAGTGTACACTGTTTTTTTTTCTTTACTATTTCTTTCTCTCTCTTTCTCTCTTCAACTCCTTCTTTGTCTCTTCCTCTCTTTTTAACTCTCTCTTTGACTTTCTGTGTCTGTCCCTCTTTCTCTCTGACTCCTTCTCTTTGTCCCTCTGTTCCTTCCTCTCTCTCTCTCTTTCTCTGACTTTCTTTTTCTCTCCTTCTTGCTGGTCTTTCCCTACCTCTGCCAGTCACTCATGCTGCTGTTCTCCCCTCTTCTTCCCATTTTGATGGCTTTGGCAGTGTAAGAGTGCCACCTACTTGTGTTTTTGCATTGCATGCAATAATTCTATAATTTCCTTGTGGCATTTAACAGGGGTTCCCCCAGAGGTTAGGAACTCCCTCTCTTTCCATATTGCAGCATGGGCATGTAGGATTAGATAAGCATATTTGCTATCTGTATACACATTTATTCTTTTTCCCTTTCCCAGTTCTAAGGCTCGGGTAAGTGCCACTAGTGCTGCTAACTGGGCACTGGTCCCTGGGGGAAGAGGCTTACTTTCAAGTATGGATACATCACTAACTATGGCATAACCTGCCCTTCGTATCCCATTCTCCATAAATGAACTTCCGTCGGTATATAGGTTAAGGTCAGGATTAGTTAAAGGGACTTCTAAGAGATCATCTCAGGCGGCAAAAGTCTGGACTATAATTTGTTGGCAGTCATGCTCGATTGGTTCCCCATCCTCTGGGAGAAAAGTGGCAGGGTTGAGGGCCATGCACATGAGTATTTGAAGCGCCAGTCCCTCAAGGAGTAGCACCTGGTATCTAAGTAGGTGGTTGTCTGATAGCCACAAACTTCCTTTGGCACCTAGTATGCCATTTACATCATGAGTAGTCCAGACAGTGAGATCCTTTCCTTGTATTATTTTGATAGCCTCTGACACTAAGACGGCCACTGCTGCAGCTACCCTTAAACAGTGAGGGCAGCCTTTTGCTACTACATCAATTTCCTTACCTAGGTATGCCCCTGGTTGTGGGGTTGTCCCACGAGTCTGAGTAATGACTCCAAGAGCTATCCTAGCTCTCTTTGTGAAGTATAAAGAGAAGTTTTGTCCTGTGGGAAGGCTTAAAGCTGGAGCTTCTACTAGGGCCTGCTTTAAGGTTTTGAAGGCTGTTTCTGCCTCTGGTTCCCATTCTACTAGATGAGTATTTGCCTTCTGGGTTTCCTTGATTAGAGTATAGAGGGGCCTGGCTATCTTGTTGCATCTGGGGATCCACAGTCGGCAAAAGCCAGTAATTCCAAGGAACCCCGCAACTGTTTTAATGTTTTAGGGTGGGGATAAGCCAGTAGAGGCTGTATTCATTCCTTGCTGAGGGCCCTGGTCCCTCTGGCTAAGATTAGGCCTAGATATTTGACCTGCTCTAGGCAAAGCTGGGCCTTCGACCTAGACACCTTGTACCCTTGATTAGCTAGAAAGTTCAAGAGATCTAGAGTAGCCTGCTGGCATGAGGCTTCCAAACTGGTAGCCAAAATAAATCATCCACATACCAAAGGACCAGAGTGCCTGGACTTGAGAAGTGGCCAAGATCTTGGGCCAGTGCCTGATCAAACAGGTGAGGGCTATCCCTAAACCCTTGGGGCAAGACCGTCCATGTTAAGTTGGGACATGTGGTTTGTGGGATCCTCAAAGGCAAAGAGGAACTGGGAGTCAGAGTGCAGGGGAATACAGAAGAAGGCATCCTTGAGGTCCAGAAGCATGAACCATTTTGCTTCCTCTGGTATTTGAGAGCAGGGTATCGGGGTTGGGTACAACTGGATATAGAGGAATTACTGCCTCATTGATGAGTCTAAGATCTTGCACTAGTCTCCACTGACCGTTTGCTTTTCCTACTCCTAGGATTGGGGTGTTGCAGGGATGGCTGCATTTCCTTACTGAGCCTTGAGCTTTCAAATGTTTAACAATATTCTGTAGCCCTTTATTAGCTTCAGGCCTTAAGGGATAGTCTTTGATAAGGAAAAGTGGTGGGATCTTTTAAACTGATTTGGACTGGGTGGGCATTTTTTGCCCTTCCAAATTGTCCTTCCAATGCCCAGACTTCAGGGTTGATTCCCTCCTCAAGTAGGGGACAACAAATGGGTAAGTTCTTCCCCATATTCATGTAGATAATAGCTCCAGCCTTGGCTAATATACCCCTCCCTAATAAGGGTGTGGGACTTTCAGGCATAACAAGAAAGGGATGTGAAAAGACCAAAGTCTCCCAATTACAACTCAGGAGGTGGGAGAAATACCTGGTAACAGGTTGTCCCAGGATTCCTCAGATGGTAACGGACCTTGAGGACAGTCGTCCAGGACCAGAGATTAACACTGAGAATGCCGCACCAGTGTCCAGGATGAAGTCAATTTCCGGGCCCTCAATAGTTAAACATACCCGGGGCTCAGTGTGGGTGATGGCATGAGCTGGTGCTTGCCCGGGGCACCCTCAGTCCTGTTGTTGGATTATCTGGTTGGGGGCTTCTGACCCAGGAAAACTTCATCCTCTGGGGCAGTGCACCTTCCAGTGATTGTCTCAGTGTAGTGGACATGGACGAGGGGGCAGCTTGTTTCTCATTGGACAATCTTTTTTAACGTGTCCTAGTAAGCCACACTGATAACAAGCCCTACCAGGTGATTGGACTGCTCCATTTTCTGTCCTCTCTGAATCACCAAGGTTTGTTTATCTCAGGGCCAGGACTAAGGCTGCAGCCTTTCTCTGACCTCGCTTTTCCTTTTGGGCCTGTTCCTCTTGGTCCCTATTATAGAACGACGAGGTTTGCCAGGTTTAATAATGCCTCTAGATTTTGTTCAGGGCCCAGGGCTTGCTTTTGGAGCTTTCTCCTGATAGCTGTGGCTGATTGGGTAATAAATTTATCTTTTAGAATCAATTGACCCTCGAGGGATTCAGGCGAGAGGGGAGTATATATTCTTAAGACCTCTCGTAGCTGCTCGAGGAAGGCAGAAGGATTTTATTCCTTTCCCTGTGTTATGGTGGACATCACTGAATAATTCATGGGCTTTTTTCTAATCCTCCGTAGTCCCTCTAGAACACAGGTCAACAGATGTTTACAACTCCAGTCCCCATGATCTGAGTCAAGGTCCCAGTGGGGATCCATACTGGGGATGGCTTGCTGACCAGTAGGGAATTTGTGCCTTTCTTCAGCTGTCATTCTATCATTTACTGACTAAGATACCAGGTATCTCCAAACTCTCAGGCTGCAGCTAAAGCCACATTCTTTTCATTAAAGACCAGGGTTTGATCTAAGAGTAGCATGACATCTCTCCAAGCGAGGTCAAAGGTTTGCCCTAGACCCTGTAGGACATCTACGTACCTATCAGGATCATCTGAAAACTTCCCCAGGTCTGCCTTGATCTGCTTTAAATCAGAGAGGGAGAAGGGGACATGCACCTGGGTTGGGCCAAGTTCTCTGCCCCCTACAGCTTGAAGGGGACATAACCGATTGCCTGGGGGGCGGGTTGTGGTCCTCTGGAGATTTCTTTGCTTATTTCCTTCTGGGCAGGGGAGATTAGAGGAGGATTATCATTCATAGGAAGGGGAGCTATAGGGAGGCTAGGATATGGGGGTAAGCTGAGAGGTCCTCCTGTGGGATGTAAATTGTAAGCTTTGCATAGTTGTGTATTCTCCCTCAATGAAAAGAAAGCTTGGACATAAGGTATTTCACTCCATTTGCCTTCCCTCTTACAGAAAAGGTCAGGATGCAGGATAGTATTGTAATTTCTACTTCCCTCACGTGGCCATTTTTCCCCATCAAAGAGGGAATATTGGGACCAAGCCGTAGTGCAGAAAAAAAATGAGCCACCTCTTTTTCAGGGTTTGTGGGTTAAATTGGTCCCAATGGTTTAGCATGCATTTCAAGGGTGAGCCTGTTGATGCCTGAGTGTTTCCCATCTGAAAGACAAAACCGCCTGCGGTTTTGGTTTGTTTTGTTTCTCCCCCTGCCCTAGAACCCGCAACGGTCCCTGGACCCTGCTGATCAGAATAGTTGCACTCACCAACGCATCAGCAGAAACAACCCCTGCCCAGGAACCCACAATGGTCCCTGGACCCTGCTGGTCAGAATAGTTGTGCTCACCGACGCTGCAGCGGAAACACTAGCTTTCCTTCCAGACCACATGGAGGACTGAGGAAGGTCGGTCCTTACCGATGCATTCTCAAAAACCTGCACCCTTGCCTGTCCTCCTAGACCACAAAGAGGACAGACTGAGAAAAATCGGATTTAGTGGCCCTTACCGACACATTCTTAAAAACCTGTTAGAGTCCTAAGCATTCACCTTTTAGTGTTGGGACTTTACCCCTGTCCTATACAGATGTTATGCCCCAAAAATGAAGTGGAGGGCCATACCCTGAGGGAGGGAGGGGATCTCCAGGGTGGAAGAGTGACACATTTTGTCCTCACTTACATGAATAGGAAGGATACAATTTCTGAGGCTCCCCATATCCTAGCTTCAGGAATAGTTTTTGTTAGGCCTATTAGTCGGAGGAGGGATCCTAAAATTCCAGGTAGTCCCCACTACGACAGGGCTTTGGGCAAAAGTTATGTCTTTCTGATTGGTGAGCCCAGGTGCCTGAAGAAAGTAACAGAGTCCTGGACTTTATACTAGAAATCATTCTTATAGGAGAAACTAGAAAAGCACCAGAGACAGGTAACAATTTTTAGAAGGAGGACTAACCTCAGAGAAGAGAGTCAAGAGGAAGTTTGTGTGGCAAGCATTTGGACACAGAGGGCAAGGGTCAGGGATAGATAAGATAGATGGGTGAGTCTCGCTTGGGCGACATGCCTTTGAGAGTTCCACTCATGGCCGTAGGGTCAACCAACGTGTTGTCGGGACCCCGGAGCTGAATGGCTTTCCTCTCTGTTGACCCTCGGCTGAGCCCAGAAGTACAGGAAAAGCAGAAGCTTGTTCTAGGCAAACCAACGCTCCCAACTCCGAAGAGCTGGGGGTTGTTAGAGAGCCCATTTCCAGAAAGCCTGACACCCGTGTCTTTAGTCCGGTGGCCACACTAGTCGCTTTTAGCTGGCCGACAGGTGCCCGATATTTAACCCCCGAATTCTAAGGAAAATAGGATAGAATAGCAAGTGAAAGGGGTCTGATGGTACTCACTGCTTGGTGACAGGCGACAGTCTCACCGCTTGGCGATAGTCCCTTCGTGGTCACCAAAATGTGTCCGGAATTGGTGGGTTCTTGGTCTCACTGACTTCAAGAATGAAGCCGTGGACCCTTGTGGTGAGTGTTACAGTTCTTAAAGGCAGCATGTCCGGAGATTTTCCCTTCTGGTGTGCGGATGTGTTTGGAGTTTCTTCCTTCTGGTGGGTTTGTGGTCTCGCTGGCTGATGAGTGAAGCTGCAGACTTTCGCGGTGAGTGTTACAGCACTTAAGGCAGCACGTCTGGAGTTGTTCGTTCCTCCCAGTGGGTTCATGGTCTCGCTGGCTTCAGGAGTGAAGCTCCAGACCTTTGCAGTGAGTGTCACAGCTCATAAAGGCAGTGTGGACCCAAAGAGTGAGCAGTAGCAAGATTTATTGCAAAGAGCAAAAGAACAAAGCTTCCACAGAGTGGAAGGGGACCCGAGCAGGTTGCCACTGTGGGCTCAGGCAGCCTGCTTTTATTCTGTTATCTGACCCCACCCACATCCTGCTGATTGGTCCATTTTAGAGAGAGCCGATTGGTCTGTTTTACAGAGAGCCAATTGGTCTGTTTTACAGAGAGCTGATTGGTCTGTTTTGACAGGGTGCCGATTGGTGCATTTACAATCCCTGAGCTAGACGCAAATGTTCTCCACCTCCCCACTAGATTAGCTAGATACAGAGTGTCGATTGGTGTATTTACAAACCCTGAGCTAGACACAGAGTGCTGATTGGTGCATTTACAAACCTTGAGCTAGATACAGAGTGCCGACTGGTGCATTCACAATCCCTTAGCTAGACATAAAGATTTTCCAAGTCCCCACCAGATTAGCTAGATACAGAGCTCTGATTTGGTGCATTTACAAACCTTGAGCTAGACACAGAGTGTGGACTGGTGCAGTCACAATCCCTTAGCTGGACATAAAGATGCTCCAAGTCCCCACCAGATTAGCTAGATACAGAGTGTCGGTTGGTGCATCCACAAACCCTGAGCTAGACAAAGGGTGCTGACTGGTGTGTTCACAAACCTTGAGCTAGACACAGAGTGCTCATTGGTGCACTCACAATCCCTTAGCTAGACACAAAGGTTCTCCAAGTCCCCACTAGATTCAGGAGCCCAGCTGGCCTCACCCAGTGGATTTCACACCGGGAGGCAGGTGGAGCTGCCCACCAGTCCCTCACCATGCACCCACACTCCTCAGCCCTTGAGTGGTCAATGGGACCGGGTGCCCTTGAACAGGGGGCGGTGCTCACTGGGGAGGCTCAGGCCAGGCAGGAACCCATGGTGGGGAGGGGGGGTGATGGCGGGGACTGAGGGGGGTGGCAGGAGGGATTGGGTGGGTGGGAGCGGTTGGGGGGGGCGGTTTTGTGAGGACAGCGGCGGAGGGCGGGCGGCGGTACGGGTGTGGAGCCTCAGGCATGGGGGGCTGCACGTCTGGAGCCCTACCGCACGGGGAGGCAGCTAAGGCCCGGCGAGAAATCGAGGGCAGCACCAGTGGGCCAGCCGTGCTGGGGGACCCGGTGCACCCTCACAGCTGCTGGCCTGGGTGCTAAGCACCTCACTGCCTGGGTACAGCAGGGCCGTCTGGCTGGCTGCTCCGAGTGCGGGCCTGCCAAGCCCACACCCACCCGGAACTCAAGCGGGCCCGCAAGCGCCGGGAGCAGCCCCGGATCCCCCCGCCGTGCCTCCCCCTCCATACCTCCCACAAGCGGAGGGAGCCGCCTCCAGCCTCGGCCAGCCCAGAGAAGAGCTCCCATGGTGCAGCGGCAGGCTGAAGGGCTCCTCAAGTGCAGCCAGAATGAGCACTGGGGCCGGGGAGGCACCGCGAGCAAGCGAGGGCTGCCAGCACGCTGTCACCTCTCACTAAGACAGAGATTCTCAAGTTTTTCCAGTTCACAGCTCCCCTAGTATCTCTATAATTTTTTCATGGCACATACAGGTCAAAATAAATACCCCAAAATTTGTTTATGAATTAGTCAGGCCCAAATAATTTACCAATTATTTATGTCCTGAAAACACAGTGGCCACTTCAGGAAAAAATAATACAGACAGACTGAAGTAAAAATACATTTACTTTATTTTCAAATGATCACAATTTTTTTTTTTTTTTTTTTTTTTTTTTGAGACGGAGTCTCACTCTGTTGCCCAGGCCGGAGTGCAGTGGGCCAATCTCGGCTCACTGCAATCTCCGCCTCCCGGGTTCACACCATTGTCCTGCGTCAGCCTCCCGAGTAGCTGGGATCACAGGCGCCGGCCACCATGCCTGGCTGTTTTTTCTTTTTTTTTTGTATTTTTAGTGGAGACGGGGTTTCACCGTGTTAGCCAGGATGGTCTCAATCTCCTGACCTCATGATCCGCCCACCTCGGCCTCCGAAAGCGCTGGGATTACAGGCAGGAGCCACCGTGCCCAGCCACAATTTCTTAATAATGTGAGGTGTGTGCCTGTTGGGCACTGAACAATTACTCAGACCTTGGACTCAGATTGGATACTGCCATTCTCATTTCCTATTTCACGTTGATTTTTTTCACAATGCGTCTTTTTTATCATAGCAACTGTCTGAAACTCAGATACTGTGCAAAACCATCAAAACCAGTGTTTTTGCACAGTATCTGACGGATGTTAATGAGTTTCCTTCAAAAGTCTAAACTACCTTGCAGTGTTCTGATGTGTTCACTGAGGCACCTCAGAGAGCCTCAGCAACAATTTGAGAACCATGGCATACAAGTCACCATGCTATGTCTAGATATGGCTGTGCTGGAGGAGTAATGCCTTCTAACCTGCCTAGCAGTCACTTCCTCTGTCCTTTACAGGCTCCTGTGTCATGCCAGGAGGACAAAGGGCTGATGATTTGACCAGCAGTTTCCTGGCTACCATTCCTCAGCCAGGAGGAACCAAGCTTCCCAACATGAAGCAAAACCAAACCCATTTAAAAAGTAAAGGTGATGATGGTAGGCTCCTGCATGTTTTCTGAAATTACCTATATTCCTCTCATCCTGTGCTCACAGGCATGTGACATAGGTAAGACTGAAAACTGGATTGAATTGTGAGGAAAGAACAAGTTTTCCCCAGCTCCCAAGCACGTCCCATCTGAATACTGGAAACTATGTGTAAATCTTAAACAGCAGGGTGTGGAGGAGAATCCGTTCAAATTAGAGTCGAATGTTATGAAGACATCCCAGGATCCTCCTGGGGAAGGAGATCTGAACCATCAGGCACCTGAAGAACTGCTTGGTGGCGAGGTAGTGTCGAGGCATTTCAGTGTGGTTAGTGCTACACATAGCCTCTATGCAGATGGGTGAGAAGCCTGATTGTCTTTGACTAAGACTGAATTTGGTTCCACTTCAAACTCTTATTCTACTGCATGGTAGAAATGAAATAGCAGGCAGTTCAGGCTTTCCCATGATGTTACACAAAACAATATGAAATTGCTGCTATTTGATCATTTCTAAACTATAAAAATTGCAACTACATATGGCCCAGATGATAATTTGTCTCCATCACTCCCAGGGTTTGTGACAGTCATGATCCCAGGGGCCACCTGGTTTCCATCACCACCCACTCTGTTGTGCCTCCGAGATGTCCTTGCTCTCCTATGCTCTCCATCACTGGTCCACGAAGACCTCATCTGCCTTAGCCCCATCAGCCAGGGCTTTCTGAGGCTGGAGTGAATCATCTCAGCAATTCCCACATCTCCCTTGGGTGCTGCTATGAAAGGTCTGTGACAGGAATGAGGCACAGTCCCTTTTCTCAGTGACATTTACCAACAGCCAAACTCTCGTGGTCCCTAGTCTCTGTTCTCTCCCGCTCTCTGGAGTGAGAAGAACCAGTTCTTCCAACTTTATTTACTCTTCCAAGTCAAATGCTTCTGGCATCAACTTAGTACCTGAACTGTAAGGGTCAGGGTTTTAAGCTCCTGCATCTCAAACCTTTGGTGTGGAAACAGAAAACATGAGTTTCTCTTCATATTCCCCAGCATCCCTCCTTTTAGACAGCAGATACCTCCCAGTGTAGCTCCAATGGGAGAAAGCCCTTGGGGTGAAAATAGTGAGGAAATCAGGACCCGCGCATCACCTTGGTGTGCAGTGGGTGTCTGGCTCCTCTCATGCCTGGGTCTTGTCCAGGTGTGTGGGATGCACCTGACAGGGAAAGTCCTGACCTCTCATTTCCAAGCTGTGTAACCCTGGGCAAGCCACTGACCTCTCTCCAAACATCAGTTTCCTCAGGCCCTCAGAGTTAGAAAACATACTGCCAGCAGGCCCAAGGCTCATCCTGTATGGTCAAATACAGTCAAGCAGAGAGAGAAAAATCTTCTGGATTCAATGCAAATGCAACAACTTCCTGTTGCATTAGGAGTAGCAAGACTGGCTGGCTTTCTAAAAGCTTAGAGATATTATTTTTGAAGCTATCTGTGTATACTTTATTCCCTTTCATACATACCCCTCCTGGCTGACCCAAATGAAAAAAGATACGAAACTCGTTTCTGGCCCGGCTCTTGCCTGCTCAGATGGAATGTGTGGTGATACGCCCATTTTTCCGCTCAGCTGTATTCCTGTTTATTCCTGTGAACACATGGTCTCTGTAATTGGCAATAATTTTTTTCTTTGGGATATTTACCTTCCTTTTGTGGGACAGCCCAGATTCTTGGGTGGATTCGTTTCCCACTCAATTACCAGAAAAGGGCACAATGTGATTGGGAGAACTACGTGGAAGAAAGCTCAGCTCCCAGGCCCTCACACAAGCAACTCTGTGCTCCCATCTATGTCAGAGCCTGGGGACTATGAGGAGATTGCAACGGAACATCCTGTCCCCTCCACCAACATTCTTTCCCCACGAAGCAGTGGCATTTTCTTTTGTGTTCTCACACAATTCAGACTAGGTGGAGTAGCCTGTACGGAATGACTGGAATGACCCTACTGAGCAGAAGTGTTCCCCTTCTCCCTTGCCAAAACTGTGGGCTGAGAGAGAACCCGCCTGATAGCCCCCTGCTTTGGAGGTGTTTCTGCGGTGGTCCTTTTAAAAAGGGTGTATTCGGGGCATGGGTTGAAACACCAAGCAAGTGTAAATCACAGGCTTCACACACTTGCCTTTTGGGAGGCAGGTCAGCTCCAACCTGCAGCAGCTGAGAAAGAATACATAGGGGTCCTTGAGGACAGAGAGCTTTGTTGATGACCAGCCTTAGGGTATAGGAGAAAGAGAAAGGCCGGAGCAGCCACAGCCACTTCTCTGTGCCCAGCAGTGTAGCCACCCGCCTAGCAATGCTCCAGCCATGCAGAATGGGCCTGCCTCCTCTCTGCCTTGTCCTGAGGATGGAGATATCTCTGACCTGGAGGTCCTAGGACCTCACTTCCTAAATGTGTGACCCTAGATAAGTTGCTTAACCTCTACCGGAACCTCAATTTCATCATCTGTAAAACAAGAATAATCAACCCACCTACCTCATAGGGTTGTTTTGATACTTAAATGAGACAAAGCATGTGTCTAAGGGTTTTCTGATTCGTAAAACACCACAGGTGTATAAGGATTGTTTTCCTGACTTATCTTAGGACCTTTTGAAAGAGACCTTCAATAAGAGACCTTCAATAAGTTCTCTAAGTTCAACCTCTACTATGCACAATCCTGAAAGGTCGTCTACCCTCTGCTTGAATCCTTGCTATTATGGGAAACTTACTACCTTTCTTTGAGGAAAAACTCACTACCACAAAGCCCTATGACTTGAGCTTCCTCTGGTTAAATCACAGCCATCTCACATAAGCTCCAGAGTAAATGGGAAGGGAGAACCTGACTCATCCAGCAATAGCAGAAAGATCATCACGTAGATTGTGTTGTTCTGCTATTTACAGATATTTGTGAAAAACCTGAAGTCAGTGTCATTCATCTTCCCTTTTGAAGGTTAAGTGTGTTTGTTTTTGTTTTTGTGACCAGAAATACATTAAAATTGGATTAGGAGCCATGTGCAGAAAAATTCACTGATGCTCAGTGCAGTGTATTCATTGTATAAACATGGAATAAAATGTTTGTCCCAAGATTATTTCACTTTGTCCACTTAGAAAGATTTCCTGTGACTTGCATAAATGTGGAAGAAAGCGTCTTCATTTCTTTTTAGCCAGGATCATTTGATGACATTTTGAAATGTCAGGGAGACTCTTAACTTAAATCTGACCTACAAAGGGCCATTGAGAACAGTGAAGTGTGCCCCCAAAGCCAAAAACTTTGTATAGCTTTAATTTCAGTACAGAGGTAAATCGACTTCTGCTTTTGGATTTAAGATTTGGCAAGCATGTGAAATTAAGTATCACTAAGGGGGACTTTTTACAGAGGGAAGCTAGGAGATTATGAGTGTTAGGGCTTACAGATTTAATCTGCAATTAGCATAAACATGCAAAGGTCACCCTAAAGAGATGCATGCCCCTGTGATCTGTAGGGGTAGCTGTCAGAAGTAGAGAGAAACGGCAAACAGAGTTTTGCAAACAAATGTGTGGTGGGGATTCAGGTTTTCATGTACGTGTTGCATCTGTGGCCTAGAAGATATCAGACACATGGCCTAGGAGAAATCAAGGGTGAGAAGTCACCAGCCCACAGAGAAGATATCACTAACCTTGAGGCTAACAGAAGTAAATGACAGCTTGTGGCAGCAGCTGTTGGTCACCAACTCAACAGTGATTACCTCCTTCTTCTTTGTTAACAGAAAATGATTTCTGTTCAGGAACTGAGCAGCAGATAGTTTTTAGAATCTGGACCCCATTGAAGTTTCAAGGTGTCAACCTTGATTAGTCTGTGTCCAAAATTGTAGTTCTGTGTCCCTTGTTAGTGATTGGTTTACGATGGGGCATGTGCCACAATTCTGATCAATGAGAAG
Source organism: Homo sapiens (assembly GCF_000001405.40). NCBI lineage: Eukaryota > Metazoa > Chordata > Mammalia > Primates > Hominidae > Homo > Homo sapiens. The sequence continues at coordinate 24,945,049 of NC_000024.10, read as the reverse complement.
TCTGCTAGAGGTACTTCTAGAAGAGTTTTCCTTACTTTTAAAAAAGAAGAAACCAAAGAGACTTTCTGTTTCTGTCATTTGGATGTTGCTGGGAGATAATGTGATGCTTGGAGCTGTTGCGGCCATTTTGCAACCATGAGGGGAGGACCCTGAGGCAAAGGCAACATGCTTAGGGTAACAGAATAGGAACATTGACAAATCTAGACTCCGTATTAGGTTGATGTGCTAAACCAATCAGTGCCAGTACTGCCTCCCTGTAGACTTATTACCTGGTCACTCACAGATGAGACTATGGAGTCAGACTTCCTAGGTTCAAATTCCAACTTTACCACTTACCAGCTGTGTGACTTTGGACTTCTCTGTGCCTCATATTTCTGATTTGTGTACCTACCCTGTAGTATTCTTGTTAGAATTAAATGAATTAATACGTGGACAGTGCTAGAACCATACCTGATCACTCAAACATTTAACATTCTTTCATCATTTAAGCCATTTTGAGTTGCATCTTCTAGTTGTTGCTTTTGAAAGTATCCTATGTAACACAGCAACTTTCGGTTAATGTTTTCCTGTCAGAAAGTTAGGAAACTAACAACAAAAACACAAACCATCCCTTAAACAGTGGAAAAAGGACTTGAGTGGATATTTCTCCAAAGAAGAGAGGCCATGGCCCACAAACACATGAAAACATTCTCAGCATCATTCATCATTAGGGAAATGCAAATAAAAAGGAGGCACCACTGTACACCCATTAGGATGGTAATGACTTTTTAAAAAGAAAACAGAAAACAGCAAGTATTGGTGAGGATGTGGAGAAACTGGAATTTGTATATTGCTGGTGGGAATGTAATATGGTTCAGCCACTGCAGGAAACAGTTGGTGGTTCCTCAGATGACTCAACACAGAATTATCACAGGACCCTGCAATTCCACTCCCAGGCGTCTGTACCCAAAAGAATTGAAAACAGGGATGCAAGTACATGCATACACATGTTGATAGCAGCACAGCAGCCAAAAGGTGGAAGCAAACCACATGTCCATTGATGGATGAATGGATAAATAAATTGTGATATATACATACAGTCGAATAACATTCAGCCATAATAAATTAGAAAAAATGATGGGAAATGAGAAAAATATCCCATTTACAAAAGCAACCAAAATCACAGAATACTCAGAATCAAACACAGAAGAAATACAAAACGGCCTAAGGACACGGAAGAAGACATGAAATGAAGGGAAACATCACACACGTGAATGAGCAGGCTCAGGCCTGACAAGATATCAATTATTTCCCAGTCACCCTGTGAATTTAATCAATCTTTAATTTTTTAACTTAGCAAACTGATTTTTAAATTCTACTCAAAGAATACATTTGTAAAAGCAACTGAATTAATTTTTTTAAAGGAGCCAGGTGTGGTGGTATGAGCCTGTAGTCCCAGCTACTCTGGAGCCTGAGCTGAGATAGAAAGGTTGCTTGAGCCCAGAAGTTTAAGACCAGCCTGGACAACACAGTGAGACCCCATTTAAAAAATTAAAGGGGATAGCTCTTACTAGATAGTAAGATATATTTTAAAATTACTATAATTTAGGAATTTGATACCAACATAGGAATGAGAAAATTGATTACCGAACCAGAAATCAGAATTTGTCATATACTGATTGGTATTTGCAATCGGTAGGAAAAGGAAAGATTAATTAAATAGTCCGGGAACAACTGCCTTGAAACTAATATACTAAAATAAATTCCACGTGGATTAAACACAAAAATAAAACCGCAATAGAACTCAAAGAAAATATAAGTAAATATTTTCCCATTTATCAGAACCCATCCACATGGTTCAATTCAACTGCAGGGGAGGTTTGAAAACGTGTGTGGTTTTTTGGGAGGCACTCACTGTTATTGTCATAGATACATAACCTATTTCTAGGGATGAGGGAAAGGACAAAACAAAGGATTGAAACTGAAGGGCTTTCTGCCTATCCTCATGTTTATCAAAAAAATTCCAATACCCAAAATACACCATCCCACAATTATAATTGGTTGCATAGGCAAAGCTTCTCTTTCTCGTTTGATGATCCTAGTATATCTCTATAAGGACCACATCTTGGCTGATATTCCAGCTGCACATTGGAATTACATCTGTTCTCATTCTCATATTAATAATGAAGCTTGATTAATAAATTACAAGGGCTAACTCTGGAGCTATTGGTTCAAAATTCCTTGCCAGTGAGGAAAACAAAAGAACAACTGTATTTTAAGAATAGATCCACCATAATAACATGCTGATGGTCAAAACTGATCAGGCAGTCTGGATGAAGCCTCACACCTTCCTACACTTTGCAAAAGAAGTAGCAGGTAAGGAAGGACTAGCCTGAGCTCCTGTTCAGCCCTGGGGAGGGAGCAGGTATGATGGAGCTGGCAATGTGGTCATTCCTGCTGTGCTCAGCCAATTTGCTTGAACTTCAAACAGAAGTGTTAACTTCACGGTGTGCAAGTTCATCCATCCTCTGCTTTTGTCCTCCTTGGAGGCTTTCAGTGGCACATGTTGGGGGAAGAAAAGGCACTTGTTCTCTTCTCAATTGTACAGAGCAGCTGATCAGTGTCTGCACGAATTCCTGAACAAAGAACATATTTCAGACCTTCTTATTGCTTGCTTATTTAATTTAACAGATGTCAGTTGTGACACACACATACGACTTTCTCCCTAGGCAATGGATTATGGCAAATTTCATTTTATGCCTGGCATGAAAGCCATGCAATATTGGGTATTGAAAGGACTTTTTTTTTTTTTTTTTTTTTTTGAGAGACAGAAAGAGGGGAAAACCTGTTGTGCCTTAAAATCCCTAGTAATGCAAGAAAACCAATTTCCACAAAGGCATTGTCCTGGAAAGCTTTGTTGGTTTATGTCGCTACCTAATGGGAATGTGTCAGATTACACAAGGGCTGTTGTGTCAGGTCACACATCCTGTCACAATGAACACACTGGTGGTGTGTGGGTGGGAATGCAATTTATGGGGATGCCTGCGCTGGATGAGATGTTATCTTCACATTCTGTGTCTACTTCTAGTTATTTAACCTTGGCCAAGTCCCTCAACGCCTCTTAACTCAAGGATCCTCACCTAAAGGAGGGTTCTGGATGCCAGCTTTGTGAGATTGTTGACAGAACTAGGAAAAGGTGTACTTAACTGGGCTAGGTGGCTCATGCCTGCAATCCCAATGCTTTAGGAGGCTGAAGCAGGAGGATCACTTGAGGCCAGGAGTTAGAGACCAGCCTGGGCAAGATGGCAAGATCTCATTTCTTCAAAATAGAAATTAAAAAATTAGCTGGGTGTGGTGGTGTTAGCATGTATTATACACCATACCTGGGTAACAGAGAGACTCTTTCACGGAAGAAAAGAAAAAAGAGAAGAGAGAAGGAGGAAGGAAGGAGAGAAAGGAAGGAAAGAAGGAAGGAAGGAAGGAGGGAACAAAGGAAGGAAGGGAGGGATGGAGGGAGGAAGGAAGAGAAGGGAAGAAGGAAGGAAAGAAGGAAGGAAGGAAGGAAGGAAGGAAGGAAGGAAGGAAGGAAGGAAGGAAGGAAGGAAGGCAGGCATGTATTTTAAACTGAGGCATAGCCCAAAGCTCGTAAACTCAGGGTTCTGTCAGTCCATGTAGTAAAATCATGAAGCCCTACATATTTTTTCTTCTTTTGGTATAAGTTTCGGTTTCAGAGGTATGTTTTTTGACACAAGTAAAACTTCCAGCATGGAAATAAACTGCAGTCAATGGCTGCCCTGGAAGTTGGAGAGGTGATAGGAAACTGCATTGAACTGGACTGCATTGAACTGGTTTGAGTGGCTGCATTGAACAGGACAACACTTATCTGGTCTCAGGTGGATGACTGCTGTCAGCCCAGAATGGCCAGGATGTGTGGCAAGATCTTTCTGTTTACCAAAATCAACCAACCACTTGGGATATCCTGCTTGTAAATGCTGGCCCAATTTTTTAAACACTACAGGGGCTAAAGAAATTATCCCTGGGGACCAGGTTCAGCTTGTGGATCTCAGCTGGCGCTCTGCTGCTCATTGCTATAGACTTGCAAGAAGGTGGGTGCTAGGTGTGGAGCCTATGCTATCTGGGGTACTCTATAAGTGGGGAAGGGGGGCTCAATGCTCCATGTCTGTGGGGAGGTTAGTGGGAATCTAGAGACAGAATCAGGATTGGGGACCTGAATTACTATGTTACTGGCCTGACACCAGAGGCTCAGCCTGGTAGAGGCCTACGTAAGGCCTTCCCTGGTCGTCAATCCTCCTTCCTCGCCACCATGTGTTTCTCTCCTCTTCCTTGGGACAGCTCTCCCTGAAGCCTCCAGGCTTCCCTTATGAGATCCCCCCAAGAGCTAAACAGTTCCTGGAGACCACTGAGAAGACTGCCAGACTGAGAGTCAGACTTGTGGATACATACTTACTGTTTGGCCTTGAGCGGGAACCTCCATCCCTCTGAGTCTTTGTTTCCTCATTTGTAAAGTGAGGAGGAAGAGAAAAGCCTTTCCCAGCTTCTCAGGATGGCACCCGGGTACAGATCATAGAGATGATGCATGAGGCATGCTTTGTGAACTTGAAAGTGCTGAGCAGTACTTGGTCATTTTAAAACAATGACATCTTCTTTGAATAATTCTTAAATCCTGGTACAGAATTAAGAAAGGATCATCTATTCAATTAGTCAACTATTTGTTCAAGAAATATGTACTGAGCCTTCCATTATGTGCCAGGTACTTCTAAGCAATAACTAAGACAGACATGGATTGCCTGTCATGAAATGTCAATTCTAGAGTAGGAGGCAGAGAATAGGGAAGAAAGGACGGGAGGAGGGAAGAAAGGAAAGAAGGACGTGAGAAGGAAAGGAAGGGAAGGAGAGAAGGACAGAAGAAATGAGGGAGGGAGGGAGGAAATGAAGGAAAGAGGGGAGAAGAGAAGGAGGGGAGAAGGGGAGGAGGGAGGGACGGAGTGAAGGAAAGAAGCCAGCTTAAAATTGGCCATGATGAGTATTTATACTACTAACATTGGAAAACTCAGTAAATCAGGGTTCTTCCTGCAGGCTGACTTTTAAATATTTGCCGTAACTACTGAAGCCAGAGGTTACAGTGAGGAGCCAGAGGAGGATTCTGAGTGCAGGAGAAACACAATTTGCTACTCATTTTATCCATTTTTCAAAGGATCCTCTTCACCATGTACAGAATAGACTGGAGCCAGGCACAGTAGCAGCGGGAGTTACCAGCCTAGAAGGCTGTGAAATAACCCAGGCATGAGATGCAAGGGGCTTCGGTTGGACTAGCAATGGAGTAGCCAGACATGGATGGTTGGGATATGATGGGGGGCAAGGCTGACAGCGTTCATTTGTGGATTGGCTGTGAGGTAAAGATAGAGACAGCTAGTGAATTGTACAGAAACACTCTGTTCATGAGGAGCTTACAGTTTAGTGGCAGAAACAAAGCAGGCAGTCAGCTAGGACTTTCACAGATATTTATTTATACTGGCTTTCAACGACATATAACACAGGGAAACCTAGCCACATTTGGAAATGAAATGTCATTTGAGCTTTGTTATGGTGAGGTATGATACAATCACACACCCATGGAGGTATTTACATATAATTTCCTCCACACCTGATTTGGTTCTGCAAACACCCCAGGCCCTATACATGTCATTCGCTAGTAATGTGCTGCGTCAAGGAGGCGTCAGAACCGTGTGAGCTTTCACACATTATCTACCCACCCAACTTCTGGGTTTTGCCTATTCTGTCAGGGTCCTCTGTGAGCTGCTGGGGTAATGGGCAAAGGGTGGAGATGCAAATGAAAATAGAAATGCTGAGTGAACAGGTTATCTAGTGGAAAGAGGGTGCCAAAGGAAGCAGGGTAGCTAGTGTGAGTGGACTGTTTGATACAGAGTGTGGGAAAGAGTAAGATCTGGAGATGCCCGGATGAGGGGAGTCTTGAGGAAGGAAATGAATGATGAGTTTCTTCAGGGCTGATGATAGGTTATGTCATTCAACCCATTCTGCAATGACCACCATGTGACTTTGCTCCTAATAAATAAGCAAATTATATTTCCCCACCCCTTGATATGGGGTTTGGCCATATCACTTGCTTTGGCTGAAAGACTGAGATGAATGGGAGTGACAGGGAACTCCTTATGAGATTTCTTCTTTAAAGGCTTTCCACATTTGCCATTGTCATCTGCCATTGTTTGCCACAGGAGGAGAATGAGAGACACACGCTGCAGAGCCAGCCTAGCTAAGCCCTGCCTCGGTCAGCCAAAAAGCAGCTGACCTGCAGACATGTGAGCAATTATAAATGGTCATTGCTTTATCCTGCCGAGTCTTGAGGAGGTGTTTGCACAGCAACAGCTGACTGATGCAGGGACTTACAGTGTGTCCCACAGTGTAGTTTGGCTTTTCCTCATTTGGTGTAAGTAGGGACTTCAGTTACTTCTAAATGCTTTCCAAGTGGTTGATTACTATTTATTTTGGTAGTATTGAAAGTGTCTTTGCAAAAATTCTATCAGTGAGAAAAATTATAACAGTAAGCTGAGCTAACTAGTTACACGTAGTTAGACAGGCATGACTGGGGCAAGAGAGAGATCTTTCCTCTCCTACCAGGAATGTTAGGTGATAGTTTGAGAACTATCACACTGTCTCTGAAAAAAAGATAATTTGGGGGTCTAGGCACAGTGGTTCACACCTATAATCCCAACACTTTGGGAGGCAGAGACCAACAGATAGCTTGACCCCAGGAATTCAAGACCAGCCTAAGCAACAAGGCAAATCCTGTCTCTACAAAAAATACAGAAATTAGCCAGGTGTGGTGGCACACACCCGTAGTCCTGGCTACTCAGGAGGCTAAGGTGGGAGGATCAATTGAGCCCTGGAGGTTGAGGTTGCAGTGAACCATGATTGCCCCACTGCACGACACCTGGGGTGACAGAGCAAGACCTTGCCTCAAAAAAAAAAAAAAAAAAAAAGCTTTTGTTACCATAGGTAGTTAGGCAGACATGAGCAGGGAAGGAGAGGGCCCTCTTCACCAGGAATGTCAGGCGACCATAAGGTGATAGTGAGGTGGTTGTTAAACTGTCTCTAAAATAATAATTGGTTGCAGCCAGCGCCAGGGAAACGCAGTCTCCCAATAGATAGAAAACACCTGAAACTGATGATCAGCAGCTTCCTGATTAGATGGCAGGAGTTGGGTGAGTGAACTCAAGCATGCACACTAAGAGGCAAAATGGTGGAATTAACTGGTACCTCACCTTCCTTAGGGAATACTCAACCGGTAAGGGAAAAATGTTTCAAGGCGGCCTGAATACAACTTTAGTAAACACACTGCACACGTGGCCCCTCCTAAGTGCTGGCAGGCCACCCCAAGGGAAGGATCAGGGGAGAAGGGCACAATCACCCCAGAAGCATAAAAACCCAAGTCAACGGTCAAACCTTGCACTTGATCTCTCAAGTCACCCGCTTGCCCCTCTTCCAAGCGTACTTCACTTCCTTTCATTCTTGCTCTAAAACTTCTTAATAAACTTTCACTCCTTCCCTTAAGCTTGCCTCAGTTTCTCCCTCTGCCTTATTCCCTTTGGTTGAATTCTTTCTTCTGAAGGAGGTAAGAATTGAGGTTGCTGCAGTCTTGTGTGGATTCACCACTGATAACAGTTAAAATGGTAAATTTTATGTTATGTATATTTTATCACAATAAAAATTACCAAATAAGAGATAATTGGCTATTTAAACATAAATAATAACCATGTATTATAGGGGTTATGACTTATATAAATTGGAAGACAAAAACAATAACATAAAGGCTGGTGGGGGGAGAAATAGAAGTATACCCATTTGAGGATATCATACCACATATGAAGAGGTATAGTATCCCTCAAAATATATCGTGATAAGAAAAGATGTATGCTACCACTAAAATAATAAAACAAAGAGTTAAAGCTAATAAGTCTATAAAGGAGATAAAAATAGATCATAAAAATACTCAACTAATTCAAATCAATCCAGTTAATCTAAATTAATCCAATTAATCTAAAATAAGACAGAGAGGGAGGAAAAAAGGAACAAAGAACAGGTGGAACAAATAAGAAACAAATGCCAATGTGATAGAGTGAAAGTTAGCCATTACAGATAAAAAGTTTAAATAAAAATAGTCCAATTAGCCCCATTAAAAGGCAGACTGTCAGATTGGATAAAAATGCAAGACAACTTTGTGCTGCCTGCAAGAGATGCACTTTAAAATATAAAGACACAAATGGGTTAAAAGTGAAAAAAAATTTTTTTTTCTTGAGGCCAGGCTGTTCTCAAACTCCTGCGCTCAGGATCCACCTGCCCCAGCCTCCCAAAGTACCGGCATTACAGGCATGAGCCACGGGGCCTGGCCAAATAGTCTAAGTTTTGACAAGGGTATGCCATTGCTGACACTGGCCAAGAGGAAGCTGGAGTGGCTGAGCAGTTTTCTGAGAGCCAAAACCCAACTCTGTGTGTGAGTTTTCAGCCACTACAAAGGCCTTACCACAAGTTTGTTCCATGGGTCCTCCCCACCGGCCTCGGTGCACAACCAGAACCAGAGCACACAGTCCCCTAGGGGAGTTGTATCAAAGACTCACGTCCCCCCGCACTTATGTTCTTACACATACCTGCATTCCCAGCCCAGATACGTCCATGCAGAGGTCCCCGGATCAGGAGGGTCCTGGCAGAGGTCTTTCTTGGCTGCCTCTACTAGACACCAACTTCTTGAGAGTAACCTGAAAAACATGCTTTTCTCTCTTCTTCTTCTTCTTCCTCCTCTTCTTCTTCTTCTGCTTCTTCTTCTTCTTCCTCTTCTCCTTCTTCTTCTTCCTCTTCCGCTTCCTTCTCTTCTTCTTCCCCTTCTTCCTCTTCTTCTTCTTCTTTTTTCTTTTCTTCTCATTCTCCTCCTCCTCCTCCTCCCCCTCCCTCCTCCTCCTCCTCTTCTTCTTCTTTTTTTTTTTTTTTTTTTTTTTTTGAGACTGAGTCTCATGCTGTCGCTTAGGATGGAGTGCAGTGGCGCGATCTCGGCTCACTGCAACAACCTCCGCCTCCGCGGTCCTCAGTATTAAGTATCTTCCACTCCTAGCCTTCCCCAAACTCCCACCCTTCACCACAGGGTCCATAAATTCCCAGCAACAGCGAAATAGCAGGAGGCTCATGTTCGGCAGTCCGTCTCGCTAAGCAGGGAGATGATCATCCCCATACCCCAAACTCCCCTCCTCTGAGCTGCTCCATGGGGGAAAACATGGAACATTCTGGGAGCTGGCACTTCTTCCTTTTTTGCTTCTTGCTTATACTGTTGCATAAGTGAATAAAGTCTTGATGGTTTCTTTTTTTTTTTTCTTTTTAAGTTTGGCCGTTTTCTTAACTGACCACGTTAAAACCTGGCAGCTCAGCTCTCTCTCCAGCTGAGCCCTCGACAGAGGCTATATTAATATACTAAAAGAAGTAAATCTTAGAGTGAAAAATGTTACCGTAGGCAGAGAGTCATTTCAGCATGACAAATTGGTCAGTTAATGAAAATGTGACAATCCTAAGGGTTTAGGTACTTCATAACAGTGCTTCAAATACATGAGGCAAAAACTAATAGATTGTAAGGAGAAATAAACACATCCATAATTGTAGCTGGGAATTTCAATAATCCTTTCTCGATAATTAATAGAACAAGTGGACAGAAAATCAGCAAGGATATAACAGATTTGAACAATACTATCAAACAACTCCTAATTGACATTTTTACAACACTCCATCCAATGGCAGCAGAATATATATTATTTTCAAGTACACATGGGCCATTTACAAAGACCAACTACATTCTGAGCCATAAAACCATTCTCAATATACGTAAAAAGATTCAAGTCATACAAATATGTTCTTTGACCACAGTGAAATTAAATTAGAAATCAATAGAAGAGGGATAACTGAAAAATACCCAAATATCTAGAAACTAAATAACATGCTTCTAAATAACTCACAGTTCAAAGAAGAAATCAAAAGGGAAATTACAAAATATTCTGAGGTGAGTGAAAATGAAAATACAGTATATAAGAATTTGTAGGATGCCACTAATGTTTGGCATCTAATACTAATACTAATGGAACTGTATAACACCAAATACCTATTTTACAAAAAAAAAAAAAAATGATTCAAGGCAATGACCTCAGGATCCATCACAAGAAATAAATAATAAAAACAAGAGTGCACATTAAACTCAAAGGAAGCAGACAGTAGGAAATAATAAAGATCAAAAGAGAAATCAATAAAATAGAAGACAAAAATAGAGAAAATCAACAAAAACAAAGTTGGTTTCTTGACAAGAAAAATAAAATGGAGTTGGGCACACTGGCTCATGCCTGAAATCCCAACACTTTGGAAGGCCAGGGCAGGTGGATCACCTGAGGTCAGGAGTTCTAAATGAGCCTGACCAATATGGTGAGACACCATCTCTACTGAAAAATGCAAAAATTAGCTGGGCTTGGTGGTGCACACCTGTAATCCCAACTACTCAGGATGTTGACGCAGGAGAATTGCCTGAACCCAGGAGGCGGAGGTTGCCCCATTGAGCCGAGATCAACCCATTGCACTGCAGCCTGGGCAACAAGACTGAATCTCCATCTCAGAGAGGAAAAAAAAAAAAAAAACAAAGCAAAAGAAAATGGATAAATCTCAAGATAGATTGATTAGGAAAAAGGAGAGATCAAAATTTTTCACATTAGGAATGAGAGAATGGGTATCAGTGGTTTCTAAGATATTAAAAAGTATAAAAAGGGAATATCACTTGTAAAATTTTATGCCCATAAATTTTACAATGGAAATGAAATTAACAAATGTCCTAAAACATATAAAATATCAAAGCTCAGTCACAAAGAAACAGATAATAGCCTTATATTTAAAAAAAAAAATCAATATAGGGTGTGCACGGTGGCTCACGCCTGTAATCCCAACACACTGGGAGGCTGAGACAGGTGGATCATCTGAAGTCAGAAGTTCAAGACCAGCCTGACTAACATGGCAAAACCCTGTCTCTATTAAAAATTCAAACAAATTAGCTGGGCATGGTGGCACACACCTGTAATCCCAGCTGCAAGGGAGACTGGGGCAGAAGAATTGCTTGAACCCAGGAGACAGAGGTTGCAGTGAGCTGAGATCGCACCACTGGGCTCCAGCCTAGGTGACAGAGAGACACTCCATCTCAGAAAATAAATAAATGTACAAATAAAAATAAATGTAAAAATTTTCAATTTGTAGTTAGAAATCTTCCCACAAAGGAGATTTGAGACCCAGATAGCTTTGCCAGTGAATTCTGCCAAACATTTAATGAAGAAATAATACCAATTCTATACAAACTATCCCAGAGAACTTATGAGGCAGGGAATATTTGTAAGAGACCAGAATTACCATGGCACAAAAACCTTACTAAGATGTTAACAAAAAAGCAAACTATAGGCCAAGATTCTTCATGAATATAGAAGAAAAAAATTAAAATTTTAGCAAGCTGAATTCAAAATCTATAAAAAGAATACAATATCATGATAAATTGGGATTTTACTTCCTAGGAATTCAGGATGATTTTACACTGAAAATAAATCAGTACAATTCTCCATGTTAGCAAAGAGATAAATCACATGATCATCTCAAAAGACACAGAAAAAGCAGGTAACAAAAATCTAACATGTATTATTAAATAAAAACTTTCAGCAAACTAAGCATAGAAAAGCATTTCCTCAAACTGATAAAGGGCATCTGTGATGGTTAATACTGAGTATTAACTTGACTAGCTTGAAGGATGCGAAGTAGTGTTCCTGGGTGTGTCTGTGAGGGTGTTGCCAAAGGAGATTAACATTTGAGTCAGTAGACTGGGAGAGGCAGACCCACCCTCATTCTGGGTGGCCACAATCTAATCAGCTGCCAGCACAGCTAGAATAAAGCAGGCAGAAGAACATGGAAGAACTAGACTTGCTGAGCCTTCCGGCTTTCATCTTTCTCCTGTGCTGGATGCTTCCTGCCCTCAAACATCGGAGTGCATGTTTTTCAGCTTTTGGAGTCTCAGGCTTGATGCCAGTGGTTTGCTAAGGGCTCTCAGGCCTTCGGCCACAGACTGAAGGCGGCACTGTTGGCTTCCCTATTTTTGAGGTTTTGGGGCTTGGACTGGGCTTTCTTGCTCGTCAGCTTGTAGACGGCCTATCATGGGATTTCACCTTGTGATCATGTGAGTCAATACTCCTTAATAAATTCCCTTTCATATACACATCTCTCCTATTAGTTCTGTTCCTCTGGAGACTCCTGAATAATACAGCATCTATGAAAAATCTATAGCTAAAAACTTACTTCATGATAAAAGACTGAATGCATTTCCTCTGTGATCAGGACTAAGACAAGGATGTCTGCTCTCACCACTTGTATTCAACCTTGTGCTGGAGATACTGGAACATATAATCAGACATGAAAAAAATGCATCCAGAATGGAAGAAATAAAACTGTCTTTATATATAGCCAACATGACTATCTATCTAGAAAATCTAATAGAAACACAAAAAAGTTAGAAGTAATAATTGATTTTAGCTAAGGTTTTAGGATAAAATATCAATAAAAAATCAACTGTATTTCTACAGACTAGCAAAGAACAATCACAAGTTGAAATTTTAAAAATACTTTGAATAACATAAAAATATGAAATACATAGGGATAAATCTGACATAAAATGTGAAAGATGTGTACACTATAAACTATAATACATTGCCAAAAGAAATTAAGGACCTATATAAATGGAGAGATAGACCATGTTTATGGATTAAAAGACTCATTATTATTAATATGCCAATTATCTCCAAATTATGGATTCAATGGAATCACAATCAAAACCCTAGCAGACATTTTATAGAAATTGACAAGCTGACTCTAAGATTAATGTGGAAATGAAAAGGAACCATACTAGACAAAACAATTTGGGAAAAGAAGAACTAGGCGGATTAACACTGTCTCACGTCAAGACTTATTACTAAGCTACAGTAACCAAAATAGTGGGTATTGACATCACAATAGACAAGGGATATCATTAAAAAATATAGAGAGCCCAGAAAGAGACCTAAATATATATGGGGTGTGTGTGTGTGTGTGTGTGTGTGTGTGTGTGTGTGTGTGTGTGTGTCTGTCTGTCTGTCTGTGTGTTTGTGTTTACAAATGTGCAAATGTAATTAAGTGGAGAAAGGACAGTCTTTTCAACAAATGGTGCTAGAATAATTGGTTACCATATGCAAAATCCATACTTCACACTATACCTAGAAATGAACTGAAAAATGGGTCACAGGCCTAAGTTAGAAACCAAAAACGATAACATTTCTAAAAGAAAATCTTTGTGACTTTGCACTGGGCAAAGATTTCTTAGCTGTAACACCAAAAGCATGATCCATAAAAGAACAAACTGATAAACTGGATTTCATCAAAATTCAAAACTTCTGTTCTTCAGATGATGCTACTAAGAGAATGAGAAAACAAGCCAGACTGGGAGAAAATATTTGCACAGAATATGTCTGATAACAACCTTCATCCAGAATGTATAAAGTACTCTCAAAATCGAGTTAGAAAAACAATAAAACAATGGGCAAAATACTTGAACAGATACTTCCACAAAGAAGATACAGGGATGGGAAATAAGCATATGAAAAGATGTTCAAAATCATTAGTAGTTAGGAAAATACAAGTTAAAAGCATTATATGCCTACCACAATAGCTAAATTTAAAAAGATTGACAATACCAAATGTTGTCAAGGAGGTGGAGGAATTAGAACTGATATACTGTTGGAAACGAAAAATGGAAAACCTGCAGTTTCTTAAAAAGTCAGACGTATTCCTGCTATGTGATCCAGCACTTGTATATCCAAGAGAACTAAAAGCGTATCATAAAGTGACTCATATATAAATGTTTATAGCAGCTTTATTTGTAAAAGTCTCACACTGAAAACAACCCAAATGTCCATAACAGGTAACTAGATAAAGAAATGTTGGTGTATTCATACAATGAAATACTATTCAGCAAAAAAAAAAAAAAAAAAAAAAAAAGGTCTATGGATACATACAACAATATGAATGAATGTTAAAGTAATTATGCTGAATAAAAGAAGCCACACCAAAATAAACTACTTATTGTATTATTACATTGGTATATGCCTCTAGACAATTAAAACCAATCTGTATGACAGAAAGGAGATCAGTGGTTGCCTGAGAAGAGGGTACATGGAGAGAGACAGGAAGGAGAGATTACAAAGGAGCACAAGGATACCTTTTGGGATGATGTTTATGTTCACTATATTGATCGGCTTCATGGGTATATACGTATGTCAAAACTTATCAAATTGTACACTAGATACATATGCTGTTTATTTTATGTCACTTATACTTCAAAATGCTGTTAAAACTCTCACCAAATTAGGTATGCAAGGAATGTTCCTCAACAGAATAAATGCCATATTGGACAAGCCCACAGCCAACATCATACCCAATGGTAAAAAGCAGAAAGCTTTTCTTCTATGATCAGGAACAAGGGTGCCCACACTCACCACTTCTATTGTGCATAGTACCACAAGTGCTACCTAGAGCAGTTAGGCAAGAAAAAGAAATAAAAAATATCCAAATCAGAAAGGAAGAAGCAAAATTGTCTCCGTAGATGACATGACCTTGTATACAGAAACTCCACCAAAAAACTGTTAGACCTAAAAAGAGAATTCAGTAAAGTTCCAGAATACCAAAATCAACATTAAAATTGAATTGCAATTCTTTCATTATTATTATTATTATTATTATTATTATACTTTAAGTTTTAGGGTACATGTGCACAACGTGCAGGTTTGTTACATATGTATACATGTGCCATGTTGGTGTGCTGCACCCATTAACTCCAACAATGATAGACTGGATTAAGAAAATGTGGCACATATACACCATGGAATACTATGCTGCCATAAAAAATGATGAGTTCATGTCCTTTGTAGAGACATGGATGAAGCTGGAAACCATCATTCTCAGCAAACTATCGCAAGGACAAAAAACCAAACACCGCACGTTCTCAATCACTGGTGGGAATTGAACAATGAATTGCACTTCTATACAGCACCAACAAATTATCTGAAAAAGAAAGAAAGAAAACAATCCTACTTACAATAGCAACAAGCACAATAAAATTACTTAGGAATACATTTAACCAAGAAGTTTAAATATCAGCATATAAAACACTGAGAAAATAAATTGAAGATGACACAAATAAAAAGAAAGACATCACATGTTCATGTATCAGAATTAATATTATTAAAATATCCATACTACCCAAGGTGATCTATAGGTTCATTGCAAACTCTATCAAAATTCCAATGGCAGCATTCTTCACAGATAGAGAAAAAATAATTCTAAGATTCATATGGAACCACAAAAAAACCTGACCAAAGCAATCTTGAGAAAGAAGAGCGAAGCTGGAGGCATCACATTTCCTGATTTCAAACTATGTTACAAAGCTATGTTAATCTAAAGAGTATGGTACTGGCATAAAAACAAACACATAGACTAATAGAACATCATGAGTTTGAATGGTACAGGTCCACTTATATGTGAATTTTCTTCTGTTTCTGTCACATCTGAGACAGCAAGACCAATCCTCCTCTTCCTTCTCTTCCTCAGTCTACCCAATAGGAACACAAGGAGTATGAAGACCTCTCCGCTTTGACTTAAGGAATAGTAAATATATTTTCTTTTCCTTATGATTTTCTTAATAACACCATCTTTTCTATAGTTTACTTTAGCGTACAAATACAGTATATAATACATATACAAAATACATGTTAATCAAGTGTTTACGTTATTGGTAAGGCTATTGGTCAATAGTAGGCTATTAGTAGTTAAGCTTTTGGAGAATCAAGTTTTAAGGCCAAGGTAATTCAAGGCCCAGTCTGGGAAACATAGTGAGACCCCATGCCTTAAGAAAAAGTTATATGCTGATTTGCGACTATGCAGGGGTCAGTGCTCAAACTCCACGCTGTTCAAGGGTCAACAGTGTATTATATGCAGAATATAAGAGAGTTGAACTCATCAAAACATAGAGTACCATGGCAGTTGCCAGGGAATGGCGGTGGGGGAAATGGGTAGATTTTGACCAAAGGGGACAAACTTTCAGTTATAAGATGAGCAATTTCTGAGAATCTAATGTATAGCATGGGTGATAATGTATGTATTAATTAATTTGATTGTAGTAATTATACAATGTATTAGGTTGGTGCAAACTAATTGCACCAACCTAATTTAGGCATATCAAATAATTGCATTGTACACCTTGAGTATATACGCTCTTTGTCAATTAAATAAATAAAAATAAAAATGGTCAGATGAGTTTAATAATTAAGAATCTGAAAGAGGGAAAAGTCAGTTAGAATTTTGCTTGTAGTTACAGAATAGAGCCAAATATGTAAAATTTCCCTGTTCAATTAAAAATCACTAAAAAACTAACACTAATATGAATGTATGCTAATTCTGCAATGGTTTTGTACAGTGTGGTCATCTACAAGTTCAAATGCTACACAAGTATTCAAAAAATCATTGGGAAAGTGTTTCTAGTCTAATGCTAAGTGAGTAAAGGAGACTGAAAAATTGTGCCTAAACCTATGGGTGACAACTTTCCTTCTCACTATTAAAACTTGTTTCGAGCAATACTTTGTAATAAAATAGGAATGGAAACATTTTAAGGCTATTAACTTTTAATCAATGACTTAAAGACAGTCACTTATTTTTTTTTCTAAACTATTCAAAACCTAAACAGGTGGTATGGAGGAAAGACCTGCACTTTTTGAGGAGTTTGAATAATCAGGCAATTGACCACATCAAACAAATTAATCTCTAGGGAGAGGCTGAAAATCCCTTCTCCAAAATGCTTGAAACCAGAAGTGTTTCGGATTTGGCGGTTTTTTTGTTTGTTTGTTTTTGATTTTGATTTTGGAATATTTGCATATATATAATGAGATATCTGGGAGTGAGACCCAAATCTAAACATGGAATTCATTTATGTTTCATATATACCTTAGGCACATAGTCTGAAAGTAATTTTATACAACACCTTAAATAATTTTGTCTATGAAACAATGTTTTTGTACACTGAACCATCTGAAAGCAAAGGTTTCACTATCTCATATTAGCACTGAAAAACTTTCAGATTCAGGGGCATTTCTGGATTTGGGATTTTTGTATTAGGATGCACACATCCTGTACTGATTTTAAAAGAAGGCTTTCCTGGGAATGATGCAGCCCAATAGAAATGGCAACTACCATTAAAAGCAAAAAGCTAGATTGAAATATTATCAGAATAAGTTGCCACATCACTCATTATTCACTAAAACACTTCTATTCAAAAGGCCCAATTTTTGTAGATTCCTGAAGTAGGACTTGACACCAGGTATCACAAATTTACAAACTTACCACTTCAGCGTTTTAAAACTTTCTTACCAGGATCCCTGGTCTTCTGGGTGCCATGGAAACTCCAACTAGAAAAGAAAATGAAATTCCCTTCGGCTGGAAACTGTTCGTGTCATTCCTGAGCCCCCCTAGGTGTCTGTTGTAGATTATATAAGCTGCAGTTCGCAAATGCACTTTGCATTTGTTCCACAAACCCTGTTGAATGCTTGTTTTGTAGGAGGTTCCACATGCTGGGCAAAGAAGAATGAATAAAACACAGTCTCTGCCCTGGAAGAATTTACAAAGAAATAGTGGTACTACAGGTGCTGTGGAACAGCACAGAGTGTGTAAATGTTAGCTTAATGGTATCTTTCTAACATCAAACTTTTTTATTTCTTCTGTTTTCACACTCTCATTGCAAAAAACTCAAACAATTCAGAAAAGAATAAAGAAGAAAATTTAAAACTCTTTGAAATCCTACCATCAAGTAATAAGCATTGCTAACATTTGATGAACATCTTTCTTAAGCATTCATGTACTAAAAAAATGAGAATTACACCCTAAACGCTATTTTTATAAACTCAGTGCTATTTTTCAACATTCCTTTTCCTAATCAGGAGCATGTAGTAGATCTCATGAGATGCTGCATCTTTTTCTTAATGTGATGTCAGCTATTATCATTTATATGCATTGGCCTGTCATAAAAGTCTGCAGAATCTAACTAAAGCCACCTAGGTTCATTCACCTCTACCTTATCTTGCAGGTGCTGCCTCTTGTCCCAGTGTGGAAGGAACCCTGACCTTGCAATTGAAAGGCCTTGCTTCTGGTGCTGACCACGTTCTGACCCTCAGCCATCCCTTAAACCTCCCTAAGTTCCAATGTTCTCTTCTGTAAAACGAGGGTTGTAAATATTTGCCCTGCCTGCCTTCTTCCCACTGGCTATTCCCTCTGCCAAAAACTGGGCTACTTGACCTCCAGGAAGCTTGCATATGTGTCACTCTTTATTCTCCTTATCATCTTTCTCCTTCACTAGAACATAAAGCACTACAAGGGCAAACATTTTTGTATGCTTTGTTTCCCGATATTTCTGTCTAGAACAATGTCTAGTGTAGTAGATGACAAACAAATGCTTGCTGAATTAATTGGACAGAGCTGAACAGAGAATGGGAGGTGGGAAGACTGCCTCGCCACACAACTCTGGGGGAATCCTTCACATTGTAGTCCATGTGATGGCATCTCCTGGAAGTGTGCAACTGCACAGGCTTCACAGCTGTGCGGCAACCCCAACAACAACCGTGGAAGTACTCTGTCAAAGAGTATGAATTATTAAATAAAAATATTTTTTCTAGTAATGAAAAAATGTGAAAACAAATAAAGGAAAAAAATCATCTCAAATTCTTCAACCTAGTGATAATATCTTCGTTAGTATTTGCTGAACATCCTTCTAGACACTTCTCTACTGATATATATATATATATATATATATATATATATATATATATATCAATCTTCATTTTGCATAAGTGACATCATACCATAAATGCTATACTAGTATCTGCTTTTGTTTTTGCCCAATAGTATATTATAATCAGCTCTCTTTGTCAGTAAATACAAATCCATATCATCTCTGTAAACCAGGGGTCTGCAAATTAAGGCTCATAAGCCAATTCCACCTGGGTTTTGTGTTTTTTTTTTTTTTGGTAAATTAACAAAGTTTTATTGGAACATGAATGTGCTGATTCCTTTATGTACTATCTATGCCCATTGCTGTGCTACAATAGCAGAATCGATTATTTCTGACAGACACCATATGGCCCACAAATCTACAATACTTACTATCTATTCTTTTCCAGAAAAGTTTACCAGCCCTGCTTCGTAGCTGAGTATTAA
Organism: Homo sapiens; assembly: GCF_000001405.40. NCBI lineage: Eukaryota > Metazoa > Chordata > Mammalia > Primates > Hominidae > Homo > Homo sapiens. The sequence goes on along the minus strand of NC_000024.10, from coordinate 24,925,696 downwards.
ATGGTATGAAAATACTCTATTTGAATTATTCCTCTATCAGAACATATTTACCTTGTTCCAATTTTTGTTGATAAATACGTCGTATACACATCTTTCAACTCATATCCAGTACATCACCTTGAGATAACTTCCTAGAAGTGGATTGGCTGGGCCAGACATGAACTCTATAAAGGTTCTTGATACACATGATTAAAATGCCCATGGCATGGAACCCTCATCTATTTCTGTGCTTTTGTATTTTCTGTGTGTATTTCAGTTTTGTTTAGTTGGCTCAAGTAAAATTAGTTCCTTTTGAAAACGTTCAGCTTGTATGAACTCAACTAAGGGTACCAGGAATTTCCATCCGCAACCCAGCCAGGAGTTTGCCAGAGGCCAGGAGAGCTCCTGTCCAGGCAGCTCCAAAGAGGCCAGGGGTCTGGTGAGGAATGGAGAAGAGCACGACTGAAAACTTAGAAGAGAGCAGCCAGGGACTGATGCCAGATCCGTTGACCCTGTCAAAAGATCTGAACTCTGCCCCACATTTGTCCTTTTGACCCCATCGAGTTAACCAGGAGTTTAGCCATCCATGCTCCACACAACTGTAGCTTTTCTTCTTCTTCTGTGCACCTATAACTCTGTCTCATTAGATTGCTCTGAAGTTTGTTATTGATTATCTAGGAAATAAATACAACCAACTTTTTGCCTATTTCCCAATTGTTACGGCTGGTAGAAATAATCAGCATAAAATAAAACTGACAACAGATGATACCACACATGGCAACAATGCTATTGGTTAAAAATGGAAAGAAGGCTCGCATCCTTTTGATAAAATGCATTCAAATTTTATTTTTTGTTTTTGTTTTTATTTTTTATTTCGATAGCTTTAGGGGTGCACGTGGTTTTTTGTTACATGGATGAATTGTATAGTGGTGAAGTCTGAAATTTTAGTGCACCCATCACCTGAGTAGTGTATATCGTACCCAATATGCAGCTTTTAGCCCTCATGCCTCACCCACCTTCTCCCCCTTTTGATTCTCTGATGTCCATTGTATAACTCTGAATGTCTTTGTGTCCTTATAGCTTAGCTCTCACTTATAACTGAGAACACATGGTTTCTGCATCTCCATTCTTAAGTTACTTCATTTGGAATAATGGCCTCCAGTTACACCCAAGTTGCTGCAAAAGACATTTTCTTTACATTTAGACTTGCAAAATTTGATGTCAGAGAGATTTGGATTTGGAAAACAAAAGCAAAAATTGCAGTGGTTGAAACTAAATAAGGAAAAATTAATGTGATACAAAAAAACTGATCAATGAATCTAATTTGTGTAAAAACAATGAAAATAAGGAAAGAATTGCAGTGAAAAGAAAGTTCAGTGAAATAAAATTAAACACAGCAAACATGGAAACTGGCTTTGCTGCATGGTACAGAATACAATCAAGGGATTAAATTGGCTTGAGATTGTGCTGGAAAATATTTTCTTGATGGAAAGCCACCTATGTTGGGGATGAAATTTCTTTAAACCGACAGCTAGACAAATAACTTTCTACTCATTATTGGACTTCTATAGTCAATTTTTCACAAGAATGTTGGAGTCTCTGAAATCACTAAAGCCCCAGTAAAAAGGAAAATGGAATCTCCTATCAGTTGCTGTATGTAGAACCTCTTTTGTAAGCAAGTGGCAGCCAATGTTAACACTTCTCACACTGACCTTAACAATTCTTAGAATATTAAAAAAATTCTGCACAGAAATTAAGTATTATGTACTTATTTCTAACAATTCCAAGGAGGTAAACATTATTGTACAATTTCAAAGTCTTTTTTATAGTGTACATTTAATAGCAAATAAGAGAATATTTTACAATTTGATTACATAATTTTACTTGTGAGTTTTGTAGGGTTTATGGGCCATATTATTTTTTACCCATCTACTATACTTATTTAATAGGCTTCTGGAGAGGATTTTATAATGTTACACTAGTTAGTCTTATTTTTATTAGAATATGCTTTTTACTGAAGATTTCCTATATCAAAGAAACAAAGGAGAAAAATAAAATACAAAAATTAGAAATCAGCCATAGCCTCTATGGAGTGCAGTCACCAAAGTGCCAATTCCAGAGGCAAAGTATTTTTGTTTTATTTATATTGTTATGGCTCATGTGGTGACTTCATTTAAAGACACTGTTCCCAAAGCTGAATTATGTATGAAAGCAAATACGGGAGACAGGAAGCAGGGAAGGAAAAGAGTAAAATCAAGAAAGCAACATCTCAAATACCATGAATGATCCCGTTACTTTTTCCCCCTCATCAAGATCGACTCAAGGCCTGGGCTGCACAATACTGAGAAAGACCAATTAAAAACTAAATTGTCTGAAATGACTGTGGTCACACAGGTGAAATTTTGTTTTCTTAAGAGAAAAAAGAAATTTGTCAGCTTCTTGAGGGCAGAAAAATATTGTTGTAGATCTCTATGTTGCCAACACTTAGTATAGAGCTAGTATAGTTATTTTTGAATAAATGAATGGGTAAGAAAAAAATAACGCACAAATGAAAATATGTCATTATTTAAATACTTGGGACTTGTCGGTCTAGTCTTGCTCAGTGGTTCTCAGTGGTTCTCAATATTGACTGCACATTACAATCATTTCGAGAGTTATTTTTTCTTCACTTTTTACTATGTATTATATACAGAGAAGTACACATTTCTAGGGGAGCTTTTAGAAACTGCTAATGACCCCTATAATGGTTTAAATTTAAGATACTGACAATATTGGTGGTGTGGCAAAAATGTAGGACAACTGAACACTCACACATCACTGGTGGATGTGTGAAATAGTACAACTACTTTGAAAAATGGTTTGGAGGTTAGGCACAGTGGCTCATGGCTGTAATCCCAGCACTTTGGTAGGCCGAGGAGGGTAGATCACGAGGTTAGGAGTTGGAGACCAGCCTGGCCAACATGGTGAAAACAACGCCTCTACTAAAAACACAAAAATTACCCGGGCATGGTGGCACGTGCCTGTAATCCCAGCTATTCAGAAGACTGAGGCAGGAGAATTGCTTGAACCTGGGAGGCCGAGGTTGCAGTGAGTCGAGATCGCGCCATTGCACTCAAGTCTGGGAGGCAGAACAAGATTCTGTCTTGGAAAAAAAAGAAAAAAAGAAAAATGATTTGTAAATTTCTTATAAAGTTAAACAGACACTTACCATAAGACCCAGCAATTCTACTCCTACACATTTACCCAAGAGAAATGAAAACATATCTCCACACAAAGACTTATAAGAACGCACATAGAAGCTCTATTCCTAACAGTCAATACGTGCAAACAGCCCAGATGTCCATCAAGAGGTGAATGGATAAACAAAATGTGGTACCTCCATACAATGAAATACTAATCAGTAGTGAAAAAGAATAAACTATGGATATATGTAACAATATGATGACTCTGATAAACATGCTGAGTGAAAGAAGCCAGACTGTTAGGTTCTGTTTATATGAAATTCTTGAATAATCACCATTAATCTATAGTAACAAGCCAGATCAGGGGTTGCCTGGGATGAAATGTGGGGTATTTGAAGATGATGGAAATATTGTATACTTGATTAGAGCAGTGTTTATAGGGAGGATACATACTTGTCAAAACTCATTGAACTGTACACTTAAAATAAATGCATTTTGTTGTATGTAAATCACTACCTTTGAAAGATTGATTAAAAAAAAAAAAACTATTGACACCCAGACTCCACCTCAGACCAATTAAAATTAGAATCTCTAATGGAATCCAGACATTGGACCTATTTAAAAGAGCTTCCTGAGTAGTCTGATGTGTAGGAAGAGTTGAGAACTAGTGGCCTTAACTTTAAGAGAATATTGGGGAGAAAATAAAACAACAAAATAATTTTTTAAAGAGTGACTATGAAGGATCATGGATGATTTTTATTTTCTTCTTTAAGCTACTCTTTATTTTTGGATCTTTTTCCATCATGAATTATGTGCATAATTTTAAAAGACAGTGTTATTTTATTTATTTACCTATTCTACTCCTCTCATCCTCTCCAATTTTGCCCTCTCATTCATTTTGGTTCAGATAAGCCATTATCTGACATTCGTTCATCCAAAGCTGATTAACCATCCTTTTATGCAAAGGACTGTCTTAGGAATTGAAGGTGCAAAAAAGAACAAACAAATCTGCTCCAGGCAATCAAAGGCATAGGAGACAAAGATGTACACATTTATTTTTAAAAGAACCTCCAAATATTATAGTAGCACAAAGATGACAAGAGATAAGAATATGTTAATTTATTCTTGTGTGTTTCCAGAAAATGCGTGGAAATTTCTTTAAAAACTTAAAATGCACCTAACATAGGACCTTGCTGTTCAATTCCTGGGTCTTTGCCCAAAAGAAATAAAAGCATACATCTACACAAAGACTTACACACTAATGTTAGTAGCACCTTTGTTTGCAATAGCCCCAAACGTGAAATAGCCCAAATGACCATCAGTATAAGAACGGATACACAAATTGTGTAAAATCTTTATTATGAAATACTACTCAGCAATAAAAAGGAAGAAACTATTGATACATGCAACAACACAGACGAATCTAAAAATCATTATGAGAAATGAGAGAATTCACAGACTAAAGGGTATATACTGTATGATTCCATTTATATAAACTTCTAGAAAGCTTGAAGTAATTCATAGTGACAGAAAACAGATTATTAGTTGAGGGTGGGTTGGGGAATGAATTACAATGAGATGATGGGAATGTTTCTTATCTTCACTGTTGTGATGGTTTCACAGTTGTATACATATGTCAAAACTCAGCAAGGTGTACAATTTTAATATGTGCAGTTTATGTACAGTAATTATATTGCAATGAACCTGTTAAAATTAAAAGGAGGAAGGAAAAAATAGTGAAACCAACAAGGCTGTGAATGGGCCTGAATGAGACCCATGGCATCCAGTTGGTATCCTTGCTAACAACAAGGAACCATCTTGTGGGTCTGGACTAGGGAGAAGAATCTGGTGACTTCCTCAACTTTAGAGTCTGTTACTAATAGGAGAAGCAGCCAGTGGAGAGGAGGACACTTGGGATGGGGCTTTGAACCTTGGGTTCAAAGAAGAACTTGGGTTCTTCTTTGAACCTTGAGAAGAACCTGCATGGATGACAGACATATCAAGAAAACATGGGGCAGAGTCCCAGCACTTCCTTGTCTCACTGATTGTTTGGATTAAGCTAAAGTGATTTCAATCACTATTCAACAAACAAAAAGGTACCAAGACCTTTCAGTGGGGGAAAGAATTGTCTTTAATGATGCTGGGACAACTGAATATCCAAATGCAAAAGAAGAAAGTCGAGACCCTACTTCATACTATATAAAATGTTAACTCAAGATGAATCAATAACCTAAATATAAAAGCTAAAACTGTACCCCTTCGAAGAAAACACAGGTGTAAATCTTCTTCAAAGTGGATTCAGCAATAGATTATTACATATGACACCAAAAGCATGAAAAACAAAAATAGATAAATTATATTTTGTCAAAATTTTAAAATTTTATGCATCAAAGGAAGGACATTACCAAGAAAGTAAAAATCCAGCCTACAAAATGGGTGAAAATAATTGTGAATCATATTTTAATAAAGATCTAGTATTGAGAACATACATATAAACAACTTTTAACAACTCAACTACAAAAAACCTAACAATCCAATTTAAAAAGGAGCAAAGGACTGAATAGATATTTCTATAAAGAATATATACAAATGGCAAACAAACATGTTTTACAAATGTTCAATACCATTAGTCAGTAGGGAAATGCAAATAAAGGCCACAATAAAGTATCACTTCACAGCCTCTAGGATAGCTATACTTTTTTTAAATGGAAAATTAACAAGTGCTGGTGAGAAATCAGAACTTGTACATTGCTGGTTATAACGTAATATGGTTCAGCTGCTGTGGAAAACAGTTTGGCAATCTCTCAAATGATTAAACACACAATTACCATACGACCCTTAAGTTCATTGCTGTGTATACACCCCAGAGAATTAAAAATCGGAACTCAACAAAAAATAACAGATGCTAGTGAGGTTGCAGAGAAAAGGGAACCCTTATACACCATTGGTGGAGTGTAAATTCATTCAACCCTTATGAAAAGCGGTACGGCAATCCCTCAAACAGCTAAAAGCAGAACTGCCATTCGACCCAACAATCCAATTACTGGGAATATACCCAGAGGAATATAAATCATTCTGCCTTAAAGACAAATGCACACAAATGTTCATTGCAGCACTATTCACAATAGCAAAAACAAGGAATCAACCTAAATGCCCATCAATGACAAATTGGATAAAGCAAATGTGGTACGTATACACTATCAAATACTACGTAGCCATACAGAAAGAACAAGATCATGTCTTTTGCAGGAAGTGGATGGAGCTGGAGGCCATTATCCTCAGCAAACTAGTGCAGGAACAGAAAACCAAATACTGCATGTTCTCACTTATAAGTGGGAGCTAAATGATGAGAACTTGTGAATACAAAGAAGGAAACAACAGGCACTGAGGCGCACTTCAGGCAGGAGGGTGGGAGGAGAGAGAGGAGCAGAAAAGGTAACTGTTGGGTACTGGGTTTAATTCCTGGGTGATGAAATAATCTGTACAACAAACACTCCCATGACATGAGTTTATCTGTGTAACACGCCTTCACATGTACCCCCAAACCTAAAATAAAAGTATTAAAAAAGAAGAAAATAGGGACTCATAAATAAGTACATGTGCACACATGTTCATAGCAGCACTATTTACAATAATCAAAAGGTAGAAACAGCCCAAAAGTCCAGCAGGGGGAATGGATAAACATAATGTGGTATATTCACGGAACGGAATATTATTCAACCATGAAAAGGAATGAAGTATTGGATACCTGCTGCAATGTATGCTAAGTGAAGAAAACATGCTAAGTGAAAGCAGATAAAACATCACATACTGCATGATTCAATTTATACGAAATATCCAGAAAAGGTAAGAGTGCACCTAGGTGGTTTCCAGCGATTGCAGTTGCAGAGGGATGGGGGAAAACGGCTTAAAGGTATTTTTACTTCGGCATGATGAAAACATTTTAGAACTAAGATAGAGGTGCTGTTTGTAAGACATTATGAATCTACTTAGTGCTACTTTAAAATGGTTAATTTCATTATTTTAATTTCACCTCAACAAATTATTTTTTTAAAAGATTCTCCATATTCTAAACAAATCAGATCTGTTCTGTGTAAACCACTGCCTTCTAAGAAAAGGGCATGGAGTGAGATGGGATTGAAGTTTAAGTGACAGAGGAATTTAGGGTGGTAAACTGGGGGGCTCTGCAGTCAGACCCCTGACTCTGTAGCTAACTAGCTCTGTGACATTAGGTAAGATATTTTATAGTGTAAGTATTTGTGTTCCCATATATAAAAAATAAGAACAATATATAACTTCACTAGGGTGTTGTAAGGATTAAATGAGGGGAGTTACTTAATGCAATTTTGTACAGAGCCTGCTGACACATGGTAAATTTTAGCTCAACCTATTCTAACTGAATTTTTTTCTCCCTCCAATTTTAAGTTGTCCATTTCGCATTATAGTCCTAGTTATAGCTTTCATAAAGCCCAGTCAAAAATATTTCTGTCTCTTGGATTAATTAAGAGCAAGGCTGACTAGAAGCCCCTAGAGCTTGTCTCCATCACAGATGCCAGAAAGACTAAAAAAACACTACGTTTTAATGAGAGTAACTGAAGGAGAGTTCCAGAGAAACTCAGAGGAATAGCAGGAACCCTGATGAGCACAGAAACAGAACAGCCACAAAGAGAATGGAAGGAAATGCCAGGCCTTCACCACTCCATCCCCAAATTGAGATAAGCTAGGAACAAAGAGGAACTTCTTCATACAGTGAGGAGGTAAGCAAGAGAACACCAGCAACCCCGATCAACACCTTGGACATCCACAGACCTCACCATGGCAGAGGTGCCCTACGGTCCTCACAGGCACTACCTAAGCCCACCTGAAGGAGCTGTCTAGAGTTCACAAAGCTGTGCTCCCTTCAGAGAAGTAGCTAACACTATGTTCTCCTCTGTGGCCCACATGTCTACTGTGCTATACCATCTTGCAGCTAGACCTACGGCTGGAGTGTGTCGTGCTCAGGGTTCAAGTAGGCACAGGTCCCCTTCATCCCTGAGGCTAAACTGCCACCAAAACACCCCCAGCCTAGTGACTGAACATCCCCAAGGTGAGCTATAAGCATCTCTTACACACTTCTCCTGGGGCCAAGTGGAGGTGGAGCTGATCCACCTACTCTTCCCCTAACTCCTCAGGCCAGATCTGAAACAGTACCCTGCCTCCAAGAAAACAATACCTTAGTCACTTTGAGCAGTCATGCCTCCCTGTGCCTAAGTTTTAGCAGTGCCCTGTATCCCAGAAAATGGTCTCTGGGCCACCTGGGGAATCAGTGCCCTGGCCAAGCTGAGCTAAACTGCTGTAGTACCTTGCATCACAGAGAGGCAAAACCGTGGCTGAACTGAGACAGTCTGCCCTACAGGCCAAACAACTCTAGTATCCTAATTCCCTGGAGAGCTGGACTAGCCACCAAGAGCGGGAGCTGCTGAGACACCCCTCTCCCTGGAAAGTAAAATCATCACAGTGCTGTTTCCTGCCTAACAGGGCCCAAAGGACAGCTGTGCTCCACTATTCAGGGTACTTGCTACTGCTACACCTGGCCTCACAGAATCTGGAATACTGCTGACTCCACCATCACAAGGTCTAGAGTCACTACTACTGCCACTACAACAACTATTACTACTACAACTACAACAACTACAACAACTACTACTACTACTACAGCTACAACTACTACTACTACTACTACTACTACTACTACTACCACTACTACTACTACAATGGGACCCACATTGCCACTGATACCTATTGGCTTGGGTTCCTGAATTGCAGCACTACCCTGCTCCCTAGGCCCAAACATCCAGAGCACCCCTTCTTCTCCAGAGTTGGTCCAGTGCTGCTCCCTGGCCACTAGGGATAGAATCACAGCTACAACCCAAATCCCTGTAACCAAGCTGCTAGGGGGTACCTCAGAGTCACAGATCCTGGCTCTTTGGGCAACCTGCATTCAACCTCACCACAGAGAATAAACAGGCACCCCAAGACCCAAGTGCCACACATAGTTCATGAAACCTTGAGCCTAGGACCCTAGCACCATAGCCATTTGGAGCACCTAAACCTGGAACCCAGCACTGCTATAGCTACTTATAGGCCATGTCAGACCTGAATCCAGAAAGGATACTCTTGTCTAAATCTCCCCAGTGTGTGGAAAATGAGAATGAAGAAAACCCCCAAAGCCTTTGATATGGAGGTTATTAACAACTTATGCCATCATCACTACCACAAACTTGTATGGCCTAGGCAACTGAGGTACTCACAGCTACTGCTGATATTGAATGCAGCCAAAGAAGCTGAATGAGGCCATACCACTTCAACTATCTTGAAAAAGAGTCACTGCACCCTTCTCAACTGGCACACTAAAACTCAGATGCACGTGAAAGTCTTTCTCTACAAAAGCAAGAGAAAAGCATCAAGTCACATATAAGGGCATCTCCATTAGACTAGTAGTGGATTTCTCTGCAGAAGTCTTACAGGCCAGGAGAAAATGAGATGATATAATTCAACGTGCTAAAAAAAAAAAAAAAAAAAAAAGAAAGTTCAGTCAAGAATGCTATTCCCAGCAAAGCAATCCTTCATAAATGAGGGAGAAATAAAGTCTGCCTAAAGCAAGCAAAAACTGAGGGAGTCCATCAGTGCTAGACTGGCCTTACAAGAAATGGTTAAGGAAGTCCTACATCTGGAAGTAAAAAGATGATGATCACTATTACAGAGACATATACAAGTATAAAGATCACTGGTAGAGCAGATATACAACAAAAGGAATAATAATCAAATCGTATCACTATAGAAATGACCAAACTGCAACGATAAACAATAAGGCAGAAATAAATGAACAAAGGATATACAAAACAACAAGAAAATAATTAACAAAATGACAGGAGTAAGTCCTCACCTATCAGTAATACCTTGAATGTAAACAGATTAAATTCCTCACATAAAAGACTTAGGCTAGCAGAATGGATTGAAAAAAAAAAAAAAAAATTACCCAACTGGATGCTGCCTACAAGTAACTGACTTCACCTGTAAAGACACTTGTGTGATTACATAGACTGAAAGTGAAGGAACAGAAAAAGATATTCCATGTGAACCAAAACCAAAAGTGAATTAGAGTAGCTATACATATCAAATGAAACAGACTTCAAGTCAAAAACTGTAAAAAGAGACCAAAAAGGTCATTATGTAATGATAAAGGGTCCAATTGAGCCAGAGGATATAACAATTGTGAATATATATTCACCCAACATCAGAGCACCCAGATATATAAAAACCAAATATTATTAAATCTAAAGGGTGAGATAGACTTCAATATAGTAATAGTTGGGGACTTCCAACACTCACTCTCTGCATTAGACAGATATCTATATATATACATATATATATATATATATATATACAGAAACCAACAAAGAAACATTTAACAGGAAATGAATCTGAGACCAGACAGACCTAACAGACATTTCTAGAACATTTCATCCAATAGCTGCAGAATACACATGCTTTTCATCAGTAAATTCTGCACATGGACTGTTCTTGGGGACAGACCACATGTTCATCCACACAATTAAGTTTCAACAAATTTAAATGAACTGAAATCATGGTAAGTATCTTCTCTTAATCACAATGGAATAAAACTAGAAATCGATAACAAGAGTAACTTTTGAAATTACACAAATACATGGAAATTAAACAACATGCTCCTGAATGAGAAGTCAAATGAAAAAATTAAAACGATAATTTAAAAATTTCTGGAAACAAATGAAAACAGCAACATTTGAAAACCTATGCGATACAACAAAGCCATTTTAAGAGGAAAACTTACAGCAATAAATACCTGTATCCGAAAAGTGGAAATAAAATTAAAAACCTAACGATGCATATCAAGGAACTAGAAAAGTAAGAGCAAACCATGACCAAAATTAGTAGAAGAAAAACATAATGAAGATCAGAGCAGAAATAAAATGGGGACTATAAAAATACAGAAGATCAACAAAAGAAAAAGTTGGTTTTGTGAAAAGGTAAACAAAATTTGCAAACGGTTAGCTACACAAACCAAGAATAAAAGAGAAAAAGACTCAAATAAATAAAATCAGAAATGAAATAGGAGACTACCAGAGAAATATAAAGGATCATTACAGACTATTCTGAACAACTATACACCAAAAAATCAGAGAACCTAGCAGAAAGAAATAGACAAATTCCTGGACACATAAAACCTACCAAGATTGAACCAGTAAGAAATAGAAAACACGGGCCGGGCACGGTGGCTCACAGCTGTAATCCCAGCACTTTGAGAGGCAGAGGCGGGCGGATAATGAGGTCAGGAGATGGAGACCATCCTGGCTAACACGGTGAAACCCCATCTCTACTAAAAATACAAAAAAGTTAGCTGGGCATCATGACAGGTGCCCGTAGTCCCAGCTACTCAGGAGTCTGAGGCAGGAGACTGGCATGAACCCGGAAGGAGGAGTTTGCAGTGAGCCGAGATTGCACCACTGCACTCCAGCCTGGGTGACAGAGAGAGACTCCCTCTCAAAAAAAAAAAAAAAAAAAAAAAAAAAAAAAAAGAAATAGAAAACCTGAACAGACCAATTATGAGTAAGAAGATTGAATCTGTAATAAACAGCCTCCCATCAAATAACTGAGGAACTGAGGGCTTCAATGCTGAATTACACCACAAATTTAAATAAATAATAGCAATTCTTCTCAAACCCTTCCAGAAAGTTGAAGAGAATTCTTCAAAGTTCATTATTTGAGGTCAGCATTACTCTGATACCAAATCCAGACAAGGACACAACAAAAAAAGAAAACTATAGACCAGTATCTCTGATTAACAGAAACGCAAAAAACCTCAACCAAATACTAAGAAACTGAAACCAACAGCACATTAAAAAGATCATTCCCCATGACCAAGTGGGATTTATCCCAGGGATGCAAGGGATTCATCCCAGTAGAGCAGATATACAAGGGAGAAAGGAAAAACAATCAAACTTTATCACTACAGGAAAATACTAAACTGCAATGATAAACAATAAGAAAGAAATCAACAAAGGTTATACAAACCAACCAGAAAATAATTAACAAAATGACAGGATGTTTCCACATATGCAAACCAACTTAAATATGATACATCGCATTGACAGAGTGAAGAACAAAAACCATGTGATCATCTCAATAGATGCAGAAAAAACATTTGATAAAATTCAACAGGGCTTCATGATAAAAACTCTCCACAAGTCAGACGTAAAAGGAATATATCTGAACACAATAAAGGCCATATATAATAAACCCACAACCAACATCATACTGAACAGGGAAAAATTCAAAGGATTTCCTCTAACATACGGAAGAGACAAAAATATCCACTTCACAACTTTTATTCAGCATAGTACCAGAAGTTCTAGCCACAGCAATTAGGCAAGGGAAAAAAAAGAGCATCCAGATTGGAAAGGAAGAAGTCAAATTGTCCCTGTTTGCAGATATAAAACCTTTAAAACTCCACCAAAAAACTTTCAGTAGTCATAAATGAATTCAGTAAATTTGTTTGCAGACACAAAACCCTTAAAACTCCACCAAAAAAACTTTCAGAAGTGATAAGTGAATTCAGTAAATTTGCAGTACACAAAATTAATATACAAAAACCACTAGACTTTCTGTGTACCAACAAGCAGCCAGCAGGAAAAAATAATCAAGAAAGCAATCCCGTTTATAATAGGTATAAAAAATAAAATAAAGTATCTAGGAATAAATTTAACCAATGAGATAAAAACCTCTACAAGGAAAACTATTAAAAAACTTACAAAATAAATTAAAGATTACACAAAAAAGTAGAAAGACACCCCAACCCCATGTTCACAGGTTGGAAGAATTAATATTGTTAAAATAACCAATTCTGCCAAAAGTGATCTACAGATTTCATGCAATCCCCGTGAAAATGCCAAATACTTCTTCATAGAAATTAGAAAAAAAAATCATAAAATTCTATGGAACCACAAAAGACTCCAAGTAGCGAAAGCAATACTGAGTCAAAAGAATAAAGCTGAAGGCATCACGCTAGCGAATTTCAAAATGTACTGCAAAACTGTAGGAGTAACAAAAACAGCATGGCATGTTGAAGAGATCTCTGCACTCTCACGTTTATTGCAGTACTGTTCACAATATCCAAGATTTGGAACCAGCCTAAGTATCCGTCAACAGATGAATGCATAAAGAAAATGTGGTACATCTACACAATGGAGTACTATTGAGCCGTTAAAAAGGATGAGGTCCGGTCATTTGCAGCAACACGGATGGAACCAAGGACATTATTTTAAGTGAAATAAACCAGGCACAGAAAGACAAATGTCTTTATTCTCACTCATATGTGGGAGCCAAAATAATTGATCTCATGGAGGTAAAGTGTAGAACAGTAGTTAACAGAGGCTATAGAGAGTGAGTGTTGGGGTTGGGGGACGGGAATTAAGGGAGGTTGTTTACTGGATACAAAAATACAGTTAGAAGGAATAAGTTCTAGTGTTTGACAGCACAGGAGGGTGACTATAGTTAACAATAATTTATTGTGTAGTTCCAAATAGGTAGAAAATGCTCCCCACACAAAGAAATGATAAATGTTTGAGGTGATGGATATCCCAGTTACCCTGTTTTGATCACCACACATTGCATGGAAGCATGAAATTGTCACAGATATCCCATAAATGTGTATAATTATTATGTATTAGTAAAAATATTTCTGTATTTTGATTTGGAGAGTCTGCTATCTATGAGATAGTATAAAAAGCAATGGCCCAGATGTCAAGTCTCAGTTTCTTATTTATCTGAATCCCAGGGTGTGTAAATTTAAGAAAATCACACCTAAAACCTAGACATGTCTAGCACTTCAAAGGAGTTGACGAAGACCAAACGAAATCATATATACGAAGTAGCTCTGAAAACCCTAAAATCCTATACAAATTTCAGGGAGTATGCATGTGATGAGAAGAATGGGATATGAAATCCTGCCTGCCACCTCCAGCATTTCATGAAGGAAAAACAGAAATTGTGCTTAGGGAATGCTGGCCTATGTACCATTATTTCACTCATTTGTTAGTGTTCTACTCATTCAAGGCCCTCTCAGAAAAAAGGGAACTATTCTAGAAAATATCCTGAAGAGCCTAGCATAATGAGCTGTTTCCTACTACCAAAGAAGATACGCAAAAGACTACATTTCAGGACACAGTCATTCACCAAACCATGGCTGCTCTATACACAGACCACGTGGGAAGTTCTAGTTACTGAAATGTAAAGGCTGCAGAAAACTTAGGTGGGTTTGAGTGGGATGCAGGTGGGTAGATCTGTGGATGGGAAGCTAACCACATTGATGTGTTGCCCCAAATAATCTCATAGTAACACTATAAAGTAGATACTAGTATTGTTGTTTTACAGAGGAGGAAACCAAGACTCAGTGAGAAGCTCGTCCAAGCTTACTCAGGAAGTATTTGGGGCTGGGATTTAAAGTTCACTCTTTTTTATGACATTCTAGTACCTAAGTGATCAGAGGCATTTAACAATGTTCGTAGGAGCATAGTTTGTAACAGCAATCAACGAATCAACACAATTTACATTTAAAATTTTAAAACAAAAAATAAAAGTCAATTGTCCCCCAGCAAGGGAAATAACAAACCGTAAAATATTCAACTGATACAACTAAAAAGCAGTGAAAATAAATAGAATCTCCCAGTCAACACGGATGAGTCTAACAATGTGCCAAAAAAAAAAAAAAAAAAATAGTTTCAGTATATGTTCTCTTAAAGTTCAAAATATTGTGAAAAGAAACATTTTATTCAGCAGATGATTAAACCAAAATTCAATTTAGGTGGTTTCTTCTTCTTGGGGAGGAAGAGGGTGTGATCAGGGAGGGCATATTTTTTAATTAATGAAATGTTCTATTTCTCAAGCCAACTTGGGTATTTATTATTCTTTAAATAAATATTTTTATACTTTTGAGTGAACTAAATGTGAAATTTTAAAACACAGACATATACAAAAAGAATATGGATATCAAATGCCTAAGGCTGTCTCTGGAACTTGATCTCAACATATTTTTTTGATATTGATCTGTTATTATCATTCTTGCTTAAAGGTGTTAAGAGGTATTAGTTAATTCCACAGCAGGAAAAGGAGCAATGACAGGCCATACTTTTCTAAAAACCATGGGTAATACTATTTGTAAAGTGTGTCAAGTGAGTCAAAGGCATAGTTCTTCACTCCAGGAGGCAAACACAGTGTCTCTGTCCCCAGGATATCCACTCTGCCCTTTCCCACTCGAGCCTAGTCCCTCACCCTTGGCTTGCCTGCTCTTGGCCTTGGAATCCAGCTTTGCCTCTGTAGTCACTCCCTCCTGTCACTGATTTCTGGCCACAAGTCTTGGTTTTCAAACTTTCTATTCAATCTATTTCAGCCCATTCATGAGTCACTCTTGCCTGTGGACAGCTGGCATTCCCAGGCACGGGCTTGGCAGGGAAAGATGAATTCGGTGAATTAAGCCAACGGAATCCTTTATGAAAGTCATAGTTGACCTGACAGGGCTGTTTCTATCCTAAATCCAGGGGTAGCTTGAGATGATCTAATGAGAGCTCCCCAACTGAGGCCATATTTCTCAAAGTATGTTACAGTGGTCAGAATCACCTGGGGCACATGTTAAAAATGCAGATTACTGGGCCCATCCAGAGCATTAGAATAAGAGCATCTGAGAATGGGGCCCAGGATTTGGCTTCTGAAAAACACCCCTTATGATAGCTCTGATGCTCTTTGACTTCCCTGTAAAATTGGTATCTTGAGGAAACGTGCCCTATCGAATACTGCGCTGATCTAAACATGGACACAACTTTGGATGGTGAGCATATCGGTTTGTCAAAGACCCATCACCAACCAAAATGATGAGCAACAACCAAGTCATGTTCAGGAAAAAAAAAAAAAAAAAAGTGCAGGTCACGCTTTCCTCAATATAGTGGGTTTACTGCTTAAACACTGTTCAGATTTTACTCACAGTGAAGCTGCTCCAACACCAGGTAGGGGATCAGCATAGGTAAAAACAAGGAGAAAAATGTCCTCTGCCTTTTAAATTACCTCTCTCCATTCTTATGGGCCTAGTCAGATTTATGGAGGGTGTGAAGGAGGCGGGAAGAGTCCTATCAAAATTTTTAAACAAATGTACAAGGGCAGAGGGGACACGTCCACTTAAACAGCTGGCCTGGCTGTATCATTATCAACTGCCTTTCTTCTGGAGTTTCATCTAAGATTGAGCCAGAATGGAGTGTGTCTCTATCCATGTTATTTTGGGCAAAGACAATAGATGTGATTAGAACCTTAGTGTATTTTTGTTATTCTATAAAAAGATCTGATTGAGGGTTATGAAACCTCCAATTTTCCAAAGTGCTTAAAATGTTACTATTGCTTCAAATTTATAAGGAGTGTTCATGACCTGAATATCCCAGTCATGCAAGTATTTGTTCTATTGTTAAAGACCTAGTGAACCGGTATCTTGAAGTTTCATGTGGAAAAGACCTAGTGAACCGGCATCTTGAAGTTTCATGTGGAATTCCTGGCATGCAGCATTAATGAAGGTGCACGTAAGATACAAAGCCTTGTCTTGGGAAAACGAACTACAGACTTAACTAGAGAACTGTTTCAGACCAGTTAAAAACGTAAAATACAGCGACCATAGAGTTTAATTGTACAGTGGTAGAGTGGTAGTTTCAACTTCTGTACCAAGAGACAATTTTTTTTTTTTTTTTTTTTTTGCGTTTACTTAGGATTGGCCCACAGCTACATCCATACTGGACAGATGTTTTTAACTCTAAATGCAATGTTGAATTGTCTATTATTTCTTTGCTATGCAGATTATCTTGCATGAGCATTCAAAAACATGTTTATAGTTTGAACTTCTTATGTCTATTGTTTTCTACTACAAAATGTACTGTCTACAGATGGAAAGTTCTGTCTTTGGTGAGTGGCAAGGAATTGCTCACAACAATCAGTTACATACAGAGACATACTACACATGTTGGGAAGGGATAGATTACACTTATCAAAATATGTACAGGAGCAATCCTTATCTAGGGATTCCAAATGATCATACTCAATAGCTGGCCCATTCACAAGACTTGGTCAATGTAAAATACTGCTACTTTTTTCTCCCTTATGTTTCCCCACTTTCTCTATTGGCATCTTTGTGAAAGCAAGGTGGCACGCTGCCTTATCGTTGCTGCTCCTCATTACCCTCAACTGACAGCAAGGAAAGCAGGCAAGGCGATTAAGCAATGTGGCAGCCCATTTTTATCAGTTTACCTTTAAAAAAAAGCCAAGAAAAATTTAGTGAAGAGGGGGCTAGAGGTGCTTTATAACGAGAGGGAAATGCTGTGGAGTATTTATTTTTAAGAGTCAATGACTTCCTTGCCAGACAGGTACTACCAATTCTGAAGTTATTTTGAATTAAAGGTAATCTGATTTTAGAAAAAGAAAAAAACCAACATGCAGAATACACTTAAGGAAGTGACCAACCTTTTTAGAGCTGCTTGATTTCACCATAACTTGAACTTTTTACAAAAAAGTGCTTAACTGTTATTTTTCAATTCCAAAGATTTTTGTGGTAATAATTTAATAGGAAACTAGAAACAAGCTGGTGTAAAGCAACTATCTTAAACCATATGTAGTCTAGTTTTGGGGTCTGAAAATACTGAAAACCTACTAGCTTGATCAGCTAGAACCAAATATTCTGGATAATCGTTAGTATGTACATAACCATAAATATATGCATATATAGACACATATGTACACATATATACACATAGGCACATAAAAGAATTACTAATTTTTTGCCTATTATTGGACACTAAACATCACAATTTAATCTTTGGTGATGCAGAAAGCACTGTTTGCTATCCTGCGTATCCTTGGAGTCAACTTTCTGGTTATGAATCAGCAAGCTTACTAACTAATGAAATACGTGTCTGAGGAGTTTCCTCTCCACTGGACTCAGCTTATAGAACTGAGTACTAACACTAAAGCTAGAAGAAGCGGTACTGATTTTTTTTTTTATGGTATCCACAGGAAGTACCTGCAATATAAAAAAATTAAGCTCCCTTAGGCAACTGCAATACCCCGAAATAAATGATCTAGAGACTAGGCCCAAAGTGTACAGTAGACAAAATGCTTCATAGGGTCCAAAATGTGAGGGACCTTAGCCGTGAGATAGCAGAGTCGGATGTGTTCATCAGCATTCCTAGTCTGCACTGCTGTTGATGCACCTCTTAAACTTATCTTTGTACCTACATTTGCTTTTATGGGCTAACTCAGACAGATTAGTATACTGAACTTTATACTTCTGCATTTTAAGAATCTAAAGCTTGTTATACGAATTTAAACCTTGTTACACAGTTCCCACGCAACTCCCCACCATTTTACATTATTACATCGGAAAGCCAAAAACACATTTGAAGAAAAAAAGTTTATTTTTATTCATTTATGCAAAGACAGTATCAGCAATAGGTAGTAGGAACATTTTTCTCAGTTTAGAATTAATTTTCCATTTTGAAAGGGACTTAATATCTTCTTTACCTTACTCTATTAAATACTTCAACAAAGACAAAAATTTATTCCTTTACTTTTCCTTAAGGTCATATCGGAATAATTAGAATTAACTCTTTAGAATGTAGGTATCATTTACAGAAATCTGGAGATTTAATCACAGAATGATGTATGTCGGAATGTTAAAAGCACTAAAAAAACTATGGATAATTTTTTAATGGACAAAGTCATGGTGCTTTCAATTTCTGAGGTGTAATAAAGCCTTCTTGGGAATTCTAAAGTTTAAAGACTGTATCCTTCGGATTCCGAATGAAAATTTTGAGAAATCATAGACCCCAGTGGGCATTAGTAATATGGCCCATAGTAACGACATTAACTTAGAGTCTCCACGTTTTAGGGAAGAAGCCATTGAAAGAAGGGCCAGAAAGCCACTTTAAACACATGTCCATGGCAGATCAAATGATACTGATACAAATGTTTCCCTTAGAAAGGTATTATATCCCATTGCTACCATTCCACGGCTTGGCCTTTGAACTGCTCATACAGCTACTTCCATTCTTTACATCACCAGTTCTAAGAGCAAACCTCCTGAAAGACTAGTAAAAGAGGCTGGGAAAACAAGACTGTGAGTATAGCAAAAGGGCTCTGGTGCTCTAGCTGTGTGGTCACAATATAAAATGAGGACACTACCTAATCTAGAAACAACATGCCTCTTCTGGACATATTTTATTTTACAGAAGGAAATATAACAGGCTAAAAAACAAAAATAAAAATCTATTTATAGCAAGTAACTAATACTTCAATGTTTTTATAAAAACAATTCCTTTCAGATACTCCGATTAACCTTTGAGTGACATAAAAAAGCTGCAGCGTTCTTTAATACCAGTATTTTGCAAATTTCACATACAGCCATTAAGTTTAGCATTTCAAGGAACAATTTTTTTTATAAAAAAGAATGGTAACTCATTGAGAAGGTTATATACCCAGTAAAGTTTAGTTTGTCTTGGATTCTTTAAAAAATTAGGCCCAGAATTTTAGTTATCCTAACTACTATCCCAATCAAATTGGACATACATATGTGGATTCTAGATAAAAGATAAAATACTTTGAATAAACATTATGACTCACTGATTGGACTGTTTGCTTAGAATCTGTTTTACTGGGTTTGGATAAGACTTCAATAAAGCTAACTATACATTGAGTTCCACTGATTAAAAATGCAGTTTTAAAAATTCTGCTTTTGAGGTAAATTTCTAGATAAATCATAAATGCAAAGCTCAATACTGAAATATTGTACTGTTCACAGGTACTTCTTGGAGAAGTGAAATGCTTGTGTTCAGACTATCAAAATTGTTAGCTTTCAAATCAGGTTTTAAAAACTTTTTTGAAAGTCAGTATTTGCTTTTAAACACTTAAAATGCAAGTTTCAATTTTTTAAAAATCCTTGCAGATAAATCTTAACATTCTTTCAGTCTCGATTATTTGTTACTTTAAACTATATATTAAACACAGAACCAGGTTCTAAATAAACATCTAATGAAGAACAGTTTCAGTGTTAAGATAAAACTAGAGAGTCTAATAATACAAGTTATACAGAAAGTTTCAGTGTGATTTACCAAAATTCAGAATTTCTGTAATAGTGGAAAACTTTTAGCTTAATATTCAAAACCAGCAACTTCCCATGAAACTAGATAGCTGAGAGGATCCAACAGATTTAAATACTGCCAAACTTCTTCTAAAGCGATGCACTCTTTTACCCTGGAAAAGACAGAAATAGTCCTTTTATTTTACTGAAAATTTCTGATGACTACTATGGATCTGAAAGTTGTCAAAACTTAAACCATTTGTTTTGGGTTTAAACATTATAAATAATGAGAAAAAAAGATGATTCTTTTCAGGAAGCATATTTGAACACTGGGATAACAAATGTACCAAGATGGCTAGTTTTATTAAACAGTTAAAAAAAGAAATCAATAATTAAATAAAACAAATTCCAGTAAACTGAGAAATAAAAGGACTTAAACTCAGTATCATTTTATGTACTTCTTAGTTAATAATTTTGCAGTAATGTCCCAAAGACAGCTGGTAGAAAATGTAATTGTAAAGAATACTTTTTTCACTAATTGAACTGCATTTAATACCAACTACAGCTTGCGAACTGCTCTCCAATCTGAAATTTCGTGTTTTTAGATTAAAATATGTAAGTTTTGGCATTTGAAGAACATATCATTAACCTGTGAAGACATATCATTCTTTAGAAAGGAAGATAAAACTTTAAAATACATGCAAAACTTTCTTTTCACTCTATGTTGCCTGCAGACGTGCAGAGAGAAGTGAGAGGTCTTACAAGGAGGAATGGGAATGAGTGAACGAGTAATAACATTTCCTTTTCTACAAAGCTGTGCCCTTTTTTTAAGACTTCAGTTTCATTTTCATATAAATAAAAGTGGCTTCTGGAAGTTACCTCATCTGTCAAAAGAGTGATAATCAATTTAGGTTAAAATCTAGAAAACTGGTCACCAACATGTATATTCAGAGGTCATGTAGGAAACAAGATTGTGAAAGGGCTAGATAACTAAGACAATGAAGAGAAATCGGCTATGGAAATTGTAAATACATTCAAAAATATCTCAGGCATTCTAATTCAATATAACAACGTGCAGTCAATTAAAATAGGTCTAAATGTCAGACAACTGCAGGATGCCAACTTCTGATTCCTCTCCCAAATAAGCAGAAAACTCTGGAAGTTTCAAAGCGAGTCTTTTGTCTACCACCAGGTGAGAACTCAAGTTTAAAAAAATATTTTCTGGGCTGGACATGGTGGCATACGCCTGTAATCCCAGCACTTTGGGAGGCTGAGGCAGGAGGATCACTTGAGCCCAGGAGTTCAAGACGAGCCAGGGCAATATAGTAAGATTCTCTCTTAAAAAAAAATCTTTTGGCTGGGCACGGTGGCTCACACCTGTAATCCCAGCAATTTGGGAGGCCGAGGCGGGCAGATCACAAGGTCAGGAGATCGAGACCATCCTGGCTAACACGATGAAACCCCATCTCTACTAAAAACACAAAAAATTAGCTGGGCGTGGTGGCAGGCACCTGTAGTCCCAGCCACTCGGGAGGCTGAGGCAGGAGAATGGCATGAACCTGGGAGGCAGAACTTGCAGTGAGCCAAGATCGCACCACTGCACTCCAACCTGGGTGACACAGTGGGACTCTGTCTCAAAAAAAAAAAAAAAAATTTCTTTTTAACTAGCTAAGTGTGGTGGTGCACGTCTGTCGTCCTATTTGGGACGCTGAGGCAGAAGGATCCCTTGAGTGCAGGAGTTTGAGGTTGTAGTAAGCTGTGATTGCGACACTGCACTCCAGCCTGGATGACCAAATGAGGTCACCTCAAAAAAAAAAAAAAGAAAGAAAGAAAGAAACACAAAAAACTATCTTCTGCTTTGAAAATCACTTAAGTACTACTGTAGACACCAATGTAATCAGAATTTTCGGCAAGATAAGCTGATGTACAATTCCAGTTCTTTCTTTTCTAAATTGTACTATCTATATAGAACGAAGCAACAAGAGAACAAATGTCAAATTTAAATATATTTACTCCATGTTGCAAAGATGTTAAGAACTTAATTCTGCTATCTGGCTCTACTCTTCTACATTATACAGAAGATTCATAATATAACCCTTTAAAAAGGCTTAGGCTTCATCCCATATCCATTCACAGACAAAAATAAGCTAGTTCTGTTGTAAGACACAAAGTGATGGTTAAACATTTTCTTTTGAATGTAAAGTGTGTAGCCAGTTTTGACAAATCTGGCAGTTCCACTAAAGGTTAAATATGACTTAGCAATTCCATTCCCAAGTATATACGCAAGAGAGGTAAGCACGTATGTCCCCACAGTAACTTGTACATGAATGTTCACAGCATTAGTTATAACAGCTAAAAAGTGGAAATAATCCAAATGTCTTTAACAGATGAATGCATAAACAGAATAAGGTAATATCTACAAATAAAAAGAAATGATTAAGTTCTGATACGTGCTAGAATATTGATGAACCTTACAAACATTATGCTGAGTGAAAAAATCCAGTCACAAAATGCCACATCATTATGTATGATTCCATATACAAGAAATCTCCAGGACAGGAAAATCCTTAGAGGAAAAAAGTAAATTAGTGTTTGCCTAGGGATACACACAAGTTCCAGGAAAATAGCAGGTGACTGCTAAGGTACGGGGGTGATTTTTGAGGTGATTTAAGTATTCTAAAATTGATTGTGGACATGGTTGCACAACTTTGAATATATGAAAAAACAGTGAAGTGCACATTTTAAATACATAAATTGTATTACTGGTATTATTTTAATAAAATTGTTATTTAAAAAACACCTTCCCTTTATTAACCATAATATTTTTCTCCCACCGGACTGACCAAGTTAGTTCTTTTTCGTATTTATAGACTTAGAACCACAGGGACCCAGAAACCTTTAGTCCTGTACCTTCTCATTTTAGACTTGTAAGAATTAGAGCCTTAATAAAAGATTTATCTATCCAACATGGATAGAAAGTGGGATCAGAAGTCAGATCTTTCTGGAATTCAACTAGCCACATTCTCTTCCGCTTCACCAACTCTGAATCAACCTCTCTTTCTACTCAACTTTTTACTGCTTCATTTTACCCCTTTTCTCCCTTCACACTGTTCAGGTGTATCATCTGAGTAAATCATTTCTTTTCTTCTCTTTAGTCCAATATGCATGTATTAAGTTCTACTTTTTTTTTTTTTTTTTTTTTTTTTTTTTTTTTTTTTGAGACAAGGTCTCTCACTCTGTTGCCCAGGCTGGACTACAACGGCACAATCATGGCTCAGTGCAGCCTCAACTTCCCAGGCTCAAGCGATCCTCCTGCCTCAGACTCCTCTGGAGTAGTTGGCACTACAGGCATGTACCATCACAACTGGCTGATTTTTGTATTTTTTTGTAGAGATGGTGTTTTGCCTTGTTACCCAGGGTGGCCTCGAACTCCTGAGCTCAAGCAATCCACCCACCTCAGCCCCCCAAAGTGTTGGGATTACAGGCGTGAGCCTCTGCACCCAGCCAAGATCTCCTTTCTGTATCTAAAATTTTATTTTACTATTTGGTCAAGGTAGTCAACTAACTCTCTTCTCTAGTAAACCCTTTCAATTACAAATTTCTGCTGCAGGATTCTTCCCTAAATTTGACTACATTATATCAAGGCTCGGCAGCAGAAAATATACTGCCAGGTAAAACCCACACTGGTTTACTGGGTTACAGTCAAATGCCAACAGTTCAATTAAATGTTCTAGGCCGGGCACGGTGGCTCATGCCTGTAATCCCAGCACTTTGGGAGGCTGAGGCAGGTGGATCACGAGGTCAGGAGATCGAGACCATCCTGGCTAACACGGTGAAACCCCGTCTCTACTAAAAATACAAAAAATTAGCTGGGCGTGGTGGTGGGCGCCTGTAGTCCCAGCTACTCGGAAGGCTGAGGCAGGAGAATGGCGTTAAGTAAACCTGGGAGGTGGAGCTTGCAGTGAGCCTAGATGGGGCCACTCACTGCACTCCAGCCTGGGCGACAGAGGAGACTCCGTCTCAAAACAAAAAAAAAAGAAAAAAAATTCCTCTAAGAAAGCCCAAAATACATGTGCCACAAGGAAAACAGCTAACTTGAGAGGGAACAAGTGTGCTTTTTAATTATGCATGCCATTCCTTTCATACCTTGAAGCAGTCATCTTGAGTAACAACGGAATTTATCAGTCTCTTCTCTGGATTAAACAGACAAGATACCACCATTTGTATGCTTCGGTCCACAGATTTCTGAAACACAGAAGTTTTCAGTAATGTAAAGACAACTCTTTCTTTCACTCACTCTTAATAAGGGTGTGTTTTGGTTTTTCTTTTGATGGTTTAATGAACATATCAGTTTATTTCCAAAGAAATGCAAAAATGCTAAAAGAGGCTGGGAGCAGTGGCTCACACCTCTAATCCCAGCACTTTGGGAGGCCGAGGAGGACGCATCACCTGATATCAGGAGTTCAAGACTATCCTGGCCAACATGGCGAAACCCCTTCTCCACTAAAAAATACAAAAATTAGCTGGGTGACGGGTGCCTGTAATTCCACCTATTGGGGAGGCTGAGGCAGGGAGAATTACTGGAACCTAGGAGACAGAAGTTGCAGTGAGCCGAGATCACACCACTGCACTTCCAGCCTGGGCGACACCGCAAGACCCTGTCTCAAAAAAAAAAGAAATTCATAAAAATGTGATTCATAATTCCTGCCACATATCCTCAGTATGTACGTTTTCTGACAAATCGAAGAATTATTTTAGAACCTTAGCGATAGAATACTGGTTTAAAAAGCTGAATTTGTTAAATCCCTAAGTGAATTCCAATGTTTCAAGAAAACATACTCAGAACAAAACCAGACAATTATACTGTAAGAGTTATGTTTTCATATTTATTCACATTTTAAAATCCAATATCAAATCAAGGAATTTACACTGCAATGGGACTTCTTGGGTATTATACATATTACCAGCACATCAACTACTTCCACACGCCCACCTATCTAACAGAACATATGTGACGCCAGGAGTGACAGTACTGTTATTACAGAAATTTGCACTAATGATAAAAAAAAGAAACAACCCTGTCTATTTCAGTGTTTGAATAATTACTACTGACTTCACCACTGTTGGAAACTTCTGCCACATATAATGTTATGGAGAGAATGCTTATTTAAATGGTATTTTTCACTGCTTAAGATCAAAACTGTTGTAAAAGAAAAGGGACATACAATTCGTACTAATTCTTCTTTTGAGTAGAATTCTAGAGGAAACCCTCCCATAGCATTCTGCCAAATCATATTAATACAGTATTTATTAAAGAATGGCTTTTTAAAATTAGTGAAACTGAAATACAGGAAAGGACTTGCTGAATCAGAAACTTTAGGTATATACTGAAAATTTGGGGTATCTGAAATTTCAACAACCTTTACATTAACTGCTGACTATCAGTCCATTATTTAAGCTCCATGATTTATGGCTAACATTTTTAAATTTGGGCAAAAATGTTTGCTTCTCAAAAAAAGTCATTCAAATTAGAAAAAAATATGAAATATATATTGTAAAAAAAATTCAAAATTAGATGTTTGCCTTTTGTGGGCCATTTCCAGAGGGTGGGGTAGCTTCATGAATTGAGCATTCATTTAGCACAACATCACCTCCTGTATCAACTTCACTACAGTGACAGTTAAGAGCTGAATAAGCCTATATTTAAAATAATGAAAGTGTAATTAAACAGATAATACAGATACGTTTAAAAGCTACTTATTTATTCCTCAAAAAGGTGAGCTGGTATCAAAAGTTTCAATGTAGGTTGTGTTGAAATTCAATTGTGTTACTTCAGAAACCTTGTTTTAAACGAAAAGTTGAAATGCATTAAGGCAGCCTTTTGTTTTAAAACGTCTTCCAGGTATCAACATAATCAGAGGTAGAAGGATTCTAAGAAACAAATGTAGTTAAGGGAGTGTTTGAGAATTTTAACACTTACTATATCCTTCAAATATCCAATCGTGATGTAAGACAGCAGCTCTGTTGTATTAGAGGTAATACTCTTGTTTTATTCCTATTCCTCTTTAAGAGTAATTAATAGCAAAACATTTCGGTTTCTCCTCAACAAATGTTTTATGGCTAGTAAAGCCAGAGGCATATTCTAGGCAGATACATGCTAATTCTAAAGCCAGTTAATACCGCCATTCCTGGATTATATAATCTATCAACAAGTAACTGAACACTTATCATTATGTGGACCAGCCACTGTTTCAGCACACAAAAATGTGAGAGACAAAAAGGCACTGTTGCTCCCATGGGAGTTTATAATTGGGTTAAAAATAAAGTAACAAAACATAAAACATTAATATAAAGAACCATTTAAAAATATCTACAGGCATATATGGCATAGAAAAAAGTCAAGAAAGATGAGGAAGTATACGTTTCACTAATTCACTTTACTCCATAACCCCTTTTGCTCCCCAACAGGCCACTGCGGTAGCACCTTAAAAAAATAAAAAGAAGGAAACCAAAACTATTAAAATATTCCTACACATTTTCAAAAACTCATGAGATACACAATATTGAAGCACTTATCATGCTGGCTCATTTGTTATTAAAGTGAAAGAAACAGAGTAAAAAAAAAAAAAGAAGTACTTTATGTTTCTAATCCCTGATGTTCTTGTTACTTTTATACATAAAACCTCGCCATTTTCCCAATTTTCTGGAGTTGGCATTGTGGAAATCTCAAGGATACTAGTTTTTTCAATTTATTACTTATCACCATAGATATGATTATGGGTCACAGATGTAGTCATATCTATGAAAAGAGGCCCAGAGAACTACTATCATGAAGCAGCAAGCTTAAAATAAAAATATAATTGGAATTCTGTGCTCTAAGAATGGGATGATAAAAAGATGAAAAAGATGAAAAAATACACGCTGAAATATAGAAGGGGACAACGAATCTCAGAAAACTGTTTTACAGAAAAGTTATTGCTAAGTATATCCCTGTCAAAATGTTAATTCATTACTTCTAAATAATACAGAGGGCTTCATTCTAGACCATTGCAAGTGTTTTCCTAAATTTTAGGTACATTTCACTAGTTTAAAATGACACACTATTTGGGAAATTCATATAAACAAGTTAAAGGCTTCAATAATATCTGAAAACAAATCATTTTACTCCCTCTTCAATTACCTGATAATTACATACAGGCAACTGACACCCAGTGGTGACCTGACCTGGTGAATTTGGATAAGTAGGATATGTCTGAAAGTAAGTTTACAGAAAGAATGAATATGGTAAAACATCTTTTTAAATTAGAAAAAAATATTATTCCCAAAATAAAAAAAATGAAAAACTTTAAAATATTTATTAATTTTCTATATAAAACAATGCAGAATTCTAAATGAATGAATGACTTCAGGAAGAAATAAATATTCTCTGTCAAGTGCTAAGCCCCTTTGGGTGGGGCGGGGGAACACACAAATGACAAAGTAGTGACTATTTCACCAGGCAAAGTTCACCTTACTGACACTGTGTACTTATGCCCACCCAGAAGTTGTTTCTTACACTGCTGGTAAGGCTCCATTAAGACAGATCTCAATGTAAGTTAAGTTAATACATTTGCTATTTCTTTGTCAATATACTTCCAGATAGTTTTGTGTTTGACAATATTACAGGGTAATATGTAGTTCTCCTACAGATGTTATGTTTTTTTTCTGTACTTCATTTCGAAAAACTAAGGGCAGTGTACAATCCAAAACTGGAGAAGGACAGTACGATGTCTTATATGTTTCGATAAATACTTATTGTTTGAAAACATATAGGAAGCAGCATACATGAATACACCCAAATTCAGTAATGGCTCACCGTAAATGTTAGAAACAAGTAGGGCTTTGTCTCTAGCCATTGTTCAGAGAAGAAAAAAGAAGAAGAGGT
Organism: Homo sapiens; assembly: GCF_000001405.40. Taxonomy (NCBI): domain Eukaryota; kingdom Metazoa; phylum Chordata; class Mammalia; order Primates; family Hominidae; genus Homo; species Homo sapiens. The sequence continues at coordinate 24,897,432 of NC_000024.10, read as the reverse complement.
ATATCCTACACATTTCAAGTACACAGAAAATGTCAATAAATGAGAGACACTGAAGAACTATTTCACTACTATTTTGTTACTTTATTTTCCATCAAAGAAAATGTCTTTTAAACTAACACATAAATAAAATGGACTAAGAAGAAAACAGACGTTATTTATCACCAATAAGTGATAGAGTATGTCAAATCCTACTTTAAATATCAAAGTAATCAGGATCAGAGAAATTACATGCCAGAAATTCACAGGATTTATAGGTACAGTAAAATAGGTCAGAAATCTATACATTCCAGACCGAGAATATATCCCGAAGTCAGCAGTTTATATGAGGAGTCAACTGGAAATCATTGCAAGTAAAGAAGAGCTAGATTAATCGCTATCCTTAAAGAATAAACTAGGCAGAAACATTAGAACAGCTGCTTTCAAATGTTTTCAGAACTAGGTATAATGGGGGAAAGAAGTTCAGGTATTTTAGAGGTAATACTCTTTTTTTATTCCTATTCTTATTTAAGAGTAATTAACAGCAAAACATTTCTGTTTCTCTTCAACAAATTTTTTGTGGCTGGTAAAACCAGAGGCAGACCCTACGCAGATACATGCTAATTCTAAAGTGACATTAATACTATCTTTCTTAGATTACACAGTCTATCAACAAGTAACTGAACACTTATTATGTGGACCAGCCACTCCTTAAGCACACAAAAACCTGAGAGAGAAAAAGGCACTGTTGCACCCATGGGAGATTGTAACTGGGTTAAAAAGAAAGTAACAAAATGTAACACATTAATATAAAGAATCATTTAAAATATTTATAAGGCATAAATGATATGGAAAATAATCCAGAAAGAACAGAAGTACATGGTAGGCTAATTCACTTTACCAGAGGTACAACCTACCTCCTTTGCTCCCCAACAGGGCACTGCGGTGGCATCTTAAAAAAAAAATAGGAAAACAAAATTATTCAAATATTCATAAACATTTTCAAAAACAAATGATATATAAAATATTGAAGTACCTATGCTGGCTCCTTTGTTATTATAATAAAAGAAAGACAATGGAAAAAAAGAAGTACTTTATGGTTCTAATTCCTGACATTCTTGTTGTTACTTCCACATACAAATACGAAACCACACCTTTTCCCCAATTTTTGGATTTGGCATTGTGGAAATCTCAAAGATGTTACTACTTTGAACTTATTATGCTACATATGATTATTGGTCATAGATAGAGTCCTCTCTACTATGAAAAGAGAACCAGACAACAATTGTCGGGAAACAGCCTACTAAATGAAACTATAATTTGAATTATGTGCTCTAAGAATTGGGTAATAATTTTATTTACTCTATATCCCTAAAAAATTCATGAAAGTCATTCTGGAGGTTTCATTCAGCTATTTGACAGCAAAGATGAAAACTATATCCTGAAATATAGAAGGGTCAAATCTCAGAAAACTGTTCTACAGAAAAGTTATTGCCAAGTACATTCCTGTCAAAATATTACTTCATTACTTCTAAATCAGACAGAGGTCTTCATTCTACACTAATTCTAAGTGTTTCCTTAAATATTAGGTACACTTCACTAGTTTAAAATGACCAACTATTCAGGAAATTTGTATAAACAAGTTAAAGGCCTCAATAATACCTGAAAGCAAATCATTTCATTCCTTCTTACATTACCTGGTAATTGTATACATGGAACTGATATCCAGTGGTGACCTGAACTGCTGAATTTGGATAAGCAGGAAATGCCTGAAAAGAAAGGTGGCAGAAAAAAAAGAATATGGTAAACCATTTTTTAAAATTAGAAAGAAATATCATTCCCAATGTAACAAAAATATTAAAAACGTTAAAATATCATTTTTCTACATACAACAATGCAGAATTCTAAATGAATGACTGACTTTATGAAGAAAGAAATAGTCTATGTCATGTGCCACACTTTGGGTGTGAAGGGGGAACAAATGACAAAAGAATTGACTATTTCACCAAAGTTTACCTTATACTGTGTACTTATTCACACCCAGAAATTCTTTCTTACACCGGTGATAAGGCTCCATTAAGACAGATTGCAATGTAAGTTAAATTTATACATTTGCTATTTCAATGTCAGAATATTTCTAGACTGTTTTGTATCAGACAATATTAAAGGGTAATATGTAGTTCTATAGATATTAGTGCTATGTTTGTACTTCATTCCAAAAAACTAAGTGCAGTCTATAATCCAATACTGGAGAAGAGAAAGTATAATGTCTTATATGTTTCAATGAATTCTTATTGTTTGAAAACATACAGGTAGCAGCATACATGAATATGCCCTGATTCAGTAATGCCGCACAGTAAATGACAGAAACAAGTAGGGCTTTTTTTCCAGCCATTGTTCAGAGAAGGAAAAAGAAGAGGTATACCACACATGTTTCAAGTACATGGAAAACATCAACAAATTAGAGACACTGCAGAACTATTGGACTATTATTTTGTTACTTCATTTTCCGTCAAAGAAAATGTCTTTAAAGCTAACACATAAATAAAACGAACTAAGAAGAATATAAACGTCCTTTATCAACATTAAGTGATGGAGTATGTCAAAACCTACTTTAAATATCAGTGTAAGCAGGATCAGAGAAATTAGATGCAAGAAGCTCACGGGATTTATATACCTACTAAACCACATCAGAAATCTACCCATTCCCGAACCAGAATATATCCAGAAGTCAGCAATTTATATGAGGAGGCATCTGGAAATCATTTCAAATAAAGGGTAGCTAGATGAACTGTTAAACTTACCGAAGAATGAAGTAGGCAGACACATAAGGAGAGCTGCTTTCATTCACTTTAGGAACTGGTTATAAGGAGGAAAGCAGCTCTGGTGCTTTGGAGGTAATACTCTCGTTTACTCCTATTCTTATTTAAGCGCAATTAACAGCAAAGCATTTCTGTCTCTGTTCTACAAATTTTCTGTTGCTGGTAAAGCCAGAGGCAGAATCTACGCAGATGCATGCTAATTCAAAAGCCACATGAATACTACCTTTCTTTGATGATATGGTCTATCATTAAGTGGACCTGCCATTGCTTAAGCAAATAAAAACCTCAGGGCAAAAAAGGCACTGTTGCTCCCATGGGAGTTTATAATCGGGTTAACAAGAAAGTAAAAAAATAAACTAAAACATTGATATAAAAATCACTTAAAAATAGTAATAGGCATATACGACGTGGAAAAAAACCAAGAATGAACAGGAAGTCTATGTTTGGCTAATTCACTTAACATCAAGGAAAACATAATCCCTTTGCTCCCCAACAGGCCCCTATGGTGGCATCTTAAAAAAAAAAAAAAAAAGGAAACCAAAACTATTAAAATATTCCTACACATTTTCAAAAACACATGAGAAACACAATATTGAAGCACTTATCCTGCTGTCTCCTTTTTTATTATAATACAAGTAACAGAAAGGAAAACTTGAGTACTTTATGTTTCTACTCCATGACATTCTTCTTACTTTTATATTAGAAACTTCACCCTTCTCCACATTTTCGGGAGTTGGCAATGTGGAAACCTCAAAGATACTAGCTCTTTCAGTTTATTACCATAGATATAATTATTGGGCATAGATGTACTTGTATCTGTGAAAAGAGACCCAGAGAATTGCTATCGTGAAACAGCCAGCTAAAATGAAAATATAGTTGGAATTCTGTGCTCTGAAAAGTGGGTCATAATTTTATTTCACTCTATCTCCCTAAGAAAATTCATGAAAGTCAGTTTGGATGTTTCATTCAGTTATTTGACAGTAAAGATGAAAACTACATCCAGAAATGAAGAATGGGACACCAAATCTCAGAAATCTGTTCTACAGGAAAGTTATTCCCAAGTATATTCCTGTCAAAATTCGACTTCATTACTTCTCAATAAGACAGAGGTCTTCATTCTACACTAATTCTAAGTGTTTCCTTAAATTTTAGGTACACTTCACTAGTTTAAAATGACCAACTATTCCGGAAATTTGTATAAACAAGTTAAAGGCCTCAATAATACCTGAAAGCAAATAATTTTACTCCTTCTTACATTACCTGATAATTATATACAGGCAACTGATATCCAGTGGTGACCTGAAATGGTGAACTTGGATAAGCAGGAAATGCCTGAAAAGAAAGGTTGGCAGAAAAAAATGAATATGGTAAACCACTTTTTAAAATTACAAAGAAATATAATTCCCAATATAACAACAATATTACAGAAGGGAAAATATCGTTTTTCTACATACAACAATGCAGAATTCCAAATGAATGACTGATTTATGAAGAAAGAAAGATTCCATGTCAAGTGCTACACTTTGGGTGTGAAGGGGGAAGAAATGACAAAAGAATTGACGACTTCACCAAAGTTTACCTTATACTGTGTACGTATTCACACCCAGACGTTCTTTCTTACACTGGTGATAAGGCTCCATTAAGAGAGATTGCAAGGTAAGTTAAATTAATACATTTGCTATTTCCCTGTCAGAATATTTCTACACTGTTTTTTATCAGACAATATTATAGGACAATGTGTAGTTGTACACGCGTTATGGCTTTGTCTGTACTTCATTCCAGAAAACTAAGTGCAGTCTATAATCCAATACTGGAGAAGAGAAAGTATAATGTCTTATAAGTTTCAATAAATTCTTATTGTTTGAAAACATACAGGTAGCAGCATACATGAATACACCCAGATTCAGTAATGCCTCACAGTAAATGACAGAAAGAAGTAGGGTTTTTTTTCTAGCCATTGTTCAGAGAAGGAAAAAGAAGAGGTGTACCATACATGTTTCAAGTACATGGAAAATATCAACAAATTAGAGACACGGCAGAACTATTCGACTATTATTTTGTTACTTCACTTTCCGTCAAAGAAAATGTCTTTAAAGCTAACACATAAATAAAACGAACTAAGAAGAATATAAACGTCCTTTATCAACATTAAGTGATGGAGTATGTCAAAACCTACTTTAAATATCAGTGTAAGCAGGATCAGAGAAATTAGATGCAAGAAGCTCACGGGATTTATATACCTACTAAACCACATCAGAAATCTACCCATTCCCGAACCAGAATATATCCAGAAGTCAGCAATTTATATGAGGAGGCATCTGGAAATCATTTCAAATAAAGGGTAGCTAGATGAACTGTTAAACTTACCGAAGAATGAAGTAGGCAGACACATAAGGAGAGCTGCTTTCATTCACTTTAGGAACTGGTTATAAGGAGGAAAGCAGCTCTGGTGCTTTGGAGGTAATACTCTCGTTTACTCCTATTCTTATTTAAGCGCAATTAACAGCAAAGCATTTCTGTCTCTGTTCTACAAATTTTCTGTTGCTGGTAAAGCCAGAGGCAGAATCTACGCAGATGCATGCTAATTCAAAAGCCACATGAATACTACCTTTCTTTGATGATATGGTCTATCATTAAGTGGACCTGCCATGGCTTAAGCAAATAAAAACCTCAGGGCAAAAAAGGCACTGTTGCTCCCATGGGAGTTTATAATCGGGTTAACAAGAAAGTAAAAAAATAAACTAAAACATTGATATAAAAATCACTTAAAAATAGTAATAGGCATATACGACGTGGAAAAAAACCAAGAATGAACAGGAAGTCTATGTTTGGCTAATTCACTTAACATCAAGGAAAACATAATCCCTTTGCTCCCCAACAGGCCCCTATGGTGGCATCTTAAAAAAAAAAAAAGAAAGGAAACCAAAACTATTAAAATATTCCTACACATTTTCAAAAACACATGAGAAACACAATATTGAAGCACTTATCCTGCTGTCTCCTTTTTTATTATAATACAAGTAACAGAAAGGAAAACTTGAGTACTTTATGTTTCTACTCCATGACATTCTTCTTACTTTTATATTAGAAACTTCACCCTTCTCCACATTTTCGGGAGTTGGCAATGTGGAAACCTCAAAGATACTAGCTCTTTCAGTTTATTACCATAGATATAATTATTGGGCATAGATGTACTTGTATCTGTGAAAAGAGACCCAGAGAATTGCTATCGTGAAACAGCCAGCTAAAATGAAAATATAGTTGGAATTCTGTGCTCTGAAAAGTGGGTCATAATTTTATTTCACTCTATCTCCCTAAGAAAATTCATGAAAGTCAGTTTGGATGTTTCATTCAGTTATTTGACAGTAAAGATGAAAACTACATCCAGAAATGAAGAATGGGACACCAAATCTCAGAAATCTGTTCTACAGGAAAGTTATTCCCAAGTATATTCCTGTCAAAATTCGACTTCATTACTTCTCAATAAGACAGAGGTCTTCATTCTACACTAATTCTAAGTGTTTCCTTAAATTTTAGGTACACTTCACTAGTTTAAAATGACCAACTATTCCGGAAATTTGTATAAACAAGTTAAAGGCCTCAATAATACCTGAAAGCAAATAATTTTACTCCTTCTTACATTACCTGATAATTATATACAGGCAACTGATATCCAGTGGTGACCTGAAATGGTGAACTTGGATAAGCAGGAAATGCCTGAAAAGAAAGGTTGGCAGAAAAAAATGAATATGGTAAACCACTTTTTAAAATTACAAAGAAATATAATTCCCAATATAACAACAATATTACAGAAGGGAAAATATCGTTTTTCTACATACAACAATGCAGAATTCCAAATGAATGACTGATTTATGAAGAAAGAAAGATTCCATGTCAAGTGCTACACTTTGGGTGTGAAGGGGGAAGCAATGACAAAAGAATTGACGACTTCACCAAAGTTTACCTTATACTGTGTACGTATTCACACCCAGACGTTATTTCTTACACTGGTGATAAGGCTCCATTAAGAGAGATTGCAAGGTAAGTTAAATTAATACATTTGCTATTTCCCTGTCAGAATATTTCTACACTGTTTTTTATCAGACAATATTATAGGACAATGTGTAGTTGTACACGCGTTATGGCTTTGTCTGTACTTCATTCCGGAAAACTAAGTGCAGTCTATAATCCAATACTGGAGAAGAGAAAGTATAATGTCTTATATGTTTCAATGAATTCTTATTGTTTGAAAACATACAGGTAGCAGCATACATGAATACACCCAGATTCAGTAATGCCTCACAGTAAATGACAGAAAGAAGTAGGGTTTTTTTTCTAGCCATTGTTCAGAGAAGGAAAAAGAAGAGGTGTACCATACATGTTTCAAGTACATGGAAAATATCAACAAATTAGAGACACGGCAGAACTATTCGACTATTATTTTGTTACTTCACTTTCCGTCAAAGAAAATGTCTTTAAAGCTAACACATAAATAAAACGAACTAAGAAGAATATAAACGTCCTTTATCAACATTAAGTGATGGAGTATGTCAAAACCTACTTTAAATATCAGTGTAAGCAGGATCAGAGAAATTAGATGCAAGAAGCTCACGGGATTTATATACCTACTAAACCACATCAGAAATCTACCCATTCCCGAACCAGAATATATCCAGAAGTCAGCAATTTATATGAGGAGGCATCTGGAAATCATTTCAAATAAAGGGTAGCTAGATGAACTGTTAAACTTACCGAAGAATGAAGTAGGCAGACACATAAGGAGAGCTGCTTTCATTCACTTTAGGAACTGGTTATAAGGAGGAAAGCAGCTCTGGTGCTTTGGAGGTAATACTCTCGTTTACTCCTATTCTTATTTAAGCGCAATTAACAGCAAAGCATTTCTGTCTCTGTTCTACAAATTTTCTGTTGCTGGTAAAGCCAGAGGCAGAATCTACGCAGATGCATGCTAATTCAAAAGCCACATGAATACTACCTTTCTTTGATGATATGGTCTATCATTAAGTGGACCTGCCATTGCTTAAGCAAATAAAAACCTCAGGGCAAAAAAGGCACTGTTGCTCCCATGGGAGTTTATAATCGGGTTAACAAGAAAGTAAAAAAATAAACTAAAACATTGATATAAAAATCACTTAAAAATAGTAATAGGCATATACGACGTGGAAAAAAACCAAGAATGAACAGGAAGTCTATGTTTGGCTAATTCACTTAACATCAAGGAAAACATAATCCCTTTGCTCCCCAACAGGCCCCTATGGTGGCATCTTAAAAAAAAAAAAAAAAGGAAACCAAAACTATTAAAATATTCCTACACATTTTCAAAAACACATGAGAAACACAATATTGAAGCACTTATCCTGCTGTCTCCTTTTTTATTATAATACAAGTAACAGAAAGGAAAACTTGAGTACTTTATGTTTCTACTCCATGACATTCTTCTTACTTTTATATTAGAAACTTCACCCTTCTCCACATTTTCGGGAGTTGGCAATGTGGAAACCTCAAAGATACTAGCTCTTTCAGTTTATTACCATAGATATAATTATTGGGCATAGATATACTTGTATCTGTGAAAAGAGACCCAGAGAATTGCTATCGTGAAACAGCCAGCTAAAATGAAAATATAGTTGGAATTCTGTGCTCTGAAAAGTGGGTCATAATTTTATTTCACTCTATCTCCCTAAGAAAATTCATGAAAGTCAGTTTGGATGTTTCATTCAGTTATTTGACAGTAAAGATGAAAACTACATCCAGAAATGAAGAATGGGACACCAAATCTCAGAAATCTGTTCTACAGGAAAGTTATTCCCAAGTATATTCCTGTCAAAATTCGACTTCATTACTTCTCAATAAGACAGAGGTCTTCATTCTACACTAATTCTAAGTGTTTCCTTAAATTTTAGGTACACTTCACTAGTTTAAAATGACCAACTATTCCGGAAATTTGTATAAACAAGTTAAAGGCCTCAATAATACCTGAAAGCAAATAATTTTACTCCTTCTTACATTACCTGATAATTATATACAGGCAACTGATATCCAGTGGTGACCTGAAATGGTGAACTTGGATAAGCAGGAAATGCCTGAAAAGAAAGGTTGGCAGAAAAAAATGAATATGGTAAACCACTTTTTAAAATTACAAAGAAATATAATTCCCAATATAACAACAATATTACAGAAGGGAAAATATCGTTTTTCTACATACAACAATGCAGAATTCCAAATGAATGACTGATTTATGAAGAAAGAAAGATTCCATGTCAAGTGCTACACTTTGGGTGTGAAGGGGGAAGCAATGACAAAAGAATTGACGACTTCACCAAAGTTTACCTTATACTGTGTACGTATTCACACCCAGACGTTATTTCTTACACTGGTGATAAGGCTCCATTAAGAGAGATTGCAAGGTAAGTTAAATTAATACATTTGCTATTTCCCTGTCAGAATATTTCTACACTGTTTTTTATCAGACAATATTATAGGACAATGTGTAGTTGTACACGCGTTATGGCTTTGTCTGTACTTCATTCCGGAAAACTAAGTGCAGTCTATAATCCAATACTGGAGAAGAGAAAGTATAATGTCTTATATGTTTCAATGAATTCTTATTGTTTGAAAACATACAGGTAGCAGCATACATGAATACACCCAGATTCAGTAATGCCTCACAGTAAATGACAGAAAGAAGTAGGGTTTTTTTTCTAGCCATTGTTCAGAGAAGGAAAAAGAAGAGGTGTACCATACATGTTTCAAGTACATGGAAAATATCAACAAATTAGAGACACGGCAGAACTATTCGACTATTATTTTGTTACTTCACTTTCCGTCAAAGAAAATGTCTTTAAAGCTAACACATAAATAAAACGAACTAAGAAGAATATAAACATCCTTTATCAACATTAAGTGATGGAGTATGTCAAAACCTACTTTAAATATCAGTGTAAGCAGGATCAGAGAAATTAGATGCAAGAAGCTCACGGGATTTATATACCTACTAAACCACATCAGAAATCTACCCATTCCCGAACCAGAATATATCCAGAAGTCAGCAATTTATATGAGGAGGCATCTGGAAATCATTTCAAATAAAGGGTAGCTAGATGAACTGTTAAACTTACCGAAGAATGAAGTAGGCAGACACATAAGGAGAGCTGCTTTCATTCACTTTAGGAACTGGTTATAAGGAGGAAAGCAGCTCTGGTGCTTTGGAGGTAATACTCTCGTTTACTCCTATTCTTATTTAAGCGCAATTAACAGCAAAGCATTTCTGTCTCTGTTCTACAAATTTTCTGTTGCTGGTAAAGCCAGAGGCAGAATCTACGCAGATGCATGCTAATTCAAAAGCCACATGAATACTACCTTTCTTTGATGATATGGTCTATCATTAAGTGGACCTGCCATTGCTTAAGCAAATAAAAACCTCAGGGCAAAAAAGGCACTGTTGCTCCCATGGGAGTTTATAATCGGGTTAACAAGAAAGTAAAAAAATAAACTAAAACATTGATATAAAAATCACTTAAAAATAGTAATAGGCATATACGACGTGGAAAAAAACCAAGAATGAACAGGAAGTCTATGTTTGGCTAATTCACTTAACATCAAGGAAAACATAATCCCTTTGCTCCCCAACAGGCCCCTATGGTGGCATCTTAAAAAAAAAAAAAAAAAGGAAACCAAAACTATTAAAATATTCCTACACATTTTCAAAAACACATGAGAAACACAATATTGAAGCACTTATCCTGCTGTCTCCTTTTTTATTATAATACAAGTAACAGAAAGGAAAACTTGAGTACTTTATGTTTCTACTCCATGACATTCTTCTTACTTTTATATTAGAAACTTCACCCTTCTCCACATTTTCGGGAGTTGGCAATGTGGAAACCTCAAAGATACTAGCTCTTTCAGTTTATTACCATAGATATAATTATTGGGCATAGATGTACTTGTATCTGTGAAAAGAGACCCAGAGAATTGCTATCGTGAAACAGCCAGCTAAAATGAAAATATAGTTGGAATTCTGTGCTCTGAAAAGTGGGTCATAATTTTATTTCACTCTATCTCCCTAAGAAAATTCATGAAAGTCAGTTTGGATGTTTCATTCAGTTATTTGACAGTAAAGATGAAAACTACATCCAGAAATGAAGAATGGGACACCAAATCTCAGAAATCTGTTCTACAGGAAAGTTATTCCCAAGTATATTCCTGTCAAAATTCGACTTCATTACTTCTCAATAAGACAGAGGTCTTCATTCTACACTAATTCTAAGTGTTTCCTTAAATTTTAGGTACACTTCACTAGTTTAAAATGACCAACTATTCCGGAAATTTGTATAAACAAGTTAAAGGCCTCAATAATACCTGAAAGCAAATAATTTTACTCCTTCTTACATTACCTGATAATTATATACAGGCAACTGATATCCAGTGGTGACCTGAAATGGTGAACTTGGATAAGCAGGAAATGCCTGAAAAGAAAGGTTGGCAGAAAAAAATGAATATGGTAAACCACTTTTTAAAATTACAAAGAAATATAATTCCCAATATAACAACAATATTACAGAAGGGAAAATATCGTTTTTCTACATACAACAATGCAGAATTCCAAATGAATGACTGATTTATGAAGAAAGAAAGATTCCATGTCAAGTGCTACACTTTGGCTGTGAAGGGGGAAGAAATGACAAAAGAATTGACGACTTCACCAAAGTTTACCTTATACTGTGTACGTATTCACACCCAGACGTTATTTCTTACACTGGTGATAAGGCTCCATTAACAGAGATTGCAAGGTAAGTTAAATTAATACATTTGCTATTTCCCTGTCAGAATATTTCTACACTGTTTTTTATCAGACAATATTATAGGACAATGTGTAGTTGTACACGCGTTATGGCTTTGTCTGTACTTCATTCCGGAAAACTAAGTGCAGTCTATAATCCAATACTGGAGAAGAGAAAGTATAATGTCTTATATGTTTCAATGAATTCTTATTGTTTGAAAACATACAGGTAGCAGCATACATGAATACACCCAGATTCAGTAATGCCTCACAGTAAATGACAGAAAGAAGTAGGGTTTTTTTTCTAGCCATTGTTCAGAGAAGGAAAAAGAAGAGGTGTACCATACATGTTTCAAGTACATGGAAAATATCAACAAATTAGAGACACGGCAGAACTATTCGACTATTATTTTGTTACTTCACTTTCCGTCAAAGAAAATGTCTTTAAAGCTAACACATAAATAAAACGAACTAAGAAGAATATAAACGTCCTTTATCAACATTAAGTGATGGAGTATGTCAAAACCTACTTTAAATATCAGTGTAAGCAGGATCAGAGAAATTAGATGCAAGAAGCTCACGGGATTTATATACCTACTAAACCACATCAGAAATCTACCCATTCCCGAACCAGAATATATCCAGAAGTCAGCAATTTATATGAGGAGGCATCTGGAAATCATTTCAAATAAAGGGTAGCTAGATGAACTGTTAAACTTACCGAAGAATGAAGTAGGCAGACACATAAGGAGAGCTGCTTTCATTCACTTTAGGAACTGGTTATAAGGAGGAAAGCAGCTCTGGTGCTTTGGAGGTAATACTCTCGTTTACTCCTATTCTTATTTAAGCGCAATTAACAGCAAAGCATTTCTGTCTCTGTTCTACAAATTTTCTGTTGCTGGTAAAGCCAGAGGCAGAATCTACGCAGATGCATGCTAATTCAAAAGCCACATGAATACTACCTTTCTTTGATGATATGGTCTATCATTAAGTGGACCTGCCATTGCTTAAGCAAATAAAAACCTCAGGGCAAAAAAGGCACTGTTGCTCCCATGGGAGTTTATAATCGGGTTAACAAGAAAGTAAAAAAATAAACTAAAACATTGATATAAAAATCACTTAAAAATAGTAATAGGCATATACGACGTGGAAAAAAACCAAGAATGAACAGGAAGTCTATGTTTGGCTAATTCACTTAACATCAAGGAAAACATAATCCCTTTGCTCCCCAACAGGCCCCTATGGTGGCATCTTAAAAAAAAAAAAAGAAAGGAAACCAAAACTATTAAAATATTCCTACACATTTTCAAAAACACATGAGAAACACAATATTGAAGCACTTATCCTGCTGTCTCCTTTTTTATTATAATACAAGTAACAGAAAGGAAAACTTGAGTACTTTATGTTTCTACTCCATGACATTCTTCTTACTTTTATATTAGAAACTTCACCCTTCTCCACATTTTCGGGAGTTGGCAATGTGGAAACCTCAAAGATACTAGCTCTTTCAGTTTATTACCATAGATATAATTATTGGGCATAGTTATACTTGTATCTGTGAAAAGAGACCCAGAGAATTGCTATCGTGAAACAGCCAGCTAAAATGAAAATATAGTTGGAATTCTGTGCTCTGCAAAGTGGGTCATAATTTTATTTCACTCTATCTCCCTAAGAAAATTCATGAAAGTCAGTTTGGATGTTTCATTCAGTTATTTGACAGTAAAGATGAAAACTACATCCAGAAATGAAGAATGGGACACCAAATCTCAGAAATCTGTTCTACAGGAAAGTTATTCCCAAGTATATTCCTGTCAAAATTCGACTTCATTACTTCTCAATAAGACAGAGGTCTTCATTCTACACTAATTCTAAGTGTTTCCTTAAATTTTAGGTACACTTCACTAGTTTAAAATGACCAACTATTCCGGAAATTTGTATAAACAAGTTAAAGGCCTCAATAATACCTGAAAGCAAATAATTTTACTCCTTCTTACATTACCTGATAATTATATACAGGCAACTGATATCCAGTGGTGACCTGAAATGGTGAACTTGGATAAGCAGGAAATGCCTGAAAAGAAAGGTTGGCAGAAAAAAATGAATATGGTAAACCACTTTTTAAAATTACAAAGAAATATAATTCCCAATATAACAACAATATTACAGAAGGGAAAATATCGTTTTTCTACATACAACAATGCAGAATTCCAAATGAATGACTGATTTATGAAGAAAGAAAGATTCCATGTCAAGTGCTACACTTTGGCTGTGAAGGGGGAAGAAATGACAAAAGAATTGACGACTTCACCAAAGTTTACCTTATACTGTGTACGTATTCACACCCAGACGTTATTTCTTACACTGGTGATAAGGCTCCATTAACAGAGATTGCAAGGTAAGTTAAATTAATACATTTGCTATTTCCCTGTCAGAATATTTCTACACTGTTTTTTATCAGACAATATTATAGGACAATGTGTAGTTGTACATGCGTTATGGCTTTGTCTGTACTTCATTCCGGAAAACTAAGTGCAGTCTATAATCCAATACTGGAGAAGAGAAAGTATAATGTCTTATATGTTTCAATAAATTCTTATTGTTTGAAAACATACAGGTAGCAGCATACATGAATACACCCAGATTCAGTAATGCCTCACAGTAAATGACAGAAAGAAGTAGGGTTTTTTTTCTAGCCATTGTTCAGAGAAGGAAAAAGAAGAGGTGTACCATACATGTTTCAAGTACATGGAAAATATCAACAAATTAGAGACACGGCAGAACTATTCGACTATTATTTTGTTACTTCACTTTCCGTCAAAGAAAATGTCTTTAAAGCTAACACATAAATAAAACGAACTAAGAAGAATATAAACATCCTTTATCAACATTAAGTGATGGAGTATGTCAAAACCTACTTTAAATATCAGTGTAAGCAGGATCAGAGAAATTAGATGCAAGAAGCTCACGGGATTTATATACCTACTAAACCACATCAGAAATCTACCCATTCCCGAACCAGAATATATCCAGAAGTCAGCAATTTATATGAGGAGGCATCTGGAAATCATTTCAAATAAAGGGTAGCTAGATGAACTGTTAAACTTACCGAAGAATGAAGTAGGCAGACACATAAGGAGAGCTGCTTTCATTCACTTTAGGAACTGGTTATAAGGAGGAAAGCAGCTCTGGTGCTTTGGAGGTAATACTCTCGTTTACTCCTATTCTTATTTAAGCGCAATTAACAGCAAAGCATTTCTGTCTCTGTTCTACAAATTTTCTGTTGCTGGTAAAGCCAGAGGCAGAATCTACGCAGATGCATGCTAATTCAAAAGCCACATGAATACTACCTTTCTTTGATGATATGGTCTATCATTAAGTGGACCTGCCATTGCTTAAGCAAATAAAAACCTCAGGGCAAAAAAGGCACTGTTGCTCCCATGGGAGTTTATAATCGGGTTAACAAGAAAGTAAAAAAGTAAACTAAAACATTGATATAAAAATCACTTAAAAATAGTAATAGGCATATACGACGTGGAAAAAAACCAAGAATGAACAGGAAGTCTATGTTTGGCTAATTCACTTAACATCAAGGAAAACATAATCCCTTTGCTCCCCAACAGGCCCCTATGGTGGCATCTTGAAAAAAAAAGGGGGGTGGGGGAGGAGCCAAGATGGCCGAATAGGAACAGCTCCAGTCTACAGCTCCCAGCGTGAGCGACGCCGAAGACGGGTGATTTCTGCATTTCCATCTGAGGTACCGGGTTCATCTCACTAGGGAGTGCCAGACAGTGGGCGCAGGTCAGTGGGTGGGCTCACCGCGTGCGAGCGGAAGCAGGGCGAGGCATTGCCTCACTTGGGACGCGCAAGCGGTCAGGGAGTTCCCTTCTGAGTCAAAGAAAGGGGTGACGGATGCCACCTGGAGAATCGGGTCACTCCCACCCGAATACTGCGCTTTTCCGACGGGCTTAAAAAACGGCACACCACTAGATTATATCCCGCACCTGGCTCGGAGGGTCCTACGCCCACGCAGTCTCACTGATTGCTAGCACAGCAGTCTGAGATCAAACTGCAAGGCGGCAACGAGGCTGGGGGAGGGGCGCCCGCCATTGCCCAGGCTTGATTAGGTAAACAAAGCCGCAGGGAAGCTCCAACTGGGTGGAGCCCACCACAGCTCAAGGAGGCCTGCCTGCCTCTGTAGGCTCCACCTCTAGGGGCAGGGCACAGACAAACAAAAAGACAGCAGTAACCTCTGCAGACTTAAATGACCCTGTCTGACAGCTTTGAAGAGAGCAGTGGTTCTCCCAGCACGCAGCTGGAGATCTGAGAACGGGCAGACTGCCTCGTCAAGTGGGTCCCTGACCCCTGACCCCCCGAGCAGCCTAACTGGGAGGCACCCCCCAGCAGGGGCACACTGACACCTCACACGGCAGGGTATTCCAACAGACCTGCAGCTGAGGGTCCTCTCAGTTAGAAGGAAAACTAACAAACAGAAAGGACATCCACACCAAAAACCCATCTGTACATCACCATCATCAAAGACCAAAAGTAGATAAAACCACAAAGAGGGGGAAAAAACAGAACAGAAAAACTGGAAACTCTAAAAAGCAGAGCACCTCTCCTCCTCCAAAGGAACGCAGTTCCTCACCAGCAACGGAACAAAGCTGGATGGAGAATGACTTTGACGAGCTGAGAGAAGAAGGCTTCAGACGATCAAATTACTCTGAGCTACGGGAGGACATTCAAACCAAAGGCAAAGAAGTTGAAAACTTTGGGAAAAAAAAATGTAGAAGAATGTATAACTAGAATAACCAATACAGAGAAGTGCTTAAAGGAGCTGATGGAGCTGAAAACCAAGGCTCAAGAACTACGTGAAGAATGCAGAAGCCTCAGGAGCTGATGCGATCAACTGGAAGAAAGGGTATCAGCAATGGAAGATGAAATGAATGAAATGAAGTGAGAAGGGAAGTTTGGAGAAAAAAGAATAAAACGAAATGAGCAAAGCCTCCAAGAAATATGGGACTATGTGAAAAGACCAAATCTACGTCTGCTTGGTGTACCTGAAAGTGATCGGGAGAATGGAACCAAGCTGGAAAACACTCTGCAGGATATTATCCAGGAGAACTTCCCCAATCTAGCAAGGCAGGCCAACGTTCAGATTCAGGAAATACAGAGAACGCCACAAAGATACTCCTCGAGAAGAGCAACTCCAAGACACATAATTGTCAGATTCACCAAAGTTGAAATGAAGGAAAAAATGTTAAGGGCAGCCAGAGAGAAAGGTCGGGTTACCCTCAAAGGGAAGCCCATCAGACTAACAGTGGATCTCTCGGCAGAAACCCTACAAGCCAGAAGAGAGTGGGGGCCAATATTCAACATTCTTAAAGAAAATAATTTTCAACCCAGAATTTCATATCCAGCCAAACTAAGCTTCATAAGCGAAGGAGAAATAAAATACTTTACAGACAAGCAAATGCTGAGAGATTTTGTCACCACCAAGCCTGCCTTATAAGAGCTCCTGAAGGAAGCACTAAACATGGAAAGGAACAACCGGTACCAGCCGCTGCAAAATCATGCCAAAATGTAAAGACCATCGAGACTAGGAAGAAACTGCATCAACTAACAAGCAAAATAACCAGCTAACATCATAATGACAGGATCAAATTCATACATAACAATATTAACTTTAAATGTCAATGGACTAAATGCTCCAATTAAAAGACACAGACTGGCAAACTGGATAAAGAGTCAAGACCCATCAGTGTGCTGTATTCAGGAAACCCATCTCACGTGCAGAGACACACATAGGCTCAAAATAAAAGGATGCAGGAAGATCTACCAAGCAAATGGAAAACAAAAAAAGGCAGGGGTTGCAATCCTAGTCTCTGATAAAACAGACTTTAAACCAACAAAGATCAAAAGAGACAAAGAAGGCCATTACATAATGGTAAAGGGATCAATTCAACAAGAAGAGCTAACTATCCTAAATATATATGCACCCAATACAGGAGCACCAAGATTCATAAAGCAAGTCCTGAGTGACCTACAAAGAGACTTAGACTCCCACACATTAATAATGGGAGACTTTAACACCCCACTGTCAACATTAGACAGATCAACGAGACAGAAAGTCAACAAGGATACCCAGGAATTGAACTCAGCTCTGCACCAAGTGGACCTAATAGACATCTACAGAACTCTCCACCCCAAATCAACAGAATATACATTTTTTTTCAGCACCACACCACACCTATTCCAAAACTGACCACATACTGGGAAGTAAAGCTCTCCTCAGCAGATGTAAAAGAACAGAAATTATAACAAACTATCTCTCAGACCACAGTGCAATCAAACTAGAACTCAGGATTAAGAATCTCACTCAAAACCACTCAACTACATGGAAACTGAACAACCTGCTCCTGAATGACTACTGGGTACATAACAAAATGAAGGCAGAAATAAAGATGTTCTTTGAAACCAACGAGAACAAAGACACAACATACCGGAATCTCTGGGATGCATTCAAAGCAGTGTGTAGAGGGAAATTTATAGCACTAAATGCCCACAAGAGAAAGCAGGAAAGATCCAAAATTGACACCGTAACATCACAATTAAAAGAACTAGAAAAGCAAGAGCAAACACAGTCAAAAGCTAGCAGAAGGCAAGAAATAACTAAGATCAGAGCAGAACTGAAGGAAATAGAGACACAAAAAACCCTTCAAAAAATTAATGAATCCAGGAGCTGGTTTTTTGAAAGGATCAACAAAAGTGACAGACCGCTAGCAAGACTAATAAAGAAAAAAAGAGAGAAGAATCCAATAGACGCAATAAAAAATGATAAAGGGGATATCGCCACTGATCACACAGAAATACAAACTACCATCAGAGAATACTACAAACACCTCTACGCAAATAAACTAGAAAATCTAGAAGAAATGGATAAACTCCTCGACACATACACTCTCCCAAGACTAAACCAGGAAGAAGTTGAATCTCTGAATAGACCAATAACAGGAGCTGAAATTGTGGCAATAATCAATAGCTCACCAACCAAAAAGAGTCCAGGACCAGATGGATTCACAGCCGAATTCTACCAGAGGTACAAGGAGGAACTGGTACCATTCCTTCTGAAACTATTCCAATCAACAGAAAAAGACAGAATCCTCCCTAACTCATTTTATGAGGCCAGCATCATTCTGATACCAAAGCCAGGCAGAGACACAACCAAAAAAGAGAATTTTAGACCAATATCCTTGATGAACATTGATGCAAAAATCCTCAATAAAATACTGGCAAAACGAATCCAGCGGCACATCAAAAAGCTTATCCACCATGATCAAGTGGGCTTCATCGCTGGGATGCAAGGCTGGTTCAATATACGCAAATCAATAAATGTAATCCAGCATATAAACAGAACCAAAGACAAAAAACACATGATTATCTCAATAGATGCAGAAAAAGCCCTTGACAAAATTCAACAACCCTTCATGCTAAAAACTCTCAATAAATTAGGTATTGATGGGACGTATTTCAAAATAGTAAGAGCTATCTATGACAAACCCACAGCCAATATCATACTGAATGGGCAAAAACTGGAAGCATTCCCTTTGAAAACTGGCACAAGAGAGGGATGCCCTCTCTCACCACTCCTATTCAACATAGTGTTGGAAGTTCTGGCCAGGGCAATTAGGCAGGAGAAGGAAATAAAGGGTATTCAATTAGGAAAGGAGGAAGTCAAATTGTCCCTGTTTGCAGACAACATGATTATATATCTAGAAAACCCCATTGTCTCAGCCCAAAATCTCCTTAAGCTGATAAGCAACTTCAGCAAAGTCTCAGGATACAAAATCAATGTACAAAAATCACAAGCTTTCTTATACACCAACAACAGACAAACAGAGAGCCCAATCATGAGTGAACTCCCATTCACAATTGCTTCAAAGGGAATAAAATGCCTAGGAAATCAACTTACAAGGGATGTGAAGGACCTCTTCAAGGAGAACTACAAACCACTGCTCAAGGAAATAAAAGAGGATACAAACAAATGGAAGAACATTCCATGCTCATGAGTAGGAAGAATCAATATCGTGAAAATGGCCATACTGCCCAAGGTAATTTACAGATTCAATGCCATCCCCATCAAGCTACCAATGCCTTTCTTCACAGAATTGGAAAAAACTACTTTAAAGTTCACATGGAACCAAAAAAGAGCCCGCATTGCCAAGTCAATCCTAAGCCAAAAGAACAAAGCTGGAGGCATCACACTACCTGACTTCAAACTATACTACAAGGCTACAGTAACCAAAACAGCATGGTACTGGTACCAAAACAGAGATATAGATCAATGGAACAGAACAGAGCCCTCAGAAATAACGCCGCATATCTACAACTATCTGATCTTTGACAAACCTGAGAAAAACAAGCAATGGGGAAAGGATTCCCTATTTAATAAATGGTGCTGGGAAAACTGGCTAGCCATATGTAGAAAGCTGAAACTGGATCCCTTCCTTACACCTTATACAAAAATCAATTCAAGATGGATTAAAGACTTAAACGTTAGACGTAAAACCATAAAAACCCTAGAAGAAAACCTAGGCATTACCATTCAGGACATAGGCATAGGCGAGGACTTCACGTCTAAAACACCAAAAGCAATGGCAATAAAAGACAAAATTGACAAATGGGATCTAATTAAACTAAAGAGCTTCTGCACAGAAAAAGAAACTACCATCAGAGTGAACAGGCAACCTACAAAATGGGAGAAAATTTTCACAACCTACTCATCTGACAAAGGGCTAATATCCAGAATCTACAATGAGCTAAAACAAATTTACAAGAAAAAACAAACAACCTCATCAAAAAGTGGGTGAAGGACATGAACAGACACTTCTCAAAAGAAGACATTTATGCAGCCAAAAAACACATGAAAAAATGCTCATCATCACTGGCCATCAGAGAAATGCAAATCAAAACCACAGTGAGATACCATCTCACACCAGTTAGAATGGCAATCATTTAAAAGTCAGGAGACAACAGGTGCTGGAGAAGATGTGGAGAAACAGGAACACTTTTACACTGTTGGCGGGACTGTAAACTAGTTCAACCATTGTGGAAGTCAGTGTGGCGATTCCTCAGGGATCTAGAACTGGAAATAGCATTTGACCCAGCCATCCCATTACTGGGTGTATACACAAAGGACTATAAATCATGCTGCTATAAAGACACATGCACACGTATGTTTATTGCGGCATTATTCACAATAGCAAAGACTTGGAACCAACCCAAATGTCCAACAATGATAGACTGGATTAAGAAAATGTGGCACATATACACCATGGAATACTATGCCGCCATAAAAAATGATGACTTCATGTCCTTTGTAGGGACATGGATGAAATTGGAAATCATCATTCTCAGTAAACTATCGCAAGAACAAAAAACCAAACACCGCATATTCTCACTCATAGGTGGGAATTGAACAATGAGATCACATGGACACAGGAAGGGATATATCACACTCTGGGGACTGTTGTGGGGTGGGGGGAGGGGGGAGGGATAGCACTGGGAGATATACCTAATGCTAGATGAGGAGTTAGAGGGTGCAGAGCACCAGCATGGCACATGTATACATATGGAACTAACCTGCACAATGTGCACATGGACCCTAAAACTTAAAGCATAATTTTTTAAAAAAAAAGAATTGACTACTTCACCAAAGTTTACCTTATACTGTGTACTTATTCACACCCAGAAATTATGTCTTACACTGGTGATAAGGTTCCACTAAGACAGATTGCAATGTAAGGTAAATCAATACATTTGCAATTTCGCTGTAAGAATATTTCCAGACTGTTTTGTATCAGACAATATTGTAGGGTAATATGTAGTTCTATAGATGTTATGGCTTTGTCTGTATTTCATTCCAAAAAACTAATTGCAGTCTATATTCCAATACTGGAGAATAAAAAGTATAATGTCTGACATGTTTCAACAAATTCTTATTGTTTGAAAACATACAGGTAGCAGCATACATGAATACACCCAGAATCACTAATGCCTCACAGTAAACGAGAGAAACAAGTAGGGCTTTTTTTCTAGCCATGGTTCAGAGAAGGAAAAAGAAGAGGTATACCATACATGTTTCAAGTACATGGAAAATATCAACAAATTAGAAACACTGCAGAACTATTTCACTATTATTTTGTTACTACATTTTCCATCAAAGAAAATGTCTTTTAAGCTAACACATCAATGAAATGAACTAAGAAGAATATAAACGTTATTTATCAACAGTAAGTGATAGAGTATGTCAAACCCTACTTTAAATATCAATGTCACCAGGATCAGAGAAATTAGATGCCAGAAACTCAAGCGGTTTATATATATATACTAAATCACATCAGAAATCTACCCATTCCAGAACCAGAATATATCCAGAAGTCAGCAATTTATATGAGGAGGCATCTGGAAATCATTTCAAATAAAGGATAGCTAGATGAATTGCTAAACTTACGGAAGAATAAAGTAGGCAGACACATAAGGAGAGCTGCTTTCATTCACTTTAGGAACTGCTTATACGGGGGAAAGCTGCTCTGGTGATTTGCAGGTAATACTCTCCTTTACTTCTATTCTTATTTAAGCATAATTAACAGCAAAGCATTTCTGTTTCTCTTCTATAAATTTACTACTGCTGGTAAAGCCAGAGGCAGATTCTATGCAGCTACATGCTAATTCTAAAGTCACGTGAATATTACCTTTCTTTGATTATATAGTCTATCATTATGTGGAGCTGCCATTGCTTAAGCACATAAAACCCTGAGGGCAAAAAAGGCACTGTTGCTGCCATGGGAGTTTATACTCGGGTTAACAAGAAAGTAACAACAACAACAACAAACATTAATATAGAGAGTCACTTAAAAATATTTATAGGCATATATGACATGGAAAAAAAATCAAGAATGAACAGGAAGTCTATGTTTGGCTAATTCCCTTAACGTCAAGGACAACATAATCCCTTTGCTCCCCAACAGGCCCCTAAGGTGGCATCTTTAAAAAAAAAAAAAAAAAAAGGAAACCAAAACTATTAAACTATTCCTACATATTTTCAAACACACATGAGAAACACAGTATTGAAGTACTTATTCCGCTGTCTCCTTTTTTATTATAATAAAAGTAACAGAAAGGAAAACTTAAGTACTTTATGTTTCTTGTCCATGACATTCTTGTTACTTTAAATTTGAATCTTCACCTTTCTCCAAATTTTTGGGAGTTGGCAATGTGGAAACCTCAAAAATACTAGCTCTTTCAGTTTATTACCATAGATATAGTTATGGGTCATAGATATACTTGTATCTATGAGAAGAGATCCTGAGAATGACTACCGTCAAACAGCCAGCTAAAATGAAAATATAATTGGAATTCTGTGCTCTGAAAAGTGGATCATAATTTTATTTCACTCTATCTCCCTAAAAAAATTCATGAAAGTCAGTTTGGATGTTTCATTCAGCTATTTGACAGCAAAGATGAAAACTATATCCACAAATGAAGAAGGGGACACCAAATCTCAGAAATCTCTTCTACACAAATGTTATTGCCAAGGATATTCCTGTAAAAATATTACTTCATTACTTCTAAATAAGACAGAGGTCTTCATTCTACACTAAGTCTTTCCTTAAATTTTAGGGACACTTCACTAGTTAAAAATGACCAACTATTCAGGAAATTTCTATAAACAAGTTAAAGGCCTCAATAATACCTGAAAGCAAACCATTTTACTACCTCTTACATTACCTGATAATTGTATACAGGCAACTGATATCCAGTGGTGACCTGAACTGGTGAATTTGGATAAGCAGGAAATGCCTGAAAAGGTTGCAGAAAAAATGAATATGGTAAACCACATTTTAAAATTAGAAAGAAATATAATTCCCAATATAAGAAAAATATTACAAAACGGAAAATATCCTTTTTCTACATACAACAATGCAGAATTCCAAATGAATGACTTTATGAGGAAAGAAAGATTCTATGTCAAGTGCTACACTTTGGGTGTGAAGGGGGAACAAATGACAAAGAACTGACTACTTCACCAAAATTTACCTTATACTGTGTACTTATTCACACCCAGAAATTATGTCTTACACTGGTGATAAGGTTCCACTAAGACAGATTGCAATGTAAGGTAAATCAATACATTTGCAATTTCGCTGTAAGAATATTTCCAGACTGTTTTGTATCAGACAATATTGTAGGGTAATATGTAGTTCTATAGATGTTATGGCTTTGTCTGTATTTCATTCCAAAAAACTAATTGCAGTCTATATTCCAATACTGGAGAATAAAAAGTATAATGTCTGACATGTTTCAACAAATTCTTATTGTTTGAAAACATACAGGTAGCAGCATACATGAATACACCCAGAATCACTAATGCCTCACAGTAAACGAGAGAAACAAGTAGGGCTTTTTTTCTAGCCATGGTTCAGAGAAGGAAAAAGAAGAGGTATACCATACATGTTTCAAGTACATGGAAAATATCAACAAATTAGAGACACAGCAGAACGATTTCACTATTATTTCATTACTTCATTTTCTGTCAAAGAAAATGTCTTTTAAGCTAACACATCAATGAAATGAACTAAGAAGAAAATAAACGATATTTATCAACAGTAAGTGACACACTATGTCAAACCCTACTTTAAATATCAATGTAACCACGATCAGAGAAATTACATGCCAGAAACTCACCGGGTTTATATATATATACTAAACCACGTCAGAAATCTGCCCATTCCAGAACCAGAATATATCCAGAAGTCAGCCATTTATATGAGGAGGCATGTGGCAATCATTTCAAATAAAGGATAGCTAGATAAACTGCTAAACTTACCGAAGAATAAAGTAGGCAGACACATAAGGAGAGCTGCTTTCATTCACTTTAGGAACTGCTTATAAGGGGGAAAGCAGCTCCGGTGAGTTGGAGGTAATACTCTCCTTTACTCCTATTCTTATTTAGGCGTCATTAACAGCAAAGCATTTCTGTTTCTCTTCTATAAATTTTCTACTGCTGGTAAAGCCAGAGGCATATTCTGTGCAGACACATGCTAATTCTAAAGTCACGTGAATACTCCCTTTCTTTGATTATATAGTCTATCATTATGTAGACCTGCCATTGCTTAAGCACATAAAAACCTGAGGACAAAAAAGGCACTGTTGCTGCCATGGGAGTTTATAATCGGGTTAACAAGAAGGAAACAACAACAAAAAAAACATTAACATAAAAAGTCACTTAAAAATATTTGTAGGCATATATGACATGGAAAAAAATCAAGAATGAACAGGAAGTCTATGTTTGGCTAATTCCCTTAACGTCAAGGACAACATAATCCCTTTGCTACCCAACAGGCCCCTAAGGTGGAATCTTAAAAAATCAATCAATAAATAAAAGGAAACCAAAACTATTGAAGTATTACTACACATTTTCAAAAACACATGAGAAACACAATATTAAAGTACTTATCCTGCTGTCTCCTTTTTTATTGTAATAAAAGTAACAGAAAGGAAAACTCAAATACTTTATGTTTCTAGTCCATGACATTCTTGTTACTTTTACATTGGAAACTTCAGCTTTCTCCACATTTTCGGGATTTCGCAATGTGGAAACCTCAAAGATACTAGCTCTTTCAGTTTATTACCGTAGATATAATTATGGGTCACAGATACACTTGTATCTATGAAAAGAGATCCAGAGCATTACTATCGTCAAACAGCCAGCTAAAATGAAAATGTAATTGGGATTCTGTGCTCTGAAAAGTGCAGCATAATTTTATTTCAGTCTATCTCCCTAAGAAAATTCATGAAAGACACTTTGGACGTTTCATTTAGCTATTTGACAGTAAAGATGAAAACTACATCCAGAAATGAAGAAGAGAACACCAAATCTCAGAAATCTGTTCTACAGAAAAGTTATTGCCAAGTATATTCCTGTCAAAATACTACCTCATTATTCTAAATAACACAGAGGTCTTCATTCTACACTAAGTGTTTCCTTAAATTTTAGGTACAATTCACTAGTTTAAAATGAGCAACTATTCAGGAAATTTGTATGAACAAGTTAAAGGCCTCAATAATACCTAAAAGCAAATCATTTTACTCCCTCTGACATTACCTGATAATTGTATACAGGGAACTGATATCCAGTGGCGACTTGAAATGGTGAATTTGGATAAGCAGGAAATGCCTGAAAAGAAAGGTTCCAGAAAAAAATGAATACGGTAAACCATTTTTTTAAAATTAGAAAGAAATATAATTCTGAATATAACAAAAATAGGTAAAATATTGTTTTTCTACATACAATAATGCAGAATTCTAAATGAATGACTGACTTTATGAAGAAAGAAAGATTCTATGACAAGTGCTACACTTTGGGAGTGAAGGGGGAACTAATGACAAAAGAATTGACTATTTCACCAAAGTTTACCTTATACTGTGTACTTATTCACACCCAGAAGTTATTTCTTACACTGGTGGTAAGGCTCCATTAAGAGAGATTGCAAGGTAAGTTAAATTAATACATTTGCTATTTCCCTGTCAGAATATTTCTAGACTGTTTTGTATCAGACAATATTATAGGACAATATATAGTTTGACAGATGTTATGGCTTTGTCTGTACTTCATTACGAAAAACTAAGTGCAGTCTATAATCCAATACTGGACAAGAGAAAGTATAATGTCTTATATGTTTCAAAAAATTTTTATTATCTGAAAACATACAGGTAGCAGCATACATGAATACACCCAGATTCAGTAATCGCTCACAGTAAATGACAGAAACAAGTAAGGCTTTTTTTCTAGCCATTGTTCAGAGAAGGAAAAAGAAGAGGTATACCATACATGTTTCAAGTACATGGAAAATATCACGAAATTAGAGACAACCGCAGAACTATTTCACTATTATTTTGTTACTACATTTTCCATCAAAGAAAATGTCTTTTAAGCTAACACATCAATGAAATGAACTAAGAAGAATATAAACGTTATTTATCAACAGTAAGTGATAGAGTATGTCAAACCCTACTTTAAATATCAATGTCACCAGGATCAGAGAAATTAGATGCCAGAAACTCAAGCGGTTTATATATATATACTAAATCACATCAGAAATCTACCCATTCCAGAACCAGAATATATCCAGAAGTCAGCAATTTATATGAGGAGGCATCTGGAAATCATTTCAAATAAAGGATAGCTAGATGAATTGCTAAACTTACGGAAGAATAAAGTAGGCAGACACATAAGGAGAGCTGCTTTCATTCACTTTAGGAACTGCTTATACGGGGGAAAGCTGCTCTGGTGATTTGCAGGTAATACTCTCCTTTACTTCTATTCTTATTTAAGCATAATTAACAGCAAAGCATTTCTGTTTCTCTTCTATAAATTTACTACTGCTGGTAAAGCCAGAGGCAGATTCTATGCAGCTACATGCTAATTCTAAAGTCACGTGAATATTACCTTTCTTTGATTATATAGTCTATCATTATGTGGAGCTGCCATTGCTTAAGCACATAAAACCCTGAGGGCAAAAAAGGCACTGTTGCTGCCATGGGAGTTTATACTCGGGTTAACAAGAAAGTAACAACAACAACAACAAACATTAATATAGAGAGTCACTTAAAAATATTTATAGGCATATATGACATGGAAAAAAAATCAAGAATGAACAGGAAGTCTATGTTTGGCTAATTCCCTTAACGTCAAGGACAACATAATCCCTTTGCTCCCCAACAGGCCCCTAAGGTGGCATCTTTAAAAAAAAAAAAAAAAAAAGGAAACCAAAACTATTAAACTATTCCTACATATTTTCAAACACACATGAGAAACACAGTATTGAAGTACTTATTCCGCTGTCTCCTTTTTTATTATAATAAAAGTAACAGAAAGGAAAACTTAAGTACTTTATGTTTCTTGTCCATGACATTCTTGTTACTTTAAATTTGAATCTTCACCTTTCTCCAAATTTTTGGGAGTTGGCAATGTGGAAACCTCAAAAATACTAGCTCTTTCAGTTTATTACCATAGATATAGTTATGGGTCATAGATATACTTGTATCTATGAGAAGAGATCCTGAGAATGACTACCGTCAAACAGCCAGCTAAAATGAAAATATAATTGGAATTCTGTGCTCTGAAAAGTGGATCATAATTTTATTTCACTCTATCTCCCTAAAAAAATTCATGAAAGTCAGTTTGGATGTTTCATTCAGCTATTTGACAGCAAAGATGAAAACTATATCCACAAATGAAGAAGGGGACACCAAATCTCAGAAATCTCTTCTACACAAATGTTATTGCCAAGGATATTCCTGTAAAAATATTACTTCATTACTTCTAAATAAGACAGAGGTCTTCATTCTACACTAAGTCTTTCCTTAAATTTTAGGGACACTTCACTAGTTAAAAATGACCAACTATTCAGGAAATTTCTATAAACAAGTTAAAGGCCTCAATAATACCTGAAAGCAAACCATTTTACTACCTCTTACATTACCTGATAATTGTATACAGGCAACTGATATCCAGTGGTGACCTGAACTGGTGAATTTGGATAAGCAGGAAATGCCTGAAAAGGTTGCAGAAAAAATGAATATGGTAAACCACATTTTAAAATTAGAAAGAAATATAATTCCCAATATAAGAAAAATATTACAAAACGGAAAATATCCTTTTTCTACATACAACAATGCAGAATTCCAAATGAATGACTTTATGAGGAAAGAAAGATTCTATGTCAAGTGCTACACTTTGGGTGTGAAGGGGGAACAAATGACAAAGAACTGACTACTTCACCAAAATTTACCTTATACTGTGTACTTATTCACACCCAGAAATTATGTCTTACACTGGTGATAAGGTTCCACTAAGACAGATTGCAATGTAAGGTAAATCAATACATTTGCAATTTCGCTGTAAGAATATTTCCAGACTGTTTTGTATCAGACAATATTGTAGGGTAATATGTAGTTCTATAGATGTTATGGCTTTGTCTGTATTTCATTCCAAAAAACTAATTGCAGTCTATATTCCAATACTGGAGAATAAAAAGTATAATGTCTGACATGTTTCAACAAATTCTTATTGTTTGAAAACATACAGGTAGCAGCATACATGAATACACCCAGAATCACTAATGCCTCACAGTAAACGAGAGAAACAAGTAGGGCTTTTTTTCTAGCCATGGTTCAGAGAAGGAAAAAGAAGAGGTATACCATACATGTTTCAAGTACATGGAAAATATCAACAAATTAGAGACACAGCAGAACGATTTCACTATTATTTCATTACTTCATTTTCTGTCAAAGAAAATGTCTTTTAAGCTAACACATCAATGAAATGAACTAAGAAGAAAATAAACGATATTTATCAACAGTAAGTGACACACTATGTCAAACCCTACTTTAAATATCAATGTAACCACGATCAGAGAAATTACATGCCAGAAACTCACCGGGTTTATATATATATACTAAACCACGTCAGAAATCTGCCCATTCCAGAACCAGAATATATCCAGAAGTCAGCCATTTATATGAGGAGGCATGTGGCAATCATTTCAAATAAAGGATAGCTAGATAAACTGCTAAACTTACCGAAGAATAAAGTAGGCAGACACATAAGGAGAGCTGCTTTCATTCACTTTAGGAACTGCTTATAAGGGGGAAAGCAGCTCCGGTGAGTTGGAGGTAATACTCTCCTTTACTCCTATTCTTATTTAGGCGTCATTAACAGCAAAGCATTTCTGTTTCTCTTCTATAAATTTTCTACTGCTGGTAAAGCCAGAGGCATATTCTGTGCAGACACATGCTAATTCTAAAGTCACGTGAATACTCCCTTTCTTTGATTATATAGTCTATCATTATGTAGACCTGCCATTGCTTAAGCACATAAAAACCTGAGGACAAAAAAGGCACTGTTGCTGCCATGGGAGTTTATAATCGGGTTAACAAGAAGGAAACAACAACAAAAAAAACATTAACATAAAAAGTCACTTAAAAATATTTGTAGGCATATATGACATGGAAAAAAATCAAGAATGAACAGGAAGTCTATGTTTGGCTAATTCCCTTAACGTCAAGGACAACATAATCCCTTTGCTACCCAACAGGCCCCTAAGGTGGAATCTTAAAAAATCAATCAATAAATAAAAGGAAACCAAAACTATTGAAGTATTACTACACATTTTCAAAAACACATGAGAAACACAATATTAAAGTACTTATCCTGCTGTCTCCTTTTTTATTGTAATAAAAGTAACAGAAAGGAAAACTCAAATACTTTATGTTTCTAGTCCATGACATTCTTGTTACTTTTACATTGGAAACTTCAGCTTTCTCCACATTTTCGGGATTTCGCAATGTGGAAACCTCAAAGATACTAGCTCTTTCAGTTTATTACCGTAGATATAATTATGGGTCACAGATACACTTGTATCTATGAAAAGAGATCCAGAGCATTACTATCGTCAAACAGCCAGCTAAAATGAAAATGTAATTGGGATTCTGTGCTCTGAAAAGTGCAGCATAATTTTATTTCAGTCTATCTCCCTAAGAAAATTCATGAAAGACACTTTGGACGTTTCATTTAGCTATTTGACAGTAAAGATGAAAACTACATCCAGAAATGAAGAAGAGAACACCAAATCTCAGAAATCTGTTCTACAGAAAAGTTATTGCCAAGTATATTCCTGTCAAAATACTACCTCATTATTCTAAATAACACAGAGGTCTTCATTCTACACTAAGTGTTTCCTTAAATTTTAGGTACAATTCACTAGTTTAAAATGAGCAACTATTCAGGAAATTTGTATGAACAAGTTAAAGGCCTCAATAATACCTAAAAGCAAATCATTTTACTCCCTCTGACATTACCTGATAATTGTATACAGGGAACTGATATCCAGTGGCGACTTGAAATGGTGAATTTGGATAAGCAGGAAATGCCTGAAAAGAAAGGTTCCAGAAAAAAATGAATACGGTAAACCATTTTTTTAAAATTAGAAAGAAATATAATTCTGAATATAACAAAAATAGGTAAAATATTGTTTTTCTACATACAATAATGCAGAATTCTAAATGAATGACTGACTTTATGAAGAAAGAAAGATTCTATGACAAGTGCTACACTTTGGGAGTGAAGGGGGAACTAATGACAAAAGAATTGACTATTTCACCAAAGTTTACCTTATACTGTGTACTTATTCACACCCAGAAGTTATTTCTTACACTGGTGGTAAGGCTCCATTAAGAGAGATTGCAAGGTAAGTTAAATTAATACATTTGCTATTTCCCTGTCAGAATATTTCTAGACTGTTTTGTATCAGACAATATTATAGGACAATATATAGTTTGACAGATGTTATGGCTTTGTCTGTACTTCATTACGAAAAACTAAGTGCAGTCTATAATCCAATACTGGACAAGAGAAAGTATAATGTCTTATATGTTTCAAAAAATTTTTATTATCTGAAAACATACAGGTAGCAGCATACATGAATACACCCAGATTCAGTAATCGCTCACAGTAAATGACAGAAACAAGTAAGGCTTTTTTTCTAGCCATTGTTCAGAGAAGGAAAAAGAAGAGGTATACCATACATGTTTCAAGTACATGGAAAATATCACGAAATTAGAGACAACCGCAGAACTATTTCACTATTATTTTGTTACTTCATTTTCCATCAAAGAAAATGTCTTTTAAGCTAACACATAAATAAAACGAACTAAGAAGAATATAAAGGTTAGTTATCAACATTAAGTGATGGAGTATGTCAAACCCTACTTTAAATATCAGTGTAACCAGAATCAGAGAAATTAGACGCCAGAAGCTCACGGGGTTTATATATATACTAAACCACATCAGAAATCTACCCATTCCAGAAGAAGAATATTTCCAGAAGTCAGCAATTTATATGAGGAGGCATCCGGAAATCATTTCAAATAAAGAATAGCTAGATGAACTGCTAAACTTACCAAAGAATAAAGTAGGCAGACACATAAGGGGAGCTGCTTTCATTCACTTTAGGAACTGGTTATAAGGGGGAAAGCAGCTCCGGTGATTTGGCGGTAATACTCTCGTTTACTCCTATTCTCATTTAAGCGTCATTAACAGCAAAGCATTTCTGTTTCTCTTCTATAAATATTCTATTGCTGGTAAAGCCAGAGGCAGATTCTATGCAGATACATGCTAATTGTAAAGTCACATGAACACTACCTTTCTTTGATTATATAGTCTGTCATTATATGGACCTGCCATTGCTTAACCACATAAAAACCTGAGGGCAAAAAAGGCACTCTTGCTCCCATGGGAGTTTATAATCGGGTTAACAAGAAAGTAACAACAACAAAAAAATTAATATAAAGAATCACTTAAAAATATTTATAGGCATATATGACATGGAAAAAAATCAAGAATGAACAGGAAATCTATGTTTGGCTAATTCACTTAACGTCAAGGACAACATAATCCTTTGCTCCCCAACAGGACCTTATGGTGGCATCTTAAAAAAAAAAAAGAAAGAAAAAGAAAGAAAAAAAAAGGACACCGAAACTATTATATGTATTCCTACACATTTTCAAAAACACATGAGAAATACAACATTGAAGTACTTATCCGGCTGTCTCCTTTTTCATTATAATAAAAGTAACAGAAAGGAAAACTTAAGTACTTTATGTTTCTAGTCCATGACATTCTTGTTACTTTTATATTGGAAACTTCACCTTTCTCCAAATTTTCGGGAGTTGGCAACGTGGAAACCTCAAAGATACTACCTCTTTCAGTTTCTTACCATAGATGTAATTATGGGTCATAGATATACTTGTATCTATGAAAAGAGATCCAGAGCATTACTATCTTCAAACAGCCAGCTAAAATGAAAATGTAATTGGGATTCTGTGCTCTGAAAAGTGCAGCATAAATTTATTTCACTCTATCTCCCTAAGAAAATTCATGAAAGTCAGTTTGGATGTTTCATTCAGCTATTTCACAGTAAAGATGAAAACTGCATCCAGAAATAAAGAAGAGAACACCACATCTCAGAAATCTCTTCTACAGAAAAGTTATTGCCAAGTATATTCCTCTCAAAATACTACTTCATTACTTCTAAATAAGACAGAGGTCTTCATTCTACACTACTTCTACGTGTTTCCTTAAATTTTAGGTACACTTCACTAATTTAAAATGACCAGCTATTCAGGAAATTTGTATAAACAAGTTGAATGCCTCAATAATACCTGAAAGTAAATCATTTTACTCCTTCTTACATTACCTGATAATTATATACAGGCAACTGATATCCAGCAGTGACCTGAAATGGTGAACTTGGATAAGCAGGAAATGGCTGAAAAGAAAGGTTGCAGAAAAAAATGAATATGGTAAACCACTTTTTAAAATTACAAAGAAACATAATTCCCAATATAACAAAAATATTACAAAAGGTAAAATATCCTTTTTCTACGTACAACAATGCAGAATTCCAAATGAATGACTGACTTTATGAAGAAAGAAAGATTCTAGGTCAAGTGCTACACTATGGGTGTGAAGGGGGAACAAATGACAAAATTGACTACTTCACCAAAGTTTACCTTATACTGTGTACTTATTCACACCCAGACGTTATTTCTTACACTGGTGGTAAGGCTCCATTAAGAGAGATTGCAAGGTAAGTTAAATTAATACATTTGCAATTTCTCTGTAAGAATATTTCTAGACTGTTTTGTATCAGACAATATTATAGGGTAATATGTAGTTCGACAGATGTTATGGCTTTGTCTGTACTTCATTACGAAAAACTAAGTGCAGTCTATGATCCAATACTGGAGAAGAGAAAGTATAATGTCTTACATGTTTCAATAAATTCTTATTGTTTGAAAACATACAGGTAGCAGCATACATGAATACACCCAGAATCAGTGATGCCTCACAGTAAATGACAGAAAAAAGTAGGACTTTTTTTCTAGCCATTGTTCAGAGAAGGAAAAAGAAGAGGTATACCATACAAGTTTCAAGTACATGGAAAATATCAACAAATTAGAGACACTGCAGAACTATTTCACTATTATTTTGTTACTTCATTTTCCGTCAAAGAAAATGTCTTTAAAGCTAACACGTCAATAAAATGAACTAAGAAGAATATAAACGTTATTTATCAACAGTAGGTGACAGAGTATGTCAAACCCTACTTTAAATATCAATGTAACCAGGATCAGAGAAATTAGATGCCAGAAGCTCACGGGGTTTACATATATATACTAAACCACATCAGAAATCTACCCATTCCAGAACCAGGAAATATCCAGAAGTCAGCAATTTATATGAGGAGGCATCTGGAAATCATTTCAAATAAAGGATAGCTAGATGAACTGCTAAACTTACCGAAGAATAAAGTAGGCAGACACATAAGGAGAGCTGCTTTCATTCACTTTAGGAACTGCTTATAAGGGGGAAAGCAGCTCCGGTGATTTGGAGGTAATACTCTCCTTTACTCCTATTCTTATTTAGGCGTCATTAACAGCAAAGCATTTCTGTTTCTCTTCTATAAATTTTCTACTGCTGGTAAAGCCAGAGGCATATTCTGTGCAGACACATGCTAATTCTAAAGTCACGTGAATACTCCCTTTCTTTGATTATATAGTCTATCATTATGTAGACCTGCCATTGCTTAAGCACATAAAAACCTGAGGACAAAAAAGGCACTGTTGCTGCCATGGGAGTTTATAATCGGGTTAACAAGAAGGAAACAACAACAAAAAAAACATTAACATAAAAAGTCACTTAAAAATATTTGTAGGCATATATGACATGGAAAAAAATCAAGAATGAACAGGAAGTCTATGTTTGGCTAATTCCCTTAACGTCAAGGACAACATAATCCCTTTGCTACCCAACAGGCCCCTAAGGTGGAATCTTAAAAAATCAATCAATAAATAAAAGGAAACCAAAACTATTGAAGTATTACTACACATTTTCAAAAACACATGAGAAACACAATATTAAAGTACTTATCCTGCTGTCTCCTTTTTTATTGTAATAAAAGTAACAGAAAGGAAAACTCAAATACTTTATGTTTCTAGTCCATGACATTCTTGTTACTTTTACATTGGAAACTTCAGCTCTCTCCACATTTTCGGGATTTCGCAATGTGGAAACCTCAAAGATACTAGCTCTTTCAGTTTATTACCGTAGATATAATTATGGGTCACAGATACACTTGTATCTATGAAAAGAGATCCAGAGCATTACTATCGTCAAACAGCCAGCTAAAATGAAAATGTAATTGGGATTCTGTGCTCTGAAAAGTGCAGCATAATTTTATTTCAGTCTATCTCCCTAAGAAAATTCATGAAAGACACTTTGGACGTTTCATTTAGCTATTTGACAGTAAAGATGAAAACTACATCCAGAAATGAAGAAGAGAACACCAAATCTCAGAAATCTGTTCTACAGAAAAGTTATTGCCAAGTATATTCCTGTCAAAATACTACCTCATTATTCTAAATAACACAGAGGTCTTCATTCTACACTAAGTGTTTCCTTAAATTTTAGGTACAATTCACTAGTTTAAAATGAGCAACTATTCAGGAAATTTGTATGAACAAGTTAAAGGCCTCAATAATACCTAAAAGCAAATCATTTTACTCCCTCTGACATTACCTGATAATTGTATACAGGGAACTGATATCCAGTGGCGACTTGAAATGGTGAATTTGGATAAGCAGGAAATGCCTGAAAAGAAAGGTTCCAGAAAAAAATGAATACGGTAAACCATTTTTTTAAAATTAGAAAGAAATATAATTCTGAATATAACAAAAATAGGTAAAATATTGTTTTTCTACATACAATAATGCAGAATTCTAAATGAATGACTGACTTTATGAAGAAAGAAAGATTCTATGACAAGTGCTACACTTTGGGAGTGAAGGGGGAACTAATGACAAAAGAATTGACTATTTCACCAAAGTTTACCTTATACTGTGTACTTATTCACACCCAGAAGTTATTTCTTACACTGGTGGTAAGGCTCCATTAAGAGAGATTGCAAGGTAAGTTAAATTAATACATTTGCTATTTCCCTGTCAGAATATTTCTAGACTGTTTTGTATCAGACAATATTATAGGACAATATATAGTCTGACAGATGTTATGGCTTTGTCTGTACTTCACTACGAAAAACTAAGTGCAGTCTATAATCCAATACTGGACAAGAGAAAGTATAATGTCTTATATGTTTCAAAAAATTTTTATTATCTGAAAACATACAGGTAGCAGCATACATGAATACACCCAGATTCAGTAATCGCTCACAGTAAATGACAGAAACAAGTAAGGCTTTTTTTCTAGCCATTGTTCAGAGAAGGAAAAAGAAGAGGTATACCATACATGTTTCAAGTACATGGAAAATATCACGAAATTAGAGACAACCGCAGAACTATTTCACTATTATTTTGTTACTTCATTTTCCATCAAAGAAAATGTCTTTTAAGCTAACACATAAATAAAACGAACTAAGAAGAATATAAAGGTTAGTTATCAACATTAAGTGATGGAGTATGTCAAACCCTACTTTAAATATCAGTGTAACCAGAATCAGAGAAATTAGACGCCAGAAGCTCACGGGGTTTATATATATACTAAACCACATCAGAAATCTACCCATTCCAGAAGAAGAATATTTCCAGAAGTCAGCAATTTATATGAGGAGGCATCCGGAAATCATTTCAAATAAAGAATAGCTAGATGAACTGCTAAACTTACCAAAGAATAAAGTAGGCAGACACATAAGGGGAGCTGCTTTCATTCACTTTAGGAACTGGTTATAAGGGGGAAAGCAGCTCCGGTGATTTGGCGGTAATACTCTCGTTTACTCCTATTCTCATTTAAGCGTCATTAACAGCAAAGCATTTCTGTTTCTCTTCTATAAATATTCTATTGCTGGTAAAGCCAGAGGCAGATTCTATGCAGATACATGCTAATTGTAAAGTCACATGAACACTACCTTTCTTTGATTATATAGTCTGTCATTATATGGACCTGCCATTGCTTAACCACATAAAAACCTGAGGGCAAAAAAGGCACTCTTGCTCCCATGGGAGTTTATAATCGGGTTAACAAGAAAGTAACAACAACAAAAAAATTAATATAAAGAATCACTTAAAAATATTTATAGGCATATATGACATGGAAAAAAATCAAGAATGAACAGGAAATCTATGTTTGGCTAATTCACTTAACGTCAAGGACAACATAATCCTTTGCTCCCCAACAGGACCTTATGGTGGCATCTTAAAAAAAAAAAAGAAAGAAAAAGAAAGAAAAAAAAAGGACACCGAAACTATTATATGTATTCCTACACATTTTCAAAAACACATGAGAAATACAACATTGAAGTACTTATCCGGCTGTCTCCTTTTTCATTATAATAAAAGTAACAGAAAGGAAAACTTAAGTACTTTATGTTTCTAGTCCATGACATTCTTGTTACTTTTATATTGGAAACTTCACCTTTCTCCAAATTTTCGGGAGTTGGCAAGGTGGAAACCTCAAAGATACTACCTCTTTCAGTTTCTTACCATAGATGTAATTATGGGTCATAGATATACTTGTATCTATGAAAAGAGATCCAGAGCATTACTATCTTCAAACAGCCAGCTAAAATGAAAATGTAATTGGGATTCTGTGCTCTGAAAAGTGCAGCATAAATTTATTTCACTCTATCTCCCTAAGAAAATTCATGAAAGTCAGTTTGGATGTTTCATTCAGCTATTTCACAGTAAAGATGAAAACTGCATCCAGAAATAAAGAAGAGAACACCACATCTCAGAAATCTCTTCTACAGAAAAGTTATTGCCAAGTATATTCCTCTCAAAATACTACTTCATTACTTCTAAATAAGACAGAGGTCTTCATTCTACACTACTTCTACGTGTTTCCTTAAATTTTAGGTACACTTCACTAATTTAAAATGACCAACTATTCAGGAAATTTGTATAAACAAGTTGAA
Organism: Homo sapiens; assembly: GCF_000001405.40. Classification (NCBI taxonomy): domain Eukaryota; kingdom Metazoa; phylum Chordata; class Mammalia; order Primates; family Hominidae; genus Homo; species Homo sapiens. Next base: position 24,859,786 of record NC_000024.10, on the reverse strand, counting down.
TGCCTCAGTAATACCTGAAAGTAAATCATTTTACTCCTTCTTACATTACCTGATAATTATATACAGGCAACTGATATCCAGCAGTGACCTGAAATGGTGATCTTGGATAAGCAGGAAATGGCTGAAAAGAAAGGTTGCAGAAAAAAATGAATATGGTAAACCACTTTTTAAAATTACAAAGAAATATAATTCCCAATATAACAAAAATATTACAAAAGGTAAAATATCCTTTTTCTACGTACAACAATGCAGAATTCCAAATGAATGACTGACTTTATGAAGAAAGAAAGATTCTAGGTCAAGTGCTACACTATGGGTGTGAAGGGGGAACAAATGACAAAAGAATTGACTACTTCACCAAAGTTTACCTTATACTGTGTACTTATTCACACCCAGACGTTATTTCTTACACTGGTGGTAAGGCTCCATTAAGAGAGATTGCAAGGTAAGTTAAATTAATACATTTGCAATTTCTCTGTAAGAATATTTCCAGACTGTTTTGTATCAGACAATATTATAGGGTAATATGTAGTTCGACAGATGTTATGGCTTTGTCTGTACTTCATTACAAAAAACTAAGTGCAGTCTATGATCCAATACTGGAGAAGAGAAAGTATAATGTCTTACATGTTTCAATAAATTCTTATTGTTTGAAAACATACAGGTAGCAGCATACATGAATACACCCAGAATCAGTGATGCCTCACAGTAAATGACAGAAAAAAGTAGGACTTTTTTTCTAGCCATTGTTCAGAGAAGGAAAAAGAAGAGGTATACCATACAAGTTTCAAGTACATGCAAAATATCAACAAATTAGAGACACTGCATAACTATTTCACTATTATTTTGTTACTTCATTTTCCGTCAAAGAAAATGTCTTTAAAGCTAACACGTCAATAAAATGAACTAAGAAGAATATAAACGTTATTTATCAACAGTAGGTGACAGAGTATGTCAAACCCTACTTTAAATATCAATGTAACCAGGATCAGAGAAATTAGATGCCAGAAGCTCACGGGGTTTACATATATATACTAAACCACATCAGAAATCTACCCATTCCAGAACCAGGAAATATCCAGAAGTCAGCAATTTATATGAGGAGGCATCTGGAAATCATTTCAAATAAAGGATAGCTAGATGAACTGCTAAACTTACCGAAGAATAAAGTAGGCAGACACATAAGGAGAGCTGCTTTCATTCACTTTAGGAACTGCTTATAAGGGGGAAAGCAGCTCCGGTGATTTGGAGGTAATACTCTCGTTCACTCCTGTTCTTATTTAAGCGTCATTAACAGCAAAGCAATTCTGTTTCTCTTCTATAAATTTTCTATTGCTGGTAAAGCCAGAGGCTGATTATTGGCAGATACGTGATAATTCTAAAGTCAAGTGAATACTACTTTTCTGTGATTATATAGTCTATCATTATGTGGACCTGCCATTGCTTAGGCACATAAAAACCTGAGGGCAAAAAAGGCACTCTTGCTCCCATGGGAGTTCATAATCGGGTTAACAAGAAAGTAACAACGACAAAAAAATTAATATAAAGAATCACTTAAAAATATTTATAGGCATATAGGACATGGAAAAAAATCAAGAATGAACAGGAAGTCTATGTTTGGCTAATTCACTTAACGTCAAGAACGGAATCCCTTTGCTCCCCAACAGGCCCCTATGGTGGCATCTTAAAAAAAAAAAAAAAAAAAAAAAAAGGACACCAAAACTATTAAAGTATTCCTACACATTTTCAAAAACTCATGAGAAACACAATATTGAAGTCCTTATCCTGCTGTCTCCTTTTTTATTATAATAAAAGTAACAGAAAGGAAAACTTAAGTACATCATGTTTCTAGTCCATGACATTCTTCTTACTTTTATATTTGAAACTTCATCTTTCTCCAAATTTTCAGGAGTTGGCAATGTGGAAACCTCCAAGATACTACCTCTTTCAGTTTATTACCATAGATATAATTATGGGTCATAGATATACTTGTATCTATGAAAAGAGATCCAGAGAATTACTATCTTCAAACAGCCAGCTAAAATGAAAATGTAATTGGGATTCTGTGCTCTGAAAAGTGCAGCAGAAATTTATTTCACTCTATCTCCCTAAGAAAATTCATGAAAGTCAGTTTGGATGTTTCATTCAGCTATTTCACAGTAAAGATGAAAACTACATCCAGAAGTAAAGGAGAGAACACCACATCTCAGAAATCTCTTCTACAGAAATGTTATTGCCAGGTATATTCCTCTCAAAATACTACTTCATTACTTCTAAATAAGACAGATGTCTTCATTCTACACTAATTCTAAGTGTTTCCTTAAATTTTAGGTACACTTCACTAGTTTAAAATGACCAACTGTTCAGGAAATTTGTCTAAAAAAGTTAAAGGCCCCAATAATACCTGAAAGCAAATCATTTTACTCCCTCTTACATTACCTGATAATTATATACAGGCAACTGATATCCAGTGGTGACCTGAAATGCTGAATCGGGATAAGTAGGATATTCCTGAAAATAAATTATACAGAAAGAATGAATTAATACGTTAAAACATTATTTTTAATTAGGAAGAATTAGTCCCAATATAACAAAACTATGAAAAATTTCGAAATACTAATTATTTTTCTATCTGCAACAATGTAGAATTGTAAGTGACTGACTGATTTATGAAGAACGTATTATTCTCGGTCAAGTGCTATGGTTGGGCGTGGAGGGGGAACAGACAAATGTCAAAAGAACTGGCTATGACACCAGGCAAAGTTAACCTTACTTATATTGTGTACTTATGCCCACCCAGAAGTTATTTCTTGCACTGGTGATAAGGCTGCATTAAGACAGAGTTCAATGTAAGTTAAATTAATACATTTGCTATTTCCCTGTAAAAATGCTTCCAGACTGATGTGTATTTGACAATATTATAAGGTAATACGTAGTTCTGCAGAATTTACGGCGTTTTCTGTACTTCATGTTGAAAAACTAAGTGCAGTATAGAATCCAATACTGGAAAAGAGACAGTATAATGTCTCATATGTTTCAATAAATACTTATTGTTTCAACACATATAGGTAAGCAGCATGCATCAATACACCCAGATTCAGTAATGGCTCACAGTAAATGATAGAAGTAGGGCTTTTATTCCAGCCATTGTTCACAGAAGGAAAAAGAAGATGAGGTATACCGTACATGTTTCAAGTACAGGGAAAATGTCAACAAATGAGAAACACTGAATATAACTACTTCACTACTATTCTGTTACTTTATTTTCCATCAAAGAAAATGTCTTTTAAACTAAGATATAAATAAAATGAACTAAGAAGAAAATAAACGTTATTTACCACCAGTAAGTGACAGAATATGTCAAATCTACTTTAAATAGCAAACTAACAAGGATCAGAGACACTACATGCCAGAAACTTGCGGGATTTACAGATACCTAAAACATATCAGAAATCTACCCATTCCAGAACCAGAATATATCTGGAAGTCAGCAATTTAATATGCAGAGGCATCTGGAAATCATTTCAAATAAAGAATACCTGGATTAACTGCTAAACTTAGAGAAGAATAAAGCAGGCAGACACATGAGAAGAACTGCTTTTAAATATTTTAGTTATATGGGGGAAAGCAGCTCAGGTGTTATAGAGGTAATACTCTTTTTAATCCTATTCTTATTTAAGAGTAATTAACAGCAAAACATTTCTGTTTCTTTTATGAAATTTTTTATGGTTGGTACATCCAGATGCAGATTCTCATCAGATACATGCTATTCTAAAGCCAAATTAATACTACCTTTCTTAGATAAAGCCACATTAGGACTACCTTTCTTAGATTAAATAATCTATCGACAAGTAACTGAACACTTGTCATAATTTGGAGAAGCCATTGCTTAAGCATACAAAAACCTGAGAGAGAAAAAGGCACTGTTTCTCCCATGGGAGATTATAATTGGGTTAAAAAGAAAGTAACAAAACGTTAACACATCAATATAAAGAATCATTAAAAATATTTATAGGCATATGTGCCACACAAAAAATCAAGAAAGAAGAGCAGGTATATGTTTCACTCATTCGCTTTACCGGAGGAACAACATAACTCCTTTGCGCCCCAACAGGCCAGTGCAGTGGAATCTTAAATTAAAAAAAAAAAAAAAAAAAAAAAAGTAACCAAAATTATTTAAATACTCCTACACGTTTTCAAAAACACATGAGTTACATAATATTGGAGTATTTATCATGATGGCTCCTTTGTTATAATAAAAGAAACAGAATAGAAAAAAGAAGTACTTTAGGTTTCTAATCCCCAAAGTTCTTGTTGTTACTTCTACACAGAAAACCTCACCTTTTTCCCAATTTTATGGAAACAGAATTGTGGAACCCTCAAAGATATTAATTCTTTGAATTTGTTACCACAGATACAATTATGGGTCACAGATAATAGTTGTACCATTGAAAAGAGACCCAGAGAACTGCTATCATGAAGCAGCAAGCTAAAATAAAAATACAACTGAAATTCTGTGCTCTAAGAATTCGGTAAAGCTTTTATTTCACTCTGTATCTCTACAAGATTCAGGAAAGTCAGTCTGGATGTTTCAGCTCTTTGACAGCAAAGATAACAAAATACATGCTGAAACAAAGAAGGGAACACCAAATCTCAGAAATTGTTCTACGGAAAAGTTATTGCTAAGTACCCTCCTGTCAAAATCTTATTTCATCACTTCTAAATAAAACAGAGGTCCTCATTACACTAATTCTAAGTGATTTCTTAAATTTTAGGTACAGTTCACTAGTTTAAAAGGACAACCTATTCAAGCAATTTGTATAAGCAAGTGGAGGCCTCAATAGTAGCTGAAAGTAAATCATCTTACTCCCTCTTCAATTACCTGATAATTATATACAAGCAACTGACATCCAGTGATGACCTGACCTGGTGAATGTGGATAAGCAGAGTAAGCCTGAAAATAAAGTTTACAGAAAGAATGGATTAATACGGTAAAACATTTTCTTTAACTAGAAAGAAATATCATTCCCAAAATAACAAAAATACGAAAAACCTTGAAATGGTAATTATTTTTCTACATACAGAAATACAGATTTCTAAATGAATGACTGACATGAAGAAACAAATATTCTCTGTCAAGTGCTACCCTTTGGGCGGGGAGGGGGAAGAGACAAATGACAAAACAAGTGACTGTTGCACCGGCCAAAGTCTACCATATTTATACTGTGTACTTATGCCCACCCAGAAGTTATTTCTTACGCTGCTGATAAGGCTCTATTAAGATAGATTTCAACGTAAGTTAAAATAATACATTTGCTCTTTCTTTGGCAAAATACTTCTAGACTGTTTGCTATCTGATGATATTATAGGGTAATACTGTAGTTCTTCGGCAGATGTTACGGCTTTCTCTGTACTTCTTTTCCACAAATTAAGGGCAGTAAGTAAGCCACAGCTGGAAAAGAGACAGTATAATGTCTTCTACTTTTCAATAAATACTTACTGATTAAAAACATACAGGTAGCATCATTCATCAATACACCCACATTCAGTAATGGCTCACAGTAAATGCTACAAACAAGTAGGGCTTTTCTTCTAGCCATTGCTCAGAGAAGGAAAAAGAAGAAGAGGTGTACCCCACACGTTTCAAGTACATGGAAAATGTCAACAAATGAGAGACACTGAAGAACTAATTCACTACTATTTGGTTACTTTATTTTCCATCGAAGAAAACCTCTTTTTAAAAACTAACACATAAATAAAATGAACGAAGAACAAACTAAACGTTATTTATCACCAGTAAGTGACAAGAGTATGTCAAATCCTACTTTAAATATCAAAGCAACCAGCATCAGAGAAATTACGTGCCAGAAACTCACGGGATTTCTAGATAGAGCAAAAGAGATCAGAAATCTACCCATCCCAGAACCAGAATATACCCAGAAGTCAAGCAATTTATATGAGGAGGCATCTGGAAATCACTGCAAGTAAAGAATAGCTAGGTTAACTGCTAACCTTAGAGAACAATAAACTAGGCAGACACATAAGGAGGGCTGCTTCCAAATACTTTAGGAACTAGTTATATGAGGTGAAAGAGGCAGAGATAGGAAGAGATTTGTTCATGTGTCTACAGAGGTCATTTCTAAGAGAAAGCTTCGCCAAGTATACAGAAGATTCTTAGCTCAAATGACGAACACGAAGAATAAGAAATTTCTAACAAAAGTAACAGATTTCCCGTTACTCACACTGTTCAAACAGGGATTCTATTGCCACTTACTATGGAAAGTGTAGATACAATTCCACAGAGGGAAGGATGACTAGAATAAACAAGAGAACAGGAACATAAGCAGTTCTTACCTGAACGTGCTGAGTTACAGGATTCGGCGTGATTTGGGGCTGCAGGTAGGTTTCAGTGTTTGGATTCCGCCAGACGTTCTGAAACTGTGGTGGAGGAGGAGGATTAACTACCAAAGGACGTGGCTGCACATGACGAGCACCTTTTTAAAAAGCAAGAAGAAAAAAGCCTATTTTTAGTTATTTGAAAAGCTACACGGGTCAGAAAAGAACCATTTCTTTTCCTACTCACATAACTTTTGTTTCCTGATTGCAGGGCCCAGCTTCAGCTTTTTACCATGGAAATGTATCTGTGACTGAAAATAGAACCGTTAACAAAACTAGAATCAATTTTCAAGTGTTAGCTTCCAAGACTTGGGTAAACACCTGAAGTCTTCTAAAGTACCTATCATCATAGAAGATCGGGGACAACTACGCACCAAATTAAAATTTGTCATCACGAAGCTACCTTACTTACCCTTACTACTCTAATCAGTGTCAAGAGGCATCAAGTGAAAGTTGATCAAAAACTTTCCATCACCCTGTCTCCAACCCTTCCTGTCTGTAGTTCATGAAACTAGGTGTCCAGTCAAAAATAAACAGGATCAAACAAGCTACGTGAGGTTACTCTGAGTTTGGATTTTGAACAGGAAGTGTGTCTTTCCCCAAATTTTACACAAGTCCGAGTGTATCACTGACACTAAACGTTGTAGCAATAAGATAAATAAGAGATTTTTCTATTAGATTACTTACTCCTACTATCTTCTGGACATCCACGTCATTAACAAACGAAACAAATCCATAGCTATAAAGGCAGACAAATGAAGCATAAAATCACCATCATACAGTACGTGGTTCAGAAGGTCTACTATTCTATATACAGAAGTGATCATGACAAAAGACGAATAATATACCATGATAAGTATTTGCTAAGATGTACATGACAGATCCTCTACAAATACCACTTTTTCTTAAGCAGAACTATGTCAAAATGTGCTAGGATTAGGGCAGTGTGACAACTTTATTGATTAGCAAAGAATTCATATCTGTGAACCTGAGTTTAACTTACTGTCTAAGACAAGGTGGTTAAAATTTAAGATGCTCTGCAGTGTATGAAGAAAACAATTATTTGAGAAAACTGATTAACTCATCTGTATGAAATAGAAACTGGAGACATTTAAATACAAACATTAGAAAAATGGTCAAATAGAAGAACTGGTAATAGCCTTTTATCCCCTACGTGAAAGAAATTAACACTGCAGAATATTGCATTTATACAAGGGTCAGAATATCAGTTTTGAAGTCTTGTCTGATACTTATAGAATAGGTGACTGGAGTTCACATATTTTTGATAAAATTACTCACCCTTTGGACACACCAGTTCGATTCGTGATTATCTTCACTTCTTTCACTGAACCGTATCTACCAAAGCAGCTTCCAATCTCAGTTTCATCCATCTATGGAAAAGAACTGAACGTCAGAGTAAAAATTCAGCATTCAAAAATTTCAACTTTACTACAATTTTACTACCATGAGGTGGAAATTTCTCCCCCATTTATCCCCGAATGACCAGCAGCCCTTTGTCAAAGATATTTTTAGTACCTATGGGTCAAACCTAAAAGCAATTCTAAACCTCCAGGAAGTACAAAAAAAAATTTAAGTTTGTAACAGGGCCCACATCCCATTGTTCATGATGTATGTTAAGGTAAAAATGAGGTACAAATACAATACCCTAGCATCAATTCCACCAACAAAAACAGTGTTTGGCACGATTTTGCCTTCTGGTAACACCCAGCCTTGGCTAGCTGCAGCTGATGAAGACTGGGTGCTGGCCTCTCTGGAGATGGTTGAGTTTGGAGTCTCAGGATTTGCAGCAGACTGTAATTTGGAAAGTAGACATCATAATTACGTATGCAGGCAAAACCCATACATAATGTGAAATACCATTTTTGTATTTTAAGTATATTTTACATAAATTACTTTCATTGTAATTCAGTCACCAGTGCAGCTCAGTTCAGGCTCAGGATTTAAACTTATCAGAGTACATCAGCATGGAATTTTAACCGAAGGATACAGTACTTTCTTAAACCTAGTGCCGCTCATCACCGAGTCTTGTATAATGCTGTGGAAGAATACCCATTTAGTATTTGTGAAAGTACTACGTGAAGTAGTTAAAAAAGACACCCAAAACTAGAGAGTTTAGATTTGTAAAAATTAAAGTTATTAAAATCATCCTGTTCTATATTCATAAACAACTTTTCACTTTACTGAGTAGACTAAAGATAAATCTTAAAAAAAAAAAAAAAAAAAAAAAGCCCCACCAAAAAGAAAATAAGCCTCAACGTTTTAAACCAATTTGTTACAATCCTCTTCCCTAACGCTAGGGTGTTCAAAGCATCTTTTGAAATAACATTTTTCTTCCTGAGTAACACGGAATCAGTCTGACTGATAATTCTGATTTTCACAGTGGGCTGATAGATATAAATGATACCATCTTTATTTTCAGATAAAAAAACACATACATATAACTCACTAATTTTCTAGATTCTGATCAGAACTGTCTTTATTCTTTCCACAGCAGACTCTAAGGTTAATGTAAAATTTTCTGAAGTAGTATTCATAAGTAATATATACGTTGGAGAAACAATATAGCATAGTGAAACAAAAATTAATTCAGTCAGGAGATCTAGGTTTATGTCCCTTACAGGTAAGTGGTTATAAGCCACCTACTTGCCAGCTATGTATCTGTGGGCAAAGTGCTTTGAGAATGACATGAGATCACATCTGTGAATTCATTTTGTACGTATAAAGTGGTACAAGTGGTGTGCCAATGTAAGTTAGTGTCCTGTTATTTGAATTTATTTTCAGCCGATTTGTTTTCAAGTTTCTTTTTTGGCTTCACTATTTAGCTGACTTATTTTGAAAAAATTTTAATTAAGAACTAATTGACACATCAGGAAACTATGACACATCATTAATTTAAAAATCATTGGTGAAGTGCTGTTGACTTCACAAATGTCAGTACAAAATGCTGCAAAAGAGAAAGCTATTACACATATACCTGTCTGAAAGAAAACAAAAGACAAAAGAAACTGCGTTATCTTTTTGAACACAGTAATGTTATAGAAGTTAATAAGAAAGGAGGGTTCCTGCTTTGTTAATTAGAGCCTAGAAGTTACTGATTCTACACAGCTTTACTAGAGATCAAATCTAAATTGTCAAATCAACTAAAGCCGAGGTTACTGCATTTCTCTATTCTTTCGTGCTTGTACTTGCTATTTTGGGTCTGTAACTAATTCCTAATTCTTTCCTTTAACAGCGTTATTTCATGACAATGATGTGAAAGAAAAATTTAAAACACTATTTTTAAAGTTCTTCCTTTCAAAAATGTCTCACATTATTGCTTTTTCCAAATGACATTAAGCTGCACTACCTTGAACTACTGGGAACCTGATTAGATATCCCTTCCCTATAGACAATTTACCAATTCCTTCTCAGTTCATTCAGAAATCCCAAACAGAATAAAACAAAACAAAACAAATTCTGAAATTCTTGTAGTTTCTTTTTCTCCTTTCCAATTCCTCCTTGATTTGTGGATGAACTTTGGGTATGTGTTTCCTTGATAAACAAGCTATATTACAGTATCGTCTCTGCACCATAGTGTTTGGATGTATTTTAATTTAGAAATGTAACATCTGGCAGAAAACTGTGTCAGACTACGAGAGGTTACGGAAATGCACTGATTCTCAACTGGGCAAGATTTTTGAGCCCCAGGGGCATTTAGCGACGTTTAGAGATTGGCTGTCACAACTGAGATGTATTCCTGGAATCTGATGGGCCGAAGGCCAGGCACACTACTGCGCATCCTACAGTGTAAAGACAGCCTCCTACCATAAGGAAGTATTTGGTGCACAATTTGAAAAGGGTCTGGTTAAGAAACCTTGTCACCGTGCCACAAGAATTGAAGAGGAAAATTCTTCTTTGGGAAGAACCTGATTTCCATCGCTCACTAAAGTGAATCTTTTCATGACCTCGGTTTCAGTTTCCTTGCTTGAAAACGAATGGCCGGAAAAGACCTCGGGTGTCTCTTCTGATTCTCATACTCATTTGGATACTCGAAATAACCGTAGTTTGGTAAAGAAGAAAAAAGGCATTTGATATTATTAAGAAGTTTGACTTTAGCTTGGATCTTACAAACCGGCTGCCTGCTTAACTGGAATCGTACATATAAAATTCACTGAATCTCTCTAACAGCGTCAGAATACTTTAAATGAAGGAAGTAATGATCATGTCCTAGTCCTCAGCCAGCAGGTGGCGCTCAAAGCTAACAAGGTAAGCAATGTACCTCGTTTTCTGCAACGTACTTCACTTTTACCATGGCTCGAGTAGCAGGGATTGTTCAATTCCGACTGTGTACTTATACATAATTATATAATGTATATATAAAAATCCACAATCAACAGACAATCTTTGGTTAGTTTTAAACTACGGCCAAAAATATAAATGAATGCTTCGGATAAGCAAAAGTTTAGTTTGAAAGAAAGTACCATCGTAACCGTCAATGGCATCCTGAAAACAAACTGCATTAAAGAAGTAATTTTCTTAACCGTATCTTCAAGTGAGTTGTTGAATTTTCAAATGAGAAATGTTGCAATAGTAAACAGGGGTGAGCTTCAACACCATCATACACGCAACTCTCACTGCTACATAGGGCAAATACATTCCTTGTTACATGTGGACAACCAAGTGACAACGACAGCTAAAAGCTGCAAAAAAATTATCGTTATTTAAACTCCTGGCATGTCAGCTCCTTTGCCAGTATTATCTAATTCAATTACTATGTCAACCTGTAAGCAAACTGATACTTATATAAACTGACCAGGAAAAAGCCTATCATTTGTAGTCAGCAAAGTTACATTCACAGCAATAGAAGAGGAGCAAATAAAGAGAGTGATAAAATTAAGAAAATATGACAGGAAAATCAGAATCAAAACCTTAAGCAAATCAAAGAGCAGATTCTCGGGGAGTGGTGCGTGGGGAGGATGAAATTCAAGCAATAAACAATCCTGGCAAAACAAAGCAAGAAAACACAAGAAAGCAAAAGTATACATGAGACCTGAAAAATGGGTTGCGGCCACAGATAATAGAAGAATGCTAAGCAGAAACTCTATTTTCAATGAGGAAGAAAGTATTTCTCAACGCGTTTTACAAAGCTAAAAGCATATAGGTAACAAAGCCTCATCCAGATGATCCATCCCTGCCCTCAACACAAATGCAAAATTCCAGCAGTATATAAAGAGTCTAAGTTTACATTGGGAATGCAAGAATACTCCATTCGCAGGATACATTACTTTAGTTCATCACTGAAAATCATTTGATAAAATACAGCACTCATAATTTAAATTTTTTAAAAACCCAAGTAAAATAGAGGTAGAGGAATCTTATTTTCTATCAATCTCATTCTACCCTATCATCAAGCTTACAAGTGAAATAGTTGAGTCAACTCAATTGAAAGTAGGAATGAGGTAAGGGCACCAGGGCACCTCCTTATTACTCCTGCATATGTTTTCCACTGTGTATGACAAAAGTGAATACTAATACAAAGTATTCTTATGAATCAGTAAGAAAAATAAAATTAAAAAGGTAATTTTAAAAGCTAAAGATCAATGATCAACTTCAATGATGATTTTTAAAAGTGCACATCAACATAATGTAAT